>NC_000007.14:70991627-71294657 GCF_000001405.40 Homo sapiens | reverse complement strand
TGATTACCTGAGGTCAGGAGTTCAAGGCCAGCCTGGCCAATATGGTGAAACTCCATTTCCACTAAAAATACAAAAATTAGCCAGGCATGGTGGTGCACACCTGTAGTCCCAGCTACTTGGGAAGCTGAGGCATGAGAATTGCTTGAACCTGGGAGGCAGAGGTTGCAGTGAGCCAAGACCACACCACTGCACTCCAACCTGGGTGACAGAGCAAGACTCCATCTCAAAAAAAAAAAAAAAAAAAAAAAGGACTTATGAGACATCATCAAGCAAAACAATATGCATATTGTGAGCATTCCAGAAAGAAGAGAGAGCAAAAAGGGCAACCAGCTTATTTAAAGAAATAATAACCAAAAGTTCTCAAACTGGGAAGAGAAATAAACATCCAGTCTCAAAAATCATATAAAACATCAAATATATTGAATATAAAGTGGACTATACTGAGAAACCTAACTACATTGTAAAAAGTCAAAGACAAAGAATTTTTTTTTTTTTTGAGACGGAGTCTCGCTCTGTTGCCCAGGCTGGAGTGCAGTGCTGTGATCTCGGCTCACTGCAAGCTCCACCTCCCGGGTTCACACCATTCTCCTGCCTCAGCCTCCCAAGTAGCTGGGACTACAGGCACCCGCCACCATGCCCAGCTAATTTCTTTTTGTATTTTTAGTAGAGACGGGGTTTTACCGTGTTAGCCAGGATGGTCTCCATCTCCTGACCTCGTGACCCACCCATCTTGGCCTCCCAAAGTGCTGGGATTACAGGCGTGAGCCACCATGCCTGGCCAAAGACAAAGAATTTTCAAAGCAGAAAGAGAAAAGTGCCTCATCACATTCAAAGAAAATACCATGAAACTAACAGGACGTTTCTTCACAGAAACCTTACAAGCTTGGGGACAGTGAAGTAATATATTCAAAGGACTGAAAGAAAGAAGAATTGCTAACCTAAAACACTATACCCTGCAAAGCTATCCTTTTAAAATGTTGGGGAGATTAAGTCCTCCTCAGACAAACAAAAACTGTGTTTGTCACTACTATACCTGCCTTTCAAGAAATGTTTATCTAATAAGGGATTAATATCCAGAATATGCAAGGAACTCAACAGCAAAAAAGAAATAATCTGATTTTAAAATGGGCAAAAGGTCTGAATTGACATTTTTCAAAAGATGACATGTAAATGGCCAATGGATATATGAAAAAAATGCACAATGTCACCAACTCTCAGGGAAACGGAAATTAAAACCAGTATGAGATATTATCTCACACTTGTTAGAATGGCTGTTATCAAAAAGACAAGGTAAGGGTTGGTAAGGATTTGGAGTAAAGGGAAACCCTGTACACTGCAGGGGGAACTGTAAATTAGCATAAACATCATGGAAAACAGTATAGTGGTTCCCCCCAAAAATTAAAAATAGAACTATCACATGATCCAGCAATCCCATTTTAGATATATATCCAAAGGAACTGAAATCAGTATGTTGAGAAATATCTACACTGAGCGGCTGCAGTATTATTCACAATGGCCAAGATACAAAAATAATCTCACTATCTTTTTGCAGATGTATTGATAAAGAAAACAGGGTGTGTATACACACACACACATACACAATGGAATAGCATTCACCCTTCAACAAGAAGGAAATCCTGCCATTTGCGACCACATGGATGGAGGTGGAGAACATCACGCTAAATGAAGTGACTGAGACAGAAATAAAAGTACCGCATGATCTCACATATTGAAAAATATCAAATTCATAAAAGTAGAGGGTAGGATGCTAATTTCCAGAGGATGGGGGGAGGGAAGAATGGGGTGATTTGGGTCAAATGGTCCAAAGTTTTGGTTATACTAGACAAACAATTTCTGAAGATCTAATGTACAGCATGATGACAAAGTTAACAATACTGTATTGTATACTGTAATTTAATAAGAGGATAGATCTTAAATCTGCCCAACACACACACACACACACACACACACACACACACACACACACACTCTCTCTCTCTCTCTGTCTCTCTCTCTCTCTCTCCCTCTCCCAAATGGTACCTATGTGGAGATAATGAATATGTTAATTTGGTTAATTGTGGTCATTTTGCAATGTATGCATATATCAATACATCTTGAATATATACAATTTTTATATGTCCATGATAGCTCAATAAAACTGTTAAAAATGCTCAGTTCACATTCAGACTACAGCACAATAAAATAAGAATATAATAAGATGTCCAACAAAACAAATCCAAACAACATGAGGATTTGAAAATAATCCTTTAATCAACTATTGCCTATACAGACTTGACATGCTTAATAGACTTTTGCAGCCCAGCACTTAGAACACCCAACCAAGGTGTGCCTGATGTCTGTCCAGCAAAACCTATGTATTCTTGTTTTTCTGTCACTTGCCTACCTGTGGTGCAACCCATTACTCTAAGCCAGTTCGTTTCTCAGCCTGGTACCTTTTCTAGGAATGCTTTCTAGACTTGTTAATTCAGCTGTTGACTACTCTCTCCCGGAATCCCACTGCAGAAGGGGAACTGGGAAAATTATTAGTTCAAGAAGAAAATCAAATCTACAGTTATAAACTAGCTTGAAAATATCTAAAATGTAAATAATCCATAACAGAGTTACATGTTCCCAGAAAGAAATTAACAGCCCTAATTATTTTTATTATTAAACCATGAAAAATAAATGAACCAACCACTCTGTTGAAACAGTTTGAGAAACAAAGAAAGAACTGGGAAGGGGAAAATAAGAGTAAAGCAGAAATTAATGCACCAGAAAACAGAAAAGAATTTTAGGTTGATAAATAAATGCAAGAAATTTAAAACAATCGAAAAGATAAATTTAGAGAAAATCAAGTTCATAACAGATAAAATTATTAGATGCATATTCAATTATATGATTACATGCTTCAAAATCAAGAGATAATCAAAATAACTCAGAAAATTAGTATATAGATCCAGTGATACGATTGGATATAAGGTACGCATAACATTAAAATTAAAAATCAACCCCTCTCCTAAAGCAAAAACCAATTAGAACAAATAATGGGATAAAATGCCAGTGAAAACGTTAACAAATAAAAACTGTCCAGGAATAACCCTGGCAATAAATACTTAGAAAGATGTAAAATACTGAAACCAATAAATAAATATAGTCTCTTTCTAGATGAAATGACTGAATATTGTTAGACAGTTTTCACAGACCAAGATTTAGCTATCATGGAATTGGATTCTAATCACAACCCCAGTAAAACGTGGGGTCAACCCAACAAAATCATGCCTAAGAATTCTGGAAGAATAGGAATGTAACAAGAATTAAAAGACATAATAATTAAAGTTAAATGTTTCTAATAAAATGATCAAAAACAGATCCACAGAACAAAACCGAGTCCACCGGCCAACCAAAGAGAAATTAATATATGATGTAGAAGGTGTTACAAATTAACGACTCTGCTATTTCGTAAAAGGTGTTGGGGAAATTGGCTATTTGGGAGTTCAGTCTGGATGGATACATTAATTTATTAAGGTTAATATATTAATAATCATGGGTATATTTCTGTTGGTAACCATTTATTGGGCACTTAAGCTGGGTACCAAGCACTATGCCAAAGTATTTCCATGCATTATCTCACTTAATCCTGACATAAGTCCTATGAAGAAGGTATTACTACTTCTAGATCCACTATTCCAACTCACTTCTCAATGTGGAAACCAAGGCTCGGAGAAGGTGAGTGATGTCGCCAGGGTCACAGAGCGAGGCAGAGAGCCAAGATGAGGTCTGTGTCCAATATTATGTCTCTCTAACCACACTGTTTCCAATTACCGCCTTTTATAAACAAACACGGCTCTCTGGAGTCTGAGCATAAGAGTCTGTAGAACAGTAACCCACAGCAGGGAATCATAGAGAATGGAATAATACATGCAAATGGAACTTCAGGGAGGATTTTCAGACACAGAAGCTAAGGATCCACATCAGGATGGGACCAGCCAATACTGATGCTTTTGTCGAAATTGTCAAGGGAGCTTTTAATAGACCAGCCACCCAGGACCTTGGCTCCCTGCCTGTTTTACAGACAGCCTCTTTCTGCAGCCCAGCTCTCTTTAATGCTGTGCCAGGCCTGGGCTCAACAGGGACTAAGAAAGCAGGGTAGCCTCCCCGGGCCATCTATTCTCCCTCCCCAAGGTTCCTACAGCCTCTGTTCAGGGCCTCCCAAAGGACCTTCTGCATGTATTTTTATAGCATCAGCCACCTGCAAGACGGCATCGCAATCCAGAGCAGCTCCCTAGATGAGTATATTCCTGAGCATCCCGCCTGGACAAAGACCTTTCCAAAGACTCTTGTCATAAAGCGAAAGATGTCTTCCCATTACAAGAGGACACACACATTCACACACATGTATAAAACACTCTTGGCACCATGATTTAGCAAATCTTCAAAACCAATATATTTGACTGCTAATAGGTACACGGTTTCTTTTTGGGGTGATGATAATGTTCTGGAATTAGATGGCAGTGATGGTTGCATGCTATCATGCATATACTAAAATCCACAGAATCGTACACTTCAAAATGGTTAAAATGATGAACCTGATGGATTTTTGTTTTTGGTTTTTTTTGAGACAGTCTTGCTTCGTTGCCCATGCTGGAGTGCAGTGGCGCTATGTCAGCTCACTGCAACCTCCGCCTCACGGGTTCAAGCAATTCTCCTGCCTCAGCCTCCCGAATAGCTGGGACTACAGGTGCGTGCCACCACATCTGGCTTTTTTTTTTTTTTCTTTTGAGACGGGGTTTTGCTCTTGTTGCCCAGGCTGGAATGCAACGGCACGATCTTGGCTCACCACAACCTCCGCCTCCCCCTTTCAAGCAATACTCCTGCCTCAGCCTCCCAAGTAGCTGGGATTACAGGCATGCGCTACCACGCCTGGCTAATTTTGTTTTTTTAGTAGAGACGGGGTTTCTCTATCTTGGTCAGGCTGGTCTCGAACTCCCAACCTCAGGTCAACCGCCTGCCTCGGCCTCCCAAAGTGCTGGGATTACAGGTGTGAGCCGTTGCACCCGGTCCATCTGGCTAATTTTTATATTTTTAGTAGAGATGGGGTTTCACCATGTTGGCCAGGCTGGTCTCAAACTCCTGACCTCAAGTGATCCGCCCTCCTCGGCCTCCCAAAGTGCTGGGATTACAGGCATGAGGTGACAGCACTGGCATGAATCTGATGTTATGTGAACTTTATCACGAGAAAAACATAAAATCTTGAAAAAGGAAAAAGAAAGACAAAAATTTAAAAACCAAACTACATATAAATATATCTCTGTATTTACGTGTATGATCCAGTAAATGTACATAAAAGCAAAATCTCCAGAATATTTTAATTCAATTATTTCCTTATTAATTATGCCCAATAATGATTGGGATAACAAGGCACAAAAAAGGATTGCAAAAAAAAAAAAAAAAAGACGTGGTCAGATGATGCCTGCACAGAGAGGAATAACCTTAAACACATGCTCCAGTTTTAACCTTAAGCTATTTGTAAATAAGTTTTGGGGGAGTCAAAAGTCACACACAAAATTTTGACTGTGAGAGTTGGTACCTGCAACCCCTGTACTGCTGAAGGGTCAAATTTAAAAAGATATCAGGAGTCCAGTTTGACCCTGGACCTGTCGTCACCAGACCTCAATTTCCCCATACATAAAATGGGCACATTAAATTATGTAGTTGATGGTTTTTAAGCACATGAGCCAAATCATGTTTCAGCGATCTTTTAAATACATCACCTAAAGAAAATCCCGAGGGAATGGCTACCTTCATCAGAAGAAATGGATCCAGCAAAAAAATATTTCTCAGCATCAACCAACTCTCCTCTCCTGCACTCTCTAGCTGGGCTTCCTCCAGCAATGTGTGCTGCCCTGACCCAGTTCTGGGACCCTCTGGATTTCCAGATGAACACACGCATCAAAGCAGAAAATGAGGAAGCAAAATCACAGCCCAGGAACCCAGCTAAACGCAAGGTCACTGCACTGACATTGGGCCCCTGAGCATGCTGCAAGACCACCCTGGAGAGACTCAGGATGTTCAAACACCTCTGAAAGTTTGCAACCTGCTTCCGAAATCAGAGGAGCACATACATACTTAATTTCCACAAGGATCCAGCCCGCTCAGGGCTTATAGTCAGGAAAAGACAGACTCATGGGATGTCAGAATGATGCCAGAAAGGACAGGTAACCCCTGAAAACCGTGGGTTTGAACTGCACAGGTCCACTTCTACATGGATTTCCTTCTGCCTCTGCCACCACTGAGCAACACCAACTCTCCTCTCCCTTTTCCTGCTCAGCCTACTCAACATGAATACGATGAGGATGAAGACCTTTATGACGATACACTTCTATTTAATGAACAGCACATGGATTTTCTCTTCGTTTGGATTTTTTTTTTTTTTTTTTTTTTTGAGATGGAGTCCCACTCTGTCGCCCAGGCTAGAGTGCAGTGGTGCAATCTTGGCTCACTGCAACCTCCACCCCACGGGTTCAAGTGATTCTCCTGCCTCAGCCTCCCGAGTAGCTGGGACTACAGGTGTGTGCCACCATGCCCAGCTAATTTTTTTTTTTTTTTTTTGAGACAGTCTCGCTCTGTCACCAGTCTGGAGTGAAGTGGTGTGATCTCGGCTCACTGCAACCTCTGCCTCCCTGGTTCAAGCGATTCTCCTGCCTCAGCCTCCCAAGTAGCTGGGACTACAGGTGCGCACCACCACGCCCAGCTAATTTTTGTGTTTTTAGTGGAGATGGGGTTTCACCATGTTGGCCAGGCTGGTCTCAAACTCCTGACCTCAGGTGATCTGCCTGCCTCAGCCTCCCAAAGTGCTGGGATTACAGGCGTTAGCCACCATGCCTAGCCATTCCTTAGGATTTTCTTAATAACATTTCATTTTCTGTAGCCTTCTTGATTATAAGAACACAGCATATAATACATATAACATACGAAATATGTGTTAATTGATGGTTTATGTTATTGGTAAAGCTTTCAGTTGACAGTAGGCTATTAGTAGTTACCTTTTGGAGGAGTCAGAAGTTGCACGCAGTCTGACTATAAGGTCAGTGCCTCTAACCCCTGCATTGTTAAAGGGTTAACTATAAATGGATAACAGAAGCGAGAGAAATAAGGAGAGTGAAGGCACCTCTTACTCCTATTTGGCTATGAGACGAGAGGGAGGTGGGAACCCTCCTCTTATCTAGTAGATAAAAGTGTTTCTTAAGCACTTTAAGGACCTTAAAAGCAGCCGGGTGTGGTGTCTCACACCTGTAATCCCAGCACTTTGGGAGGTAAAGGCAGGAGAATTGTTTGAGCCCAGGAGTTTGTGACAAGCCCAGAAAACAGGGCAAAACCTCATCTCTACAAAAATACAAAAATTAGCCAGGCATGGTGGCACAATGCCTGTAGTCTCAGCTACTCAAGAGGCTGGGGTGAAAGGATCGCTTGAACTCAGGAGGTCGAGGATGCAGTGAAGCCTGATTGCACCACGGCACTCCAGCCTGAGCAACAGAGTGAGACCTTGTCTCAAAAAACAAAACAAAAAGGAACTTAAAAGCAGCTGGACGCAGTAACTCATGCCTGTAATCCCAGCACTTTCACTTGACTTGGGCCCAGGAGTACGAGACTAGCCCGGGCAACATGGGGAGTTCCGTGTCTCTATAAAATATACAAAAACGTTAGCCAGTTGTAGTGGCAGGCGCCTGTAGTCCCAGCTACTCAGTAGGCTGAGATGGGAGGATGGCTTGAGCCCAGGAGGTCAGGGTTTTGGCAACCCATGATCGCACCACCACTGCACTCCAGCCTGGGCCAAAGAGTGAGACCCTGTCTCAAAAAAACAAACAAACAAACAAAAACATAACAAACAAAAAAAGAAAAAAAAAAACAAAAACAAGGCCCCTCTAGGAGATAATCCCTCCTTTACAAATGAGGAAACCAAGGCTCAGGAAGGCCTAACACAAGACTCACAGCCAGTTCATGTTGGAGCTAGCATCGATCGTGGGTCTCCAGATTAGTGCCCAATGCTCCCTTCATCACACCTACAGCCTGCTGCGGCAAAGGCTCCTCCTGAGAGGCAGATGGAAAAAGCCCTGGCAAGCCCAGAGCGTGTTTCCTTATTTGCGAACGGGAATAATACTGGCCCTGTCTGGCTCACAGGGCTGGAGTGGAGAGGAAAGAAAATAAAGCATTGTGAACTCTTGCAAACGGCAAACCACTACACAGATGTAAGGGAAATGTAATTATCATTTGGGCCAAGTATTCTTAATGCCTATTTCAATGAAACTTAAAAAAATGTAAAAGGTCTAATAGAGAAAACACCCAGGGTTCCTTCACTCCAGGGGGATTTAGTAAATATTCACTTCCAGAAGTAATCAACGTGGGCAGAGCAAGATTTACTGTGAAGCTATTGAGGCTTAAGTTCAGGGTCTTTCAATTACATGGGCCCCTTCTAAGGCCTTGAAAGGGCCCTAGTAATGTGTGCACACAATCATATGCTTCTGTAAAATTTGCAAACGCAAGATATTTTATTGCAATCAGTTGAATGCCCAGTTTTCCTTGTGTTATAGTTCTCCCCAAGTAGGGGCTGGGGGAGCACACAGTTATTCAGGATTTGGCTTTGCGGAATTTAGGTTGGGAACGCATTTAGTTTGGCTTTATGGGATGTGTTTATGATGGTTTCCAGTCTTCCATATATTGCTGAGCTGCCCGGAACTAGAAATAGCTTCACAAATACTTCATAATGTCCTCAATTCAAAGAATATTTGTCTTAATCTGTTCAGCCTGCCATAACAAAAATACCATAGACTGGGTGGCTTAAACCACAAACATTTATTTCTTGCAATTCTGGAGGCTGGGGAGTTGAAGACCAAGGCACCAGCACATTCTGTGTTTGGTGAGGGCTCACTTCCTGGTTCATAGATACTGTCTTTTTGCTGTGTCCTCACATGACAGAAATGGATGAGAGATCTTTTTGGGGTCTCTTTTATAAAAGCACCAGTCCCATTCCTGAGAGCTTTACCCTATGACCTAATCATGTCCCAAAGGCCCAACCCCCTAATACCATCACACTGTGGAGGTTACAATTTCAACATATGAATTTTGGGAACACACTAACATCCAGTCCATAACCACATTTAATACAAGTGACCACAAGAAAATGTGAAATGCCTGATAATCTTGCAGCTCACATAGCAAGTGGAGAGAGGTTGGTCCAGATTTTACAACAATCCTAAAAATTTACATGACAATACGCAAATTGAGTTATGAAGCTAAAGTGAATTTTCTCAATTACAACTCTTAGAAAAAAGCAAGGATTAGCCAACCATACTGGAAGAAGGAATGAATTACCTTTTTATTCTCTTTATTAATAGAAAAGGCTATTCCGAATTGCTGTCATAATAAAGAGGTAGTCAAATAATATGTAGTCAAAGAAGGTAGGAAAAAAAGGATCAGAAAGGTGTATTCGGTAGTTAATAAAAACCTTACATTATTTTTGTGAATTTTGTAATTTCTGCGGTATTTGTCGGCTTTCTTTAACTTAGCAATTTGTTATGATTTCTTTTCTCATCCAAAATAGATATTTACTTTTGCACCTAATTGTGTATTATGAATTTTGCATTATTTTTCTTAAAGAAGGAGCCAAAATTGTGTAAGCTTCAGGCCCCATAACACCTTGGATGCCACCCCACCAGTTGAGTCCTGTAAGTTTTTTATACCCATCAGTTAACTCACTTATGGAAGAAAAAAAAAAAAGCTCAGAACTTCCTTTCACAAAAACAAATGCAATGATTTTAAAGCATCTCCACCAAGGACTGAAAGAAAATGAATTTAAACAACAGCAGTTACATAGAAGAGAATCTTCCAGCTATGAAAGCTTATAGAACCCTGCCTCTAGAACTTCTTAAGGAAATACTTTGGTGTATTGGTCTGTTCTCGCGCTGCTACTAAAGACATAGTCAAGACTGGGTAATTTATAAAGGAATGTGGTTTAAGAGACTCACAGTTCTGCAGGGCTGGGAGGCCTCAGGAAACTTACAATCATGGCGGAGGGAAAAGCAAACACATCCTTCTTCACATGGTGGCACTAAGGAGAAGTGCCAAGCAGAAGGGGGAAAAGCCCCTTATAAAACCGTCAGATCTCAGCCTGGTGTGGTGGCTCACGCCTGTAATCCCAGCACTTTGGGGTGCTGAGGCCGGTGGATCAGTTGAGGTCTGGAGTTCAAGACCAGCCTGGCCAATATGGTGAAACCCGTTTCTACTAAACATACAAAACTTAGCCGGGTGTGCTAGCACACACCTGTAGTCCCAGCTACTTGGGAGGCTGAGGCAGGAGAATCGTTTGAACCCAAGAGGCAGAGGCTGCAGAGAGCCGAGATCATGCCACTGTGTCCAGAGTTGGTTCCTTCCGGTGGGTTCGTGGTCTCGCTGACTTCAAGAATGAAGCCACGGACTTTCAGGGTGAGTGTTATGAGTGTTACATCTCAAAGGCGGCGTGGACCCAAAGAATATACAGCAGCAAGATTTACTGTGAAGAGCGAAAAAACAAAGCTTCCACAGCACCGAAAAGAACCAGAGCCGGTTGCAGCTGCGGGCTTCCCTGCCGCCAGCTTTTATTCCCTTATTTGTCCCCGCCCATGTCCTGCTGATTGGTCCATTATACAGAGTGCTGATTGGTCCATTTTACAGAGTGTTGATTGGTCTATTTTACAGAGTGCTGAATGGTGCGTTTTACAAACCTCTTGCAGCTACAGAGCACTGATGGGTGCATTTTACAATCCCTTTGTAAGACAGAAAAGTTCTCCAAGTCCCCACTCGACCCAGGAAGTCCAGCTGGCTTCACCCTTCACCACTACACTCCAGCCTGGGTGACAGAGCTACACTCTGTCTCAAAACAAACAAAAACATCAGATCTCATGAGAACTCACTCACAAGAACGGCAGCATGGGAGTAACTGCCCCCATGATTCAATTACCTCCCACCAGGTCCCTCCCACAACAGGTGGAGAATATAGAAACTACAATTTAAGATAAGATTTGGATGGGGACACAGCCAAACCATATCATCTGGAATAGATTTTCTTTAAATCTTACCTGAGTGTCCACTGATGCTGACTCCCAGAGAGAGAAGACAGCCTGGCTTTCTAAGCTTGGAGAGTCTACTATTTTTTTAACTATTATTTTTATTTATTTCTATGTAGGTATGAGAATAATTTGCAGGTTGCTGTAATACAATAAAATCAATATAATCAACATAATTAAACCAAGACAAAAATTTGAACCACAAAAAAATAAAATAAAAGCAGGGAGAGCTGGGCACAGTGGTTCATGCCTGTAATCCAAGCGCTGAAGCAAGAGGATCCCTTGAGCCTAGGAGTTTGAAAAGAACCTGGGAAAGGTGTACAGCAAGACTCCATCTACACACAAATTTTTTTTTTAATTAGCCAGGCATGGTGGCCCACACCTACAGTCCCAGCTACTTGGGGGGGGCTGAGGCAGGAGGATCACTTGACCCTAGGAGTTTGAGGTTACCACGAGCTATGATCACACCATGGCACTCCTGCATGGGTAACAGAGCAAGACCCTGTCTCTAAAATTAAAAAACGAGTGGCAGTGGGGCATGTGTTCTGGTCCCACCTTGGCTCTGAGCAGATCCCCCAGCTAAGCCACCACCCTCTATATGTCCTGCTCACTCTCAGAACCCCTCCTGCCTTCGGTCCTTTCTTGAGCCTTCACCCCCACATTGCCTAGCACTCCTTCCCTCCTAGCGAATTCTCCATCCCTTTCCTCCTGGCAAACCATTTCCAGGTAGCCTCTGAGACCTTCCCACAGCAGGTAACTTCTCTGAGGCTTTAGCCTTTTCTCAGTAACCTCCCCCTACCATATCTGCTTCACCTGAAACCTGACCCTCCCCATAGAAGCAGACATCCCCCCACCCACAGCCCTCCCTTGAGATGGACCCCAGTCCTGAGTCCATAGGACTCAGGATGTCCTGAGGACATTCTTCAGCCCTCAACCCATCTGCACAATATTCCTCCCTCCTCTGCCCTTATGCAGGATTTTCCTTTTGGAACATACACACACTGGTTGTCTAAACAGGCAGAAGCCCTTCCATTCACTCATTCAACAAATACGGAATGGGCATCTGCTATGTGCCTGACACAGTGCTAAATGCTGGGCTAGCCTTGCGGGGGCAAAGAATAACATGGCCCTCTCCTTTTCCCTTCTCTCTCTGCATTGCTACTCTTCCTTCACTGCTGTTCCTTCATTCTGCTGTGTAAATTCGATTACTTCTTCTCCCACCAGGCTAAAAGGTTCCCATCTGGTTGCATCTCAAACCCCAGATGTTTGCTAAACTGCACTGGAAATAAGGTGGGCTGCAGAGTGGCTCTCGTCGTCAGGAGGCACAAACCTGCCAGTCGTCATTAGGATGAACATGCTTTTGTCTGAGCTTTTTCGTTCACAAAAGAAAGCATCACACTGAATGGGTTTTGGGATTTCATGCAGCGTCCTTAAGCATGTGGATGCTTGTAGGATTTGTCCCCATGAAAGCAAGATTCAGGGATGGCACAGGAGCCCAAGGGGGTGGCGTTGTCATTGATCAGCAAGGAGAGGCTTGGAGAACATTGAGGAAGAAAGAGTTAACACATAGAAGCAACCTGTGACCTGGGCCCTAGTAGGGATGAGAGGGAATCGGATTTTTTCCAGAAGAGAATTGTCTCCAGCAGGTGAGCTCATCTTCATCCCACGACACTAACCTGAAATCTATGGGTCACTTTTTCTATTTCCAAATGAATTTTCAAAACATCAAGTAGAAAACCATAAATTGTTCCCACACTGGGAGGTGGTTAGGTCAAAATGGATTTTTCTGATATCTGGAAATATATATCATTGTCTCCCAAATTCAAAACCAACACGATTTTCCAGCGTTAAGGAAACAGGGGCACGTTGCTACTGCAGTAGACTTCAGAGAGGGCTCAATTCAGTGATATGATCACAAAGGAAAAAGTGAGAGGTGTCAGAGATAACAAATAATAAGGGATGATGCCTTTCTACATGATGCTCATTAGAGCTGGATGGAGAAGCCGCCCATGGATCCTGCTGCACTCTCTGGGACATCATAGCACATGAGAAACAAATCCAGTGAAAGATGCAGCAGCCGTTTTGAAATTCCTTTCTCTGGCTCATGCATCTGGATGTTTGCAGATTCCAGGAAATGGGCTATTTTCCTGTCTGCACATGAGTTGAAATTAAAGTAAGCCAAATCCTTCTAGCTAAATGACATTCTTTAAAAAAATTATAGAAACAGTCTCACTATGTTAGCCAGGTTGGTCTCCAACTCCTGGCCTCAAGTGATCCTACCACCTCACCTGGGCTGACTGAGAAACCTTCCATCAGGATCACAGTCTTAGACTAGAGAGTGCCCAGAGTTGGTGTCTGGAGTTGCCCCTGGTACTTAACATTGTTGAATAACACTGTGTTTATTTCAACTGGGCCCGCTTTTGGTTTCTTCTACCTCTGACAGCTCCTCAAACCTGGCAACTTTGGGCATTCCCAATAGCTGGTCCCATGGTTCCTGCTTTTCCTTGCCTTTATGCATTTCTGTGCTGAAACTATCTAGTCTCCTGGAGAGACCACTACAATCTCTGGGCATCTGTGGTTCTCATCTGTCCAGCATCCCATTCTCCTCCTCATGGAAACCAATCCCCTCTTCTCTGTGTGAACCCCAACCCATGGGGATCAGGGTGACCCTACTACTTCCTCCAAGTGGGCATGTGATGCAGACCAGCCCAGTCACCAACTGTAGGCCCCCATCCCCTGGGATGGGTTCAGACAGGCATGTGCCTCAAACCAAACCAGAGACTTTCCTAGGACATCTCTAAGGGAACTGTCAAGGAAAACCCTCTTTCTCCAGGGGTGAAAATCTACTGCTGTCTTATCTATCACACTGGAGACAGCCTGTCTACAGGACAGACTGGAGGGCAGAGTCCCATTGCTTAAACTCCTGAGTGTGGCCTTATCTAAAGCCAGAGGCAACTCTGAACTTCTCAGTTATAAGCGCTAATAAATTTCTGCGTCTTCCCTTCTGTGCTTCAGCTAGGTTAAACGGGTTTTCTGTCACTTGCAACCAAGAGGGTCTTCATAGGTCAATGTCCTAATCTTGATCTTTTTCACGCCTACCCTCATCCCCTGATTCCTCTCTTGGTGAAGGTGGAAAGTAGAGGTAGGATGGCATAGTGACATAATCCCCTATGCCACAAATGAGCCACGTGACCACAGAGGAAGCTCCTTAGCACTTCTTGAAGCCTCAGTTTCCAACGCAGTCAGATGGGGACAATCACACTTACTGCACAGGGAAACCATGAAGATGAAAGGACAGAACATACACCAAAGGCCTCACACTGAGCCCAGAATGAATAAAGTCCCTTGTGCCCATCTCATTATCCTGGACTCTGGTCCCCTGTCTCTTCCACAACCTCAGAGACCTCCCTCCCTCCAATACTCCCTCTCTCTCTGATCCAAAGGCAAAAAGCTCACAATGGGGCAGAAAATGCTACTCTATACATTTGTACAAAGCATGCATATAACCCAGTAACCCAGACAAATTAAAAGATGCCCCAAGATATATTGGGAAAACAAAAAGAGAAAATATGAACTATCCAGGTTACTATCCAGAGGATAGAGAAACAAAAATCATTTAGTGGGCCGGAAGATTATTTGATTTTGATAAAAGGTATAACCCCCAATGAAGACACCACCATCAAGAAAGTTTACATGCCAAATAACATAAAGAACATCAACAAAGCCAAACATCACCCTCCTGGTGGAATTTTCTCCCAGCTCACAGATCTAGTTTGCCCCCCATTTCGCTTCGTTCCTCCAGCCTGGGCATGCCTCTATCAAAGACCCTCCATGCTCAAGTCTGTAAAAGGCAGTGAAGAGAACATGACTCTGAAGTCAGACAGAACAGAGTTTGCAGTGGTTGCATGGTGTCCCTTCAAAGCACATGTCCACCTAGAACCTCAGAATGTGATCTTATTTGGAAATGTAGTCCTTGTTGATGTAATTAAGTTAAGATGAGGTCTACTAGATTAGGATGAATCCAATGGCTGCTGTCTTTGTAAGAAGAGGGGAATGCCCAGACACACACAGAGGGAAGAAGGTTGATACGGTCTTGCTGTGTCCCCACCAAAATCTCATCTTGAATTTTAATTCCCATAATCCCCACATGTCATGGGAGGGACCCAGTGGGAGGTAACTGAATCATGGGGGCAGTTACCCTCATGATGTTCTTATAATAGTGAGTTCTCACAAGATCTGATGCTTTTATAAGAGGTTTTCCCCCTTTTGCTCAACACTTCTTCCTGCTGCCATAAGAAGAAATACTAGATTAGGATGAATCCAGTGGCTGGTGTCCTTATAAGGAGAGGGGAATATACAGAGATACACAGAGGGTTGGGAGGCCAAGGCGGGCAGATCACGAGGTAAGGAGATCGAGACCATCCTGGCCAACATGGTGAAACCCATCTCTACTAAAAATACAAAAATTAGCTGGACGTGGTGGTGCGTTCCTGTAATCCCAGCTACTCGGGGGGCTGAGGCAGGAGAATCGCTTGAACTCGGGAGGTGGAGGTTGCAGTGAGCCAAGATTGCGCTAATACACTCTAGCCTGGCGACATAGCGAGACTCCATCTCAATTAAAAAAAAAAAGAAGAAGAAGAAGAAAAAGAGGAAAAAGAGATACACAGAGGGAAGAAGGTTGATACGGTTTGGCTGTGTCCCCACCCAAATCTCAACTTGTAGTTCCCACAATTCCCATGTGTCGTGCAAGGGACTCGGTGTGAGGTAATTGAATCATGAGAGTGGTTACCCTCATGCTGTTCTCATGATAGTGAGTTCTCATGAGATCTATGGTTTTATAAGGGGCTTTTCCCCCTTCTGCTCAGCACTTCTCCTTCCTGCCACCACGTGAAGAAGGATGTGTTTGCTTCCCCTTCCTCCATGATTGTAGGTTTTCTGAGGCCTCCCCAGCCCTGCAGAACTGTGTGAGTCAAACCTCTTTCCTTCATAAGTTGCCCAGTCTCTGGCAATTCTTTGTAGCAGCCTGAGAACATATTACGACAAAGGTCATGTGAAGACAGAGGCAGAGATTGGAGTAATGCAGCTACAAGCCAAATGTACCTGCCAAGGAATGTCTAGCTTGTAGCTGTATCACTCCAAACACCAGAACCTGGAAGCTAAAAGTGGCAAGGAAGGATTCTTCAGAAGGAGCGTGGTCTGCCAACATCTTTGTTTCAGACTTCTAGGCTCTAGAAATCTGAGATGAGTTGAAGCCATCCAGTACAGCAGTCCTGGCAAATTAATACAAGGTTGCAGGTAACCTGGAGCAAGTCAATAAACCTCTGAGCCTCAATTTGCTCATCTGTAAAGAAGGCTACTAACAAAAGGACCTATTCATTCATAGACTAGTTATGTGGATTAAACAGAAACATAGTAACTGACACACAGTGACCTCTTTTCTTAGTATCATTATTATTACTTTTTGCTGCATCCCCCATCCCACCCTCTCCTGGGCACACATCAAAAGCTAAGCTGAACTGCCTAGCTTGACCTCCTCTTAAGTATCATAAATAAAAAAGTTAGCAGGAGAAAGAAGCTCAATTATCTTAGGCTCCAAACACAAGCTATGCTCACAGATTAAACTTTCCAAACTGAAAAGAAATAATGGATTTGAAGTTTTCTTCCCCTTGGTGTAAGTGAAATGTTTTTCTTCACGGGTGACCGCCCATGGCACAAAAGTGGCATGTCAATAAATGAAAAAGGAGGGCACAGATGGGCACTGGGGTGAAAAAGACTGCAATAATCATTATTCCTCCAAAGGAAACACTCTCTCCCCTCCTCTGGACAGCTGTCTACTCACTAACTTTCTCAGTGCTTCCACCAAAGTTTCAGGCAGGCTGTGATGCAAACCCTTTCTCTTGGCACGTCTGTAAAGTGCCCAGGTTTGCGCAGTGGCAGTGTCTCAGAACACTCCTTCTTTATTTAATGTAACATTTATATCATTTTAAAAATGTGACATGTCATATACTGTGTAACAAGTTACCTTGCTGTTTTGTAATATTCTTTTTAAAATATATTTTGTTTTCTTCAATTTTAGGTTCAGGGTCCATGTGCAGGCATGTTACATAGGTATACTGTGTGATGCTGAGGTTTAGGTTTCTCATCAACTCATCACCCAAATAGTGAATGCTGTATCCAACGGGTGGTTTTCCTACCCTCATGCCCCTCGCTCCCTCCTTTTATAGTCCCCAGTGTCTATCATTTCCATCTTTATGTCTATGCGAGTGTACCCATTGTTCAGCTCCCACTTGTAAGTGAGAACATGCAGGATTTGGTTTTCTGTTTCTCAGTTAGTTCACTTAGGACAACAGTCTCCAGCTCTACCCATGTGGCTGCAAAGGACACGATTTCATTCCTTTTTATGGCTGCATAGTATTCCATGGTGTATATAACATACTTTCTTTATCCAACCCACCACTGATGCACACTTAGGTTGTTTCCTTGTATTTGTTCATTTTCATACCGCTATGAAGAAATACCTAAGACTGGATAATTTATTTCTTTATTTATTTATTTATTTTTGAGATGGAGTCTTGCTCTGTCACCCAGGCTGGGGTGCAGTGGCACAATCTCGGCTCACTGCAATCTCCGCCTGCCAGGTTCAAGTGATTCTCCTGCCTCAGCCTCCCAAGTAGCTGGGATTACAGGTGCCCACCACGATGCCTGCTTAATTTTTATATTTTTAGTAGATAGGGGGTTTCACCATGTTGGCCAGGCTGGTCTCAAACTCCTGACCTCAAATGATCTACCCGCCTCGGCCTCCCAAAGTGCTGGGATTACAGGTGTGAGCAACCATACCCGGCCGACTGGGTAATTTATAAAGAAAAGAGATCTAATGGGTTCACAGTTACACATGGCTGGGGAGGCCTCACAATCATGGAAGAAGGCAAAGGAGAAGCAAAGCCACGTCTTACATGGTGGTAGGCAAGAGGACATGTGCAGGGAAACTCCCCTTTGTAAAACCATCAGATCTCATAAGACTTATTCACTATCATGAGAACAGCATGGGAAAAGCCCACCCCCATGATTCAATTACCTCCCACTGGGTCCCTCCCACGACATGTGGGGATTATTACAATTCAAGGTGAGATTTGTGGGGGACAAAGAGCCAAACCATATCATTCCTTGACTTTGCTATTGTGAATGGCACAATACAAGTGCAGGTATCTTTTAAATAGAATGATTTCTTTTCCTTTGAGTGAATATCCAGTAGTGGGATTACTGGATCGAATGGCAGTTGTATGTTCAGCTCAGAACACTCACTCTTATGGACCACCCCCACCCCTGCAGCCACCTGCCCTGCTACCCACCCAGCTAGCCAGTCAGCCATTCCACAGACATTTACAGGGGCACCCATCACATGCCGGCTGCTGTTCTCAGGTGCCGGAGAGGCCGCAGCCAACAAAACAGATAATGTCTCTGCCTTCAGAGTGCTTCTGTTCTGATGGACAAGGAAGACCAGGGACAAGTAAACATTATAGCAACAAATCACAAAATTAAGTGCCAGGAATAATAAGTGCTATGAAGAAAATGAAACAAGTAGGCCAGGGGTATAAGTAGCTAAGGAGCTGGTGGTTGTGGATTGTGCAGAGGAGCCCATCGCATAGTTCATTTCTACTTCTATTCAGGAAGACCCACGATCTCCCAGGACTCCAAGAGTCAGGACAAAGAACTGGGCCACAACTTGTGGGGAAGGGAGCTTCTAACATTGGCAGTAAGAGAACCAGGCAGTTGATGCCTTAGGGGAAGGAGAGTTCTATCAACAGATCCTGCAAAAGGAACATTGCCTCCTTCTCTCCTTCCTATCCCAAAATAAAGCTAGCACCACGTGCATCCCACTTCCTCAACCTTCAGACAGCTCAAAACGCTTTCTAGCTATTTGTGTCCCCCATGGAACTGCCGTAGATAGAGCCTTTACATGTGACAGGCGCTGAGCTGTGTTCACAAAAGGCCATGGTGACCCTAACAGCCCTGCAGCTCAGTGGGTCTCACACAAGAGCTGGTTTCAGCACCAACATCACCTGCAAGGCTTGGTAAAACACAAGCCCATCACAGGGCTTCTGATCTTCAGGGTCTGAAGGTGGGGCCTGGGAATTTGCATTTCTTTTTTCTTTTTTCCAGAGATGGGATTTCACTATGTTTCCCAGGCTGGTCTTGAACTCCTGACCTCCAGAGATCCTCCCACCTCAGCCTCCCGAAGTGCTGAGATTACAGGCGTGAGTCACTACATCTTGGGAATTTGCATTTCTAAGAAGTATGCAGGTGATGCTGCATTTATTAACGTAAGGACCCCCCTGCAACTTCTGACTCTGAGAATCTTTGTTATAAGGGAAGGATTATTATATTTACTTGACCAAGGAGGAAACTGAGAGGTGCCGGAGAGATTAAGCCATTTTCCAAGATGGCTGTAGGCAAAGACAAACCATTTCAGGATCTCCCAGTACTGAAACCACTCAGTAGATTTGTTCAAGAGCCGAACTCCCAATACAGACCCTCACAGCCTGCCTCAGCCCCCACTATGGTGACCCAGGGCCAGAGGCAGGGACTGTGGTCTGCTCCCCTTTCGACCCCCCAGGGCCAAGCATGGTCCCCAGCCCATCAGTAGTATAACAATGTTGTTGGCAGGATAACTATTTTTTTGAAAAGTTCTCATTTTCATTTTGAAATGCAAATCAGAAGGAAGCCCTGAGTTTTCCTGTCTGCCCAGACTCTTCCTGCTGACAGCCTCTGCGGGGTACCTGGACATCCACAGGCTGGTGAGCCTGCACAAACACACAAGAACACAGAGTTGTAGGTACTACTGGTCATGCCAAAATCAGCCAGGGGGCATCTTTTAATGTATTTTGAACTATTTTCATGTGCACTGATGTGGATGGTGTGTTCCAGACCAATGTCTTAGGGGATCTGTGCAAAAGTGAAATACATAAAAAGCAGAATGAGCATTGGGTACAGTGGCTCACATCTGCCAACCCAGCGCTTTTGGAGGCCGTGGAAGAAGGACTGCTTGAGGCCAGGACTTCAAGACTAGCCTGGGCAACATAGCAAGATCCTGCCTCTACAAAAAATTTTAAAATTGGCCAGGTGTGGTGGCGCACACCTGTAGTCCCAGCTACTCAGGAGGCTGAGGCAGGAGGATCACTTGTGCACAAGGAGGTCAAGGCTGCAGTGAGCTATGATCATGCCACTGCACACCAGCCTGGGCAACAGAGAGACCCTATCTCTAAAAACATCCATTTAATACATCAAATAAAAAGCAGAATGTCCCTCAAAATGAGTGGTGTGCTGAAGCCAGCTCCCCCAGAGCCTACTGTTAAATATTTAGGACTTTTGCAAACTAGCTGCCAAATGCTGCTAACTTGAAATCCACCAGAGTAGAAATATGTACACCAGGGAAACAGGCAAAAGCCACAAATGAAGGTTCCCTACCACCACCACCGAACATATGCCCTCGCCCTACCCAGAGGGCTGGTTTACCAGCATAGTACAGCTTGAAATGAACCAGAATATTCTTCAGTGTGGCACATGCTATGCTTAGATGCCAGGCATTTTTCTGTGGGTGCACATCCCTGAAATGAGTCTCTAAAATTAAAACAGGTCAGTGGAAACCTATGATTCACATTCTCTTTCTGTGTGTCTCTCATTCTCTCTCTCTCTCTCTCTCTCTCACACACACACACACATTATCTCATTAGAGAAAAATTTTTGGAAATGCCATGATTGTATTTGACCAACAGTTAAAAGTCAAACTTTTCATGGCTGATCAAAAGAATGCTTAGCCAAAGTCTCTTTATCTCACTCTCTTTTCCTATGTTCTTAAAAGAAACATCTGTTGGCTCTAAAGTACAAATGAGAATTAGGCTCCAAAAACATTGTTTCATACAAACTCTGCAAATAACCTTGTGATGTCTATAGGACAGAAACTGGAGACCACAAACAGGAATACTTCATTGTCTACCTTGATTCAACCATTTGCTGACTTTGCTAACAGAGAAAAGGGAGATAGCAAGAACAACTCAAATCTCCAGACAGACAAAAATACTACATTTTAGCCAAACTTTCACAATAGCTATAACCAGGGAGAAAATAATCTAGCCGATATTTCATTATCTTCCATTTCTCCTGTCAGAACCAACTGGGAATAGCATTGAGCAGTGAAACAAATAGTTCAAGAGGGAAAAGGAGTAATCCACAAACTATATAAACAACTGTTTTTATGTGCAAGAGTTGACAGCGTTTGAAATTGGAGCAAGGTCTACAATAACATTTCAGAGAACTGGTATCAGGGAAATGAGGTGAGTGATTACAAGGGGTTGCCTTAGCCCAAAGAGAATTTTATATTAAAAATCACAAAAGAACATGCAGTTTCTTCTCCAAGCAGTTCTTATGTCATTATCATGGAATTATATGCATATAAAATTGTTAAAAAAACAATAAGATGGATGAAAAACAGTCTTGTCAACCTTCACTGCTAATAACAGGAGTGTTTTTACTTTGGACCTGAGGTTTTAGCTGGCAGCAACTCAAAAGCAATAAAAATGATCGTGCTCTCTTCTTTCTTCTCTGAATTGAACATTTCAACTTTCAAGGCTCTTCTTTGCTCTCCGGTAGGGTGAAAAAGCAGACATGATTAACTCTATATCTTCTACATAACAGGAGAGACAGACATAGAGCTTAAATGATGTGGGGATGTTACAAGAGCAGTAAGTATCAGAGAAGAAATATCATCTCAGGCCTCCTCATGTCATATTGGTCACTGTCTGCCCTGTTACTGTGCCTGCCTCTCACCAAAGGGCATCCAGGCCTTAGGCTGCCAAGCCTCACAGGTTGTTGGCACAAAGTGAATCTAAACAGGGAATCCTGCTGTCGATTGTCTGAAGCGCAGGTTGAAGGGCTGCAGGAGAAAGAGCTTTATGGGAGCAGTAACTGAGGCTGACTTTCCCCCAAGACATTCCTGCCCTTCCATGTACAAAAGCCTGCATGACATCTACACACCTACTAGAATGGCTTAAAAAAATACCTGACAATACCAAGTGTCACCAAGGATGTGGAGCAACCTGAACTCTGCCTGATACATAGCTGTGAGAATGCAAAATAGTAGAGCCACTTTGGAAAACAGGCTGGCGTTTTTTTACAAAGTGAAACATACGCTCACCACATGATACCTGGGAATCCCATTCCTACGTATCTACCCAAGGTAAATGAAAACATATGTTCACATGACTGTATATGAATGTTTAATAGAAGATTTATTCATGATTCCCCCAAACTGGAAACAACCCAAATGTCCATCCATACTTCGGAAATTACTTAACAGTAAAAAAGAAAGAAACTCCCAATACATGGAATAGCATGTATCAAAATCATTCAAGTGAAAGAAGCCAGGCCCCAAAGGTTACATACTGCATGATTCCATTTCCAATGTATGACAGTCTAGAGAAGCAAAACCATAGAAATAGGGGACAACTGGCCACAGTGGCTCATGCCTGTAATCCCAACACTTTGGGAGGCCGAGGCAGGAGGACTGCTTGAGCCCAAGAGTTTGAGATCAGCCTGGCCAACATAGGGAGACCCCATCTCTACAAAAATTAAAAGATTAGCTGGGCATGGTGGCACCCATCTGTGGTCCTAGTTACTCGGGAGGCTGAGGCGGGAGGATCGCTTTAGCCTGGGAGGTCGACGCTGCAGTGAACTGTGATCGTGCCACTGCACTCCAGCCTGGGAGGCAGAGTGAGACCCTGTCCCCACCACTAAATAAAAAAGACAGGAAGAATTAGAGAACAGATCAGTGATTGCTAAGGATGAGTTGGAGACTGACCACAAAATGGGATTATTCTGCATCTTAACTGTGGTGGTAAATCCACAGCTACATATCCATTGCCAACACTCATCAAACTGTACACCCAAAAAGGGTGAATGTTATCGCCTGTAAATTATCCTTTAATAAATCTTAAATAAAAAACCTGAATGAGTGCCAGAGATTTTTTACTTCATTTCCGTGAGCTCAGATTCTTTCAAAAACTGCTCCTAGGCACGTTAGCCAAGGCTGTTTCCTGGACATGAGGTTATCTCAGAACAAACCGGGATGGATGAACAGGCCCAGGGAGCCACGTGGCCACTGGTCAGTGCCACCCCTTTGGGAGCTCTTCTACATCTCTGAGCATCATCACCCTGATGTGGAAAGCAAGGAAAATGCTAGACTGTGCCCCGTGCACCCTAAAGCATGATCATTTCTTGCACTGGAAGGCGCGTGACAGGAATCTGGAGTTGGGGTGTATGGATATGGCCCTAACTATGGGCTATTGTAAAGAAAATATGCAGCACCCAAAAGCAGGAAGTATTGAAAGCAAATGAACTGGCACCAGATCGTGATTCTCAGCTGCTCTAACACATTTGGAATGAGCAAGTCTTTAAATGCTTTTGTCAGCTTGCTTTAGGAATGAAATTTGGTATTATTAACACTATCCCGTATGAAACAATTATATAAGTGTAAATGGAAGATGTGTTTAAAGGGTCATGATGAAATTCCTAGAAAACGCTTTCCCAGTCTTTTTTTTTCTTTTCTTTTCTTCTTTTTTTTTTCTCTGATTAAATAAGGTCAGATAAGATGAGGACAAAACTAAGTCAGCAGGCAGAATTTAAATTACTTAAATTACTTTTCTTTCTTTTTTATTTTTTTTTCCTGCAGCTGAACTTCAGACTGTGGGAGGGAAATGAACAGCTTAAACCAAAGCTAAGCTCTTCTGTTCTGTATCAAATGGCAATTACTCTTCAACTATTTTTTTTCATCCGTCCACTCAGCAAACATCCACCACCTCAAACAAATTTGCTGAAAGAGGCAGAAGAGGGTAAGGGTTTGGAATGCATTTTATAAAAGGAGAATTGCTGAAGCCAAGTGATGCATACATTAAGTCCATTATATTATTCTCTTTACCTTATATATGTTTAGAAAATTCGTTTCTTTTTTTTTTTTTTTTTTTTTTTGGTGGGGTGGGGAGGGTACGTAGTCTCGCACTGTCGCCCAGGCTGGGGCAAAATGGTGCAATCTCGGCTCACTGCAACCTTTGCCTCCCGGGTTCAAATGATTCTCCTGCCTCAGCCTCCAGAGTAGCTAGGATTACAAGCGCCCACCACCACGCCCAGCTAATTTTTGTTATTTTTTTAGTAGAGACGGGGTTTCATCATGTTGGCCAGGCTGGTCTCAATCTCCTGACCTCGTGATCTGCATTCTATAATAAAAAATTGAGAGATAGAGGAGATACAAGGGGGGAGAGTGAGATACCCCAGGGACTAGAAGGTCTGAGTGCAGATCACAGTTCCTCCACATGTGCTGTGCACCCTTCAACACGTTTCTCAATCTCTCTGTGCTTTAGTTGCTTCTCTGTAAAACGGGGCTAAAAATAGTAACTACTCATAAGGTTGCTGGGGGTGAGTAAATGAGTTTAAAGCACATTTATTAAATGTGTAGGGCAGCAGGGAGGTAGGTTTATAAATGAATACTATGTGCTAGACAGAGAGAGAGGTGTCACACACACTCATGAAAATATTTCCTAAAGCCTGTAAATCAGTACAAAGCGTTTCAGAGAGTGTATTAATCTCTCTTCCTGAGTCTATCCCCTGCTTTGTGCTCTTGTTAGGTTTTACAACAAATTTATCTGTGGGGGACAAAGGCAAGGGCTCCATCCGTCTTCCATCACCTCCCCCAGCCATGCTATCACAGCTCTCCCTTCTCAGCCAGATGACAATCCCTTAGCCCTCCACTCACTTTCAGTTATAAGAGGAAAATAAGTTAGGAAACTACAACTCAATTTTAGGATTTACAAAGTGTGGCACAGCCTCCTGTGAACACTTCCATTCATGTCCAGTTCTCGGCTTCCTGCCCCTCCCCAGTCTAGGCCCCACGTGTGGGTCGAGGACCTCTGCAGACAGATGAGCAGTGGCATGGCCCTCCATACTTCCTCCAGCCCCTACTCCTTCTACTGCCTCCTCCAAGACCAAGGCAGACGAGAGAAGAGGGGAGAAGACAGAGCAAGGGAAGCAAAGGCTTATTTTTTAATAGACATGGTCTTGCTCTGTTGCCCAACCTGAAGTACAGTGGCGCAATCATAGCTCACTGCAGCCTCAAACTCCTGGGCTCAAATGATCCTCCCACCTAAGCCTCCTGAGTAGCTGGGACTACAGGTGTGCACCACCATGCCCAGCTTATTTTTCTTTTATTTTTGTAGAGATAGGGTCTCACTATGTTGCCCAGGCTGGTCTCGAACCCCTGGCCTCAAGTGATCCTACCACCTTGGCTTCCCAAAGTACTGGGATTATAGGCATGAGCCATGATGCCTGGCCACAAAAGGCTTAAACGCTTGCCTGGTGTTTTCCTTTGTTACCTCTTGGCAGTGGTCAAAGATGAGCCCTGTTAAAGGGCCCGGCTGAGGGTTCTCCCAGGCCCTGCTGTGAGGCTTTCCAAGCTACAGGGATCCCTGATATGGCAGTAAGCTCTCCAGCTGGCCTCTAGGGACTTTTATTGAACCTGCCCTTGGCAGCCTCAGTGCCAGATCCCCTCTGCAGCCAGCCTAATTCCTCCCTGTTCCTGCCTCCATGAGGCCTCAAGTCTCACATCTGCTGGTCATGCTAGAAGAAGCCATGTAGGCCACTCTATTGCTGCCCACCCTTCCTGCCTACCAAACTCCTGCCCTCAGAATTCCCCAAGCAGGAGACAGGAGACAGGCACAACCCCAACCTTCACCGAGGCTCCTCCAAGTCCAGAGAAGTCACATCAATTTCTTCCCTATTTCAGGTGATCCCAAGAATGCACTCATCAAACCCTGCTCTCGCCTATGAAGATGGACCTATGAGTGCCACAGTTCAGCCAGCACCCAGCCAGTGAAGGAGAGGCCAGCCTCCTCTGGCAGGCAGCCCAATCTCTTTTTTTTAATATTTATTTATTTATTTATTTATTTATTTATTTATTTATTTATTGAGATGGATCTCATTCTGTTGCCCAGGCTGGAGTGCAGTGGTGCTACCATGGCTCACTGCAACATCCACCTCCCCAGTTCAAGCCATCCTCCCACCTCAGCCTCCCCAGTGGATGGGACTCAGGAACATGCCACCACACCTGGCTAATTTTTTTTTTTTTTTGTATTTTTTGTAGACACGGGGTTTCACCATGTTGCCCAGGCTGTTCTCAAGCTCCTGAGCTCAAGGGATCCACCCACCTCGACCTCCCAGTGTGTTGGAATTACAGGCATGAGCCACCATGCCTAGCCAGCATCCCAATCTGTATGGGGGGTTTGCTTAAATTTCCCCATTTGACCTGGGGAGGAGTCCCTCCTGTTGGGAGGGAAAAAGAAACACCCATTCTTCCCTCCAACTTTCTCCTCCATTAACTCATCTTTTCCTTAGAGAGAAGTGCCATCCAGGCTGCAGGACGAATCTTGTGAATCCCTTGGTAGGTCCTCCACAGAGGCATCCAGCATCCCTCTGAAAAAATGGCAAACACGCCCCTATTGCTCTCAGCTTTGGGACATAAACCAGAATTCCCAAGTGAAAGGAACAGTCTCCTTCAACATCCCATGCCCTGTTTTTAAGTAAAGAAACCTGCAGTTCTCCACATGGACACAGGGAGGGGAAAAACACACACTGGGGCCTGCTGGGAAGTGGGGGTGGGGGCAGGTGGGGGGAGGGAGAGCATTAGGACAAATAGCTAATGCATGCTGGGCTGAATACCTAGGTGATGGGTTCACAGGTGCAGAAAACCAGCATGGCACTCGTTTACCTGTACAACAAACCTGTACCTCCTGCACCTGTACCCCAGAACTTAATAAAATAAAATAAGAAACCTGCTGTTCTCCATGGCTGTAAGGAATAAGCAGGATAAAGGGGAATAAAAGAGCCAGTACACACAGGAGACAAAGCAGGTTCACCATCCATCAGCAAATGAGCGCAACAGATATTTACCGAAATGGATGAGAGAAATATCTCAAAGGAGAGCACATTTCTGAAAATACACAGGCAAGAAGGCTTGAAAACTGGTGTCTGCTATTTCTAGCTGAATTATTCCTCCTTGATGAATTATTTCAAAGTCATTTCTACCTATTAGACTTATTTATGTCTATGTTAAAAACCACATATCCTCCTAGAAGAAAAAAAAAAAAAAAACTAGAAAATCCCTTAACAGGAGATATCAAAGTTAACTACTCAACCCCAAGGCTCATTCCAGGAAGGCGTGGAGCCTGAGAAGGGCATCCTGGCAATAGCCAATTGCGCAGCTCGCAAAGGACACCTACATCTTTATATACCAATGGGGAGCTCGACAGAACCAGAGCCTGGCTTGGACAGGCACCTTGCATGGTGCTGCAGAAACTTGCAGCCTAGCAAACGGAGTGAGGCAAGTCACTGTGAAGCACAGGGATGCAGCATGTGCTAACTGGAAAGCACGTTGCTTCGGGGATGGGCTTTTGCATGTCAGGGAAGGATTCCTGAAATTGTTGCAAAGACCAAGAAAAGTATGCCAGGCAACTGGAGACTGGAGGCTCTGCACACTTTCTCCTGGTTAATGACACCATTAAAAAATGACAGCATTTTAAACCTCAGAGTCAGTCTCAATGCCTCCTGGGTCTTCAGCCTCCTTTACTAAATTCTCACCAATTTTTTTCCCTCTTAGTTCAAGCCACCATCTCCTGCCCATCTCCAGTGACAATATTTGGGACCAGGCTCTCCTCTTCCCTCATGCAACCCGGTAGAGCAGCAGAGCTGGCCTTCCAGGTTGCACTTCTCTCCCCTTGCAGAGTTGAATTGTTCAATTCCCCTACAATACGCTCAATCATGACCCCCTATAGATATCCACATTCTAACCCCCAAAAACTGTGAATGTTACCCAATATGGCAAATGGGGCTTTGCAGATGTATTAGTCCAATCTCTATACCTATAAAGCTCTACCTGAGCCTGGGTAATTTACGAAGAAAAAGGTTTAAATGACTCATAGTTCTGCAGGCTTAACAGAAAGCATGACTGCAGAAGCTCAGGAAACTTAAAATCATGGGGAAAGATGAAAGGGAAGTAAGCACGCCTTACCATGGCAGAGCAGGAGAGAGATAGAGAAAGCAAAGTGGGAAGTGCTATGCTTTCAAACAACCAGATCTCATGAGGATTCTATCATGAGAACAGTAAGGGGGAAGTCCGCTCCCATGATTCAGTCACATCCCACCAGGCCCCTCCTCCGACACATAGGGATTACAATTTGAGATAAGATTTGGGTTGGGACACAGAGCCAAACCATATCGGCAGATGTGAGTAAATTAAGGCTCATGAGATGGGGGGGACTATGCCGGATTTATCTGGGTGGGCCTGATGATATCACAAGAGTCCTTATAAGAGGTATACAGGAGGATCAAAGTAACAAAGTCCATGCAGCCACAGATGCAGAGACTAAAGTGATGCAGCCACAGATGCAGAGACTGGAGTGATGCGGCCATAAGCCAAGGAATGCTGGCAGCCTCTGGAAGCTAGGAGAGGAAAGGAATGAATTACATTCACCCTTGGAGCTTCCAGAAGGAAGGCAGCCTTGCAGACACCTTGATTTTAGTCCTGTAAAACTCATTTCAGATTTCTAACCTCGAAAACTATAAGAATAAATGTGTGGTGTTTTATGCCACTATGAAGCCATTTGTTACAGCAGCAGCATGAAACTAATACATCCTGTTCCTTAAAAGATTAATACTGAACTCCCAGTAGACACAAGTGGCACCAACCTATCCCTTCCTTCTCAGCTCCCACCACGCCTCCACCCATGGACCTCATGCATCAGCCACACTTATCTCCTTAAATCTTCCCCTAGAGAGGCTGGTTGTTTCCAATCCTTGTGCCTTTGCACATACTGCTGCCTTAGAAGAGAACACTTTGGGCCTCCCCTCTCTGCCAAGAAAATCTCTGCTAATCAGTCACACAGTAGCTCTGATACCACCACCTCTGTCAAACCTTCCTTGCCCTCCTTGTGCAAATTTAGCCTCTCTACACTCTATCATTATGTGGTATCAACATAAAGATCTTCTTAAGAATTTCTCACATTAAAAAATATTGATACATAATATTTTATATAGCTGGCTGGGCACAGTGGCTCACGTCTGTAATCCCAACACCTTGGGAGGCCAAGGCGGGCAGATCATGAGGTCAGGAGTTCGAGAGCAGCCTGGCCGATATGGTGAAACCCTGTCTCTACTAAAAATACAAAAATTAGCTGGGTGTGGTGGCATGCGCCTATAATCCCAGTTACTTGGGAGGCTGAGGCAGAAGAATCACTTGAACCCAGGAGGCGGAGGTTGCAGTGAGCCAAGATCGCGCCACTGCACTCCAGACTGAGTGACAGAGAGAGACTCCATCTCAAAAAAAAAAAAAAAAAAAAAAAAAATATATATATATATATATATAATATTTATGGGTTACGTGTGGTATTTTGTTACATGCATCAAATGTGTCATGATCAAGTCAGGGTTTTGGGGTGTCCATCACCTCAAGGGTTGATCATTTCTATGAATTGGGAACATTTCAAGTCCTCTTCTAGTTATCTGGAAATCTACAATACATTGTTGTTAACTACAGTCACCCTACTCTGCTATCAAATATTAGAATGTATTCCTTCTAACTGTATTTTTGCACCCATTAACCAACCTCTCTACGAACCCTACCCCTGCCATTCACCCTTCCCAGCCTCTGGTATCTATCGCTTCACTCTCTGGCCCCATGAGGTCGACTTTTTTAACTTCCACATATGAGTGAGAACATTCAATATGTTCTTTTCTGTGCCCGACTTATTTCACTTAACATAGTGACCTCCAGCTCCATCCATGTCCCTGCAAATGACACGATTTCATTCTTTTTTAGGGTCAAATGGTACTCTGCTGTGCATACACACCACATTTTCTTTATCCATTCCTCTGTTGCTGGACACTTAGTTTGATTCTATACCTTTGCTATTATGAATACTGCTGCAATGAACAGGGGTGCAGGTATCCCTCTGACACACTGATTTCCTTTCCTTTGCATAAATACTCAGCACTAGGATTGTGGAGGGTATGGAAGTTCTAGAATTTATTACATTTTTACAGTAGGTTCAATAACGTGACTGTCTTCACCCCCTCAGGTACAACCCAGGTAACCCCAGAAATGTATCTGCCTATATAAGACTAGAACCAAGAAGAACCCAAAAAACACAGGGAGAATGAACCGAAGACTAAATAAAGGGTTGTGTCCTTCAGCTGTCAAACTAAGAGGGCCTATGATAAAGAAAGCATGTGCGGCATGCTCAACCCCTAGAGAGCAGGTCCAAGAGGAATGAAGGCACAACTGGAAGCATCAGCTGCCCCCAGCAGGCTAATCCACATGCTCTCCCCTCACTCTCAAAGTCAAAATGTTCAAAAAGCTAATAGGAGGGCCTGCTGAGAGCCACCTCCAGGCTTGCAAGTGCCAGAGCAGTAGCTCTCAAACGATAGTCCCCAAGACCAGCAGTATCACCTAGGAAGATGCCAGAAAACGCAAATTTACAAGCCCCACTCGCTCCCACACATGGAAACATCAGATTGCTGAAGTTGTTTTTTTGTTTTTTTGGGACGGAATGTCGCTCTATCGCCCAGGCTGGAGTGCAGTGGTGTGATCTCGGCTCACTGCAAGCTCCGCCTCCCGGGTTCACGCCATTCTCCTGCCTCAGCCTCCCAAGTAGCTAGGACTACAGGCGCCTGCCACCACGCCGGCTAACTTTTTGTATTTTTTTAGTAGAGACGGGGTTTCACCGTGTTAGCCAGGATGGTCTCGATCTCCTGACCTAGTGATCCGCCCGCCTTGGCCTCTCAAAGTGCTGGGATTACAGGCATGAGCCACCGCTCCCGGCCAGATCACTGAGGTTTTAACAAGACCTCCAGGTGTTTGCAAGCCCACTAAAGTTTGTGACCCACTCTTTCAGAGGCAAGGAAAACCCAAGGAGGCTCTAAAGGTAAATTCCTGCAAGTGGCAAACAGTTCTCTTCCCTGTATTTGTTTGCTAGCATTGCCATAACAAAATTGCACAGACTGGGTGGCTGAAACAACAGACATTCACTGTCTCATCGTTCTGGAGGCTGGAAGCATAAGATCAAAGTGCTGCAAGATTGCTTCTTGTTTTTTTGTTTTGTTTTGTTTTTTGGAGTCTCGCTCTGCGGCCAAGGCTGGAGTGCAGTAGCGCAATCTCAGCTCACTGCAACCTCCGCCTCCCGGGTTCAAATGATTCTCCTGCCTCAGCCTCCCAAGTAGCTGGGACTACAGGCACCCGCCACCACACCCAGTTAATTTTTTATATTTTTAGTAGAGACAGGGTTTCACCATGTTAGCCAGGATGGTCTCAATCTCCTGACCTCAAGATCCGCCTGCCTCAGCCTCCCAAAGGACTGCTTCTTTCTGCAGGCCTCTCTCCTTGGTTTGCAGATGGCCCGTCTTATCCTTGTGCAACCTCATATGGTCTTTCCTCTCTGTGCACACATGTGTGTCCAAATTTCCTCTTCTCATAAGGACACCAGTCGGCTGGGTGTGGTGTCTCATGCCTGTAATCCCAGTACTTTGGGAGGCTGAGGTGGGTGGATTGCTTGAACTTACGAGTTTGAGACCAGCCTGGGCAACAAAGTGAAACCCTATCTCTACAAAACAAACAAAAATTAGCTGGGCTTGGTGGCTCGTGCCTGTGGTCCCAGCTACTTGGGGAGCTCAGGTGGGAGGATCACTTGAGCCCAGGAGGCAGAGGTTGCAGTGAGCCAAGATCACGCGACTGCACTCCAGCCTGGGTGACAGAGCAAGACCCTGTCTCAAAAAAAAAAAAAAAAAAAGAAAGTAAAAAAAAAGGACACCAGTCAGTCATCTTGGATTAAGGCCCACTCTAAAGACCTCATTTTAATTTAATTATCCCTTAAGATCTTTAAGATCTTTTCTACAAGTACAGTCTCATTCTGAGGTTCTGGGGATTAGGACTTTAACATAGGAATTTGGGGAAAATGCAATTCAACCCATAATAGTTCCCAAGAATTGAAATTGTGCCAAGTGAACAACTCCAATTTGCCTGCCAATGACAAGTGACATATACATAAGAAACAGGTTGGGCACAGTGGCTTACACCTGTAATCTCAGCACTTTGGGAGGCTGAGGCAGGAGGACTGCTTGAGGCCGGGACTTTGAGACCAGCCTGGACAACATAATGACAGTCTGCCTCTACAAGAAAAAAAATTAAAAATCAGCCAGGCAAAATGGCACATGCCTGTAGTCCCAGCTACTCAGAAGGCTGAGGTGGGAGGATCACTTGAGCCCAGGAGTTTGAAGCTGCAGTGAGCTATGATCGCACCACTGCACTCCAGCCTGGGTGACAGAGCAAGATCTCGCCTACAAAAAAAATAAAAATCAATTAAGATTTAAAAGAAGAAACCAACAGGGCAATTCATCCTGACATTCTTGTTCACCATCACCATCATCACGCGTCAGAAACACAGCCTCCTAGGTGCACGCTCAGGTAATCGGGGTGCCCAAGATGTAGACCCCCTCAGTGCTCACGGCTCCCGGGAAGAGGGCCCAAGCTCGTCACCTCTGGCAGCTGTCTTATTTTACTCCACTATGCTGTAGAAACACCATCATTTTCCATGGAGGTGGCAATGTGAAAAGGGTGAGATAATAATAGTAACTACCACCTCCGATTCCTAAGAGGAATAAATGAAGTACACGTGCAAAAAGCTGAGACACACTTGGCACAGAGGCTACACCTCCACAGAAGAATGCCCAGCCAGTGTTCCTTACGGTTGTCACGATCACCACCACTGTCACAGCCAAGGGCACCAGGGCAAGCCCCCTGCCAGGCACTACCTCAGGGATTCAAGGCACACGAAGCCAACCTTCCAGGGTCTCCATTTCACGGAGGAAGGAGCTTCCTCCTCTTGGTTGGTGACCCCACCAAATGATTTGCAGTGTCTCTTCCAGTTTGGAGATGCTATGCATCTCTTGACACTTCTATAATTCTGCCATTCTCCCTGACTCCCAGGAGAACCCGGGATCTGTGAAGACCTCAGAAGCTGAGTGCTAGGCTGACTGAAACACAGACCTTTGCTTTAGTTATTCTGCTGTGTGAGATCCATTTGCCAAGGGAAATTGGGGAAAGTATTTTTGCTCCGGTGGCTCTGAGCAGTCAAATAACTTCCTCAAGCACCTGCCTGGCAAGTGGAAAAACTGAAAGTGGCTTTGCTCAATCCCTCTAAGCTCCGAAAGGGAACAGGGGCCCATGAGTCCTGCCAGGCAGAATCCAGGATGCATCTCAAGCAGCGACTCTCAGACGTGACCGCACGTTGGAACCATCCAGGCAACTTTAAAGACCTCTAGTGCCTGACCCCACCCAGATTTTCTGATATAATCCATCGGAGTATAGCCTGAGCATGGGGACTTCTCCAACTGTCCAAGGGCTTCCAAAGTGCACACATAGGGGAATCCCTGCACTGCGAAGTCAGCTGCCCACTCAGGAGGATGAGCCGGTGTGACGATCAATAGGATGTCATCTCTATATGTTGAAATTTAACACCTGGGTTTATAATTCTTTTGGAATCAAACCAGTTTAAGGATGAAAAAGAGGCTGGGCACAGAGGCTCATGCCTATAACACCAGCACTTTGGGAGGCTGAGGCAAGAGAATTGCTTGAGTCCAGGAGTTCGAGGCCAGCCTGGGCAACATAGTGAGACTTCCATCTCTACAAAATAAAAATAAAAATAAAAATTATCAGGATGTGTTGGCATGTACCTGTGGTCCCAGCTACTTGGGAGGCTGACGCAGGAGGGTCACTTGAGCCCAGGAGTACAGAGAGCTGGGATCATACCACTGCACTCCAGGCTTGGTGACAGAGCAAGACTGTCTCAAAAAAAAAAAGATTAAAAAAAGATTTTAAAAAATCCAAATAGTGTCTCAAGGAGTAAAACTCCTGGGGAATAATAAGGTACAGCATAAAAGAGGAGGAGTAGAATATTTCTAGGAGAATGAGTCCCCTAAAAGCAAATGCCTTGGCTAAAAATACTTTCCCCATTTCCCTTGGCAAATGGATCTCACACAGTGGAATAATTAAAGCAAAGGTCTGTGTGTTTCAGTCGGCCCAGCACTCAACTTCTGATGTCTTCACAGATCCTGGGCTCTCCTGGGAGTCAGGGAGAATGGCAGAATTATAGAAGTGTCAAGAGATGTACAGCATCTCCAAATTGGAAGAGACACTGCAAATCATTTGGTGGGGTCACCAACCAAGAGGAAGAAGTTCCTTGACAATATCTATGATGTTTCTGCCTCTCGTCCTGGGAGGCTTACTCTTTCTAGACAGCCCATGGAACTTTCAGGTAGCACCAGCAGTTAGGGAGAAATCAGCCTCACTGCAACTTCTATTGCAAGTCCAGGATGGCCTCCAAGTCCACATGGGACAAAGCAACTCCTTTTTGTATATAAAATTCCTGCAAATATTTGATGACAGTGATCCCTCTCCCCATCCCCTACCCAAGACCTTGTCATCCTCTCTGCTCCCTTAATAGATGTTTTTCCATAAAACAGGACCAAGAGGCTGGGTGCGGTGGCTCACGCCTGTAATCTCAGCACTTTGGGAGGCCGAGGCGGGTGGATCACGAGGTCAGGAGATCGAGACCATCCTGGCTAACACCGTGAAACCCTGTCTCTACTAAAAATACAAAAAATTAGCCAGGCGTGGTGGTGGGCACCTGTAGTCCCAGCTACCCAGGAGGCTGAGGAAGGAGAATGGCATGAACCCGGGAGGCGGAGCTTGCAGTGAGCCGAGATTGCGCCACTGCACTCCAGCCTGAGTGACAGAGCAAGACTCCGTCTCAAAAAAAAAAAAACAAAAAAACAAAAAACAAAACAGGACCAAGATCTGTTGGTCTCCATCTTCTGTGTGTACTTCCATTGGCTTATGTCCCCTCTCTTAATATGTGACACTGTCCACTAAGCACAAACTGTGTATGAGATCTGAGACACAGGACAGGGACCAGTGCTTCGTTTCCAAGTGCCCGTAAAACCCTATATCTGCCCCTGCTAACTCTATCACCTTGGGCAATTGATACGACTTCTCTATGTTTTCATAATACTTTAACAAATTTCTTAAACCATTTCTCTTGCCTTCAAGTAGAATATAATTGATTTGAAAAGACAAGGCACACGTGCATGAAACAGGAAAGTGCCATCCCCCATTCAAACCTGGCTGGAACAACTTGCTTCTGTTGCTCCTTCTTTTCCAACTCCCTCTGACTCAGAGATCTGCAGCTTTGATCCAAGCCTTTGACATTTCTGGGTATGGAATTCTCTAGACATTCAGATTTAGGATGAAAAAGAGGCCCTCTGAAGGTAAGAGCTCCCTGCTCCAGCCCTACCCCATGAACTCAACCTAGGTCTCCCCGCTCCAGTGGGTACGGTGTGCCAGGCTTGGGGTCTTAGGTGATTGCAATATCATTAGAAACAACTAGAAGAGGTCCCCTCTCCAGCCTCATCCCCCATATACACATACCCTGAGCATCAGAAATACACTATGCCCCACCCTGTAGGCTTTCAAGCCATGCTTTTGTATGTCTTTTCTGCGTCAAATGTCTTCCCCACTCCTTCACTTACTTTCTACTTAGCAAACTCCTATGAATACCTCAAAACTCAGCATAAATATCATCCTCTCTGTAAAGGTTTTCCCAAGCATTCAGGGCAGATGGTAATGTTTTTTTCCAGGTTTCTGTGATACATTCCTGACACCTCTCTTACTGTGTTTATTTGCAGTTTTCCTGCAAACTCCTATGAATACATCAAAACCCAGCATAAATATCATCCTCTCTGTAAAGATTTCCCCAAGCATTCAGGGCAGATGGTAATGTTTTCTTCCAGGTTTCTGTGATATATTCCTGCCACCTCTCTTACTGTGTTTATTTGCAGTTTTTCTATACATGTGTCTATCAGCAGACTGAAAACTTCTTGGGGATGGACACATGTCTCATTTACTCTTAGATCCTCAGAGTCCAGTGTGGGGCTTAGGACACAAAAGGTGCCATATTTGTTGCATAGAACTGACTTGTAACCTGCATTATCAAGGCTTCACGAAAGAAACTGCACTTGAGCTGAGCTTTCTCAGGATAATACAAAACCGTGGAAGATTTCATGAAGCATGAAGAGTTCACTCTTGACCATGAATCAGCATTGCACTTAGGGAATACTGAGTGCAGTGAACAGCTTCAGATCTTCTAGTATTTGCAAGAAGCAAATGCTTCTTGTTGACACAGATAATATGGGAGTCAGCCCCTTGGCCCTGGGAGGCCTGGCCCTATGTTCTATACCCAGGAGGAATTCTCCCAGGAAGCAGCTTCTCTCTGAGAAAGGACTTTTGGGTCTCAGCTCATGTGAGTGCAAGGGCAGCCATTAAGGAAGAGGGTGGCCTTTGGGTTCCCTGATCCATCCCGTCTCAATTCATTGGTATTAGCAATGGCGGGAGGCCATGGATACGGCCGAGGGGAGCGATGATTTGGGTTTAGAAGCATAAAGGGCCAATGCAGAGGTCAAATACAGCTGGCTCATGGTGTCACATGGTCTTCCAGGAGTCAAGGCTGCCTGTCAATGCCCAGGAGGCTGTGGTAGGCAGTGATTCGTAGAATCCAGGATGCACAGAACGGTTACCCACTTGCAACATAATTCTTCCTTTGTCAAATTACAAGTGCCCCTAAAACTCATCACGGGATCCATACAAGACAAACTTAGGCTTCTGGCATCACCTGTTGGTTCGTTCTGCAGCAGATCCATCTCCAGCATCCCCACAGTGGCCTGGAAGGGACTGGGGGCATTTCCTAGGGACCCTGAAGAGACCAGTGACTGAATACAGCATTTTCCTCCTGAAGGCGAGGTTCAGCGTCACACTAAAACCATAAATAATAGTGGAGAAGGATAGTGCGGAAACCTTCCACAAACCATATCAAACCTATAGCTTTTATACAGTAAATTATATTGACAAGCCATTTCTATTTTTCACTTCTACTTTTTCCCCCTTTGATAAATGAGCAGTGGAGGGGAGTGCTGGCTGTGCTGGGAAAGTACACTCATCTTTGGAGAAGAAAAATTCATTAGCTAATCCACCTACTTGGAGAATTTATTTCTAAGGCTGAACTTTCAGGAGATTTCATAATGGACACCCTGACTAATAGGAAGCATGAATCTGTTCCAGATGGTTAATTACTTTTTATCATTCCTTTTAATAATAGTTAAGAATAATAAGACAACTCGTGTGAAAAATGAGGATGCAGAATGAATTAAACTGATGTGTCCTGCACCCATTTCACAAAAAAAGAACAGATTGAAGTTGTTCAGACAGCCCTAAAATGCCAGGTTTTAAAACCAATGGAGGTTACAAACTACGAGCTATATAAAAGAAATTAATTTCTATGTTAACCAAATAATGTCCCCAGAAGTGGTCACACAGAGGCCGCTCAGCCACCCAGCAGGAATGTTGCAGAAGGCATTTCTGCAGGGGGTAGGAGTGCGAGAGAGAGAGTCCTTTTAGAAAAACTCTTCCCTCTCCTGCTCAAAAATGTTCTCTACCTCTGCATTGGAAATCTATACCTCTCAGCACAGAATCTGGGATGGCAGGACCTCTGCCAGCCTAGATAGTGTCATCTCCTACCTCTCTCATTCTCACTTGAACGGTCAATAGTACCGAGCTACTGAGATACGCAGTGTTGGCAAAAAGAGCGGCCCCATATTGGGTGCCAAATTATTGTCATTGAAAAAAGTCAAAATCTGTAAAATATTTAGAGAGATTTCTTCTGAGCCAAATATGAGTGACCAGTGGCCTGTGACACAGCCTCAGGAAGTCCTGAGAACACGTGCGCAAGGTGGTCAGTCCAGAACTCAGTTTTGTTTTTTTGTTTTTGGTTTTTGGTTTTTATTTTTTTGAGACGGAGTCTCACTCTGTCGCCCAGGCTGGAGTGCAGTGGTGCCATCCACTGCAACCTGCAACCTCCACCTCCCAGGCTCAAGCAATTCTCTTGTCTCAGCTTCCCAAGTAGCTGGGACTACAGACATGTGCCACCATGTCCAGCTAATTTTTGTATTTTTTGTAGAGACATGGTTTCACCATGTTGGCCAGGCTGGTCTCAAACTCCTACCTCAAATGATCCACCTGCCTCAGCCTCCCAAAGTGCTGGGATGACAGGTGTGAGCCACCACGCCTAGCCCATAACTTGGTTTTATACATTGTAGGGAGACAACAGGCATCAATCAATACATGCAAGCTGTGCACTGGTTGGATCTGAAAAGGTGGGACAGCTGAAAGCGGGGGCTTGCGGGTCACAGGCAGATTCAGATTTTCTGATTGGTAAATGGATGAAAGAATTATTATCAATAGAAAGGAATGTCTGGGTTGTGATAAGGAGTTGTGGAGACCAAGGTTTTATCATGCAGATGAAGCCTCCAGGTAGCAGGCTTCAGGGAGAATAGATTGTAAATGCTTCTTTTCAGAATTAAAGAGTCTGCTCTGTCAGTAATTCTGAAAAGGCAGAAGGGTATAATGAGGTATGTCCAGCTTCCCCTCCCTATCATGGCCTGAACTCATTTTTCAGGTTAACTTGGGATTGCCCTTGGCCGAGAGGACAGTGGTCCATTCATGTGGCTGGGGGAGGACTGAGAATTTTATTTTTGGTTTACAGCAGATGTATCTAGTCTCTCGGCCAGCCACTATGCCTTTACTCATGCTGTTCCCTCAGCTGGAATGCCTTCCACAAGCCAGCTCCCCTGAAAAAGCCCCAGGCAACCTGTACGTTTCCATTTAAGAGCTACTTTCCCTATGAACACATCACCACACTCTCTCCAGAGGGGACACCTTCTCCCCTGAACTCACAAGCATTTTCCAGGTTACAAATGAATCTTATGCAGGAAATTTGCACTACCGTCCCAGTAAACTGCAAACTCCTTCAGGGGAGGCAGAAGTCAACAGACTTTTGTCTTGACTGGGCTTAGCTAGCTCCTGTGTTAGTCAATTTTCACACTGCTGACAAAGACATATCCAAGACTGGGCAATTTACAAAAGAAACAGGTTTGATGGACTCAGTTCCACATGGCTGGCAAAGCCTCACAATCATGGTGGAAGGTGAAAGGTACATCTCACACATGGTGGCAGACAAGAAAAGAGAGAGCTTGTGCAGGGATACTCCTCTTTATACAACCATCAGATCTCATGAGACTTATTCACTATCACGAGAACAGCACGAGAAAGACCCACCCGCATGATTCAGTTACCTCCCATTGTGTCCCTCCCAAGACATGTGGGAATTGTGGGAGCTAGAATTCAAGATGAGATTTGGGTGGGGACAGAGCCAAACCCTATCAGCTCCATTCCTAGCATAGGATCATTGAATATTTTGTTGAATGGATGAGTGAAAATAGATAGGAATCCACTGGGGAAATGTTCTAACTTGAACATCCTGTGAGTCTAGATTCTTCCCCACTCCCTGACATCGCCTCTCACAGCTGATGCTGGCAATGAATGAAATCTTCTCTTGGCAGAAGGCCACTGATATACATGTTCTCTTTGGAAAGCTCCAGTTTTAAACTAGACCCAGAATCTTCTCCTCAGACAGACAACAAGATGTGATTCAGTGAAAGCCGCAGTAGCAGACTGTGGCCGAGTCTCATTTCAGATTCCTGTTTTCAGCTTGCTGGGTGACTTGGAGCAAGTAACAAATCCTGTGGGCTTTCATGTCACCCTTTATATGCTCAAAAGTGGGGTACACTCTGTAAATCAAAAATCAAATCTAAGCCCCCCAACTGATTGATGGACCCCCTTCTTGGCCAAGGGCATTCCAAAGAAACCTGAAAAACTAGGTGAGACCATGATGGGAATTAGGTGGTCAGACATGCCTTCTTACACTCTCCTCCTTTGGGAAGGCACAGGTGACCAGCATTAAAAGTAAAACAGAGATCTGAAGACTGACAAAAAAGATTCTTTGCAGCAGTAAGATACCAACATGATAGATGGGAGGCCCTGAAAGAAATCCAAGTATTTTACCCCAAAATATATTTCCTTGACATATTTTGAAACGGCACTGCAAAGCTATCTCTTGTAGGGAAAATCTACATTCTGTAGAGAATCCTCTTCCCTTCCCAGGTCTTTTTCCTGATCCAGGAGAGAATTAAGTAAGAGTCTGGCACCCTTTTATGTCCAATAAGAGCTCTGAAGCCTGCTGCCTGGAGGCTTCATCTGCATGATAAAAACCTTGACCTCCACAAGAATCTATCATAACCCAAATGCTCCTTTCTATTGATTCTAGGTCTCCAGATAATAACTTAACTCTTTCAACCAATTGTCAGTTGGAAAATGTTTGAATCTACCTATGACCTGGAAGCTCTCCTCAGCTTTGAGTGGTCCTGCCTTTCAGGACAGTGCCAATGCACACCTTCCATGCACTGATTGATGTCTTATGTCTCCCTGAAACATATAAAACCAAGTTGTAACCAGACCTCCTGGGGCACATGTTCTCAGGACCTCCCAGGACTGTGTCAAGAGTCATGGTCCTCTCATTTGACTCAGAACAAATCTCTTCAAATATCTTACAGAATTTGACTCTTTCCCTCAACAACTCGCCCTGGGGAATGCCAGAACAATTCATGGTACTGTGGAAAGGGTCACGGTCCTGTATCCAAAACCTTGGGCACACTGGGTTTTAGAATCAGAATTTGGGGAGCTGTAGAAATTTTTTAGAATCAGAGTTCTTTGGGAGCTGTAGAAATTCTTACCTGTACCTATGTAAGCCAAAGAAAATGACTGACTCGAGTCTCAGTTATTTTAGAGATTTATTTGGCCAAGGTTTAGGATGTGCTCAGGAAAAAGGAACACAAAACCACAGGAAATATCAGTGATTCATGGTTTTTCCAAAGAGAGTTTGGGGACGTCTATATTTAAAGAGAAAAGAGTAGGCAGTAAGGAAGAGACGAAGGAAAAAAAAAAAAAAAGGAAGAGTAGGTAATATGGTTTGGCTGTGTCCCCACCCAAATCTCATTGTGAATTCTAGCTCCCATAATTCCCATGTGTTGTAGGAGGGATCCCGTGGGAGATCATCGAATCATGGGGGCAGTTCCCCCCATACTGTTCTCATGGTAGTGAATAAGCCTCATGAGATCTGATGGTTTTATAAGGGGTTTCCCCTTCTAATTGGCTCTTATTCTCTCTTGTCATGTAAGATGTGCCTTTTGCCTTCCGCCATGATTGTAAGGCCTCCCCAGCCACGGGGAACTGTGAGTCCATTAAACCTCTTTTTCTTTGTAAGTTACCCAGTCTTGGGTATGTCTTTATCAACAGCATGAAAACAAACTAATGAAGTAGATAAAAGAGGTACGTGGTTGCATTCATTTGAGGCTTTGATCAGTGGTCACTGAATCTGCATTTTACATGGGAAAGCAGAGGGCAGAAGAATAGTCAATTTCAAGTTGTCTTGCACACAGAGCATTTTTAATAAACATAGAGGATGCAGTCAGACAGGCATATGGCTCAGATGAGTGGAGGGATGATTTCAAATCTGTCCTTTGTCCCATACCTGTGAAGATAAACTGTTAATTTACATTGTCAGGGTGAAACTCAATAGAACTGCTTTAGGGTAAAAGATATTGGAGCCCACAAAGAATTTCCTCATGAATAAATCGTGAGGGAGGTATGCAGCCTTTTATCTTTGCAGTTATGAATTTAGGAACAAAATGGGAAGCCGGTTTGCATGACTGTTCCCAGCTTGACTTTCCCCTTTGGCAGAGTAAGTTGAGGGCTCCAAGGTTGTATTTTCCTTTCACACATATATGTATGATCTAACACTCTCTAATGGGTCTGGGTCAGCATCCCAACTTAACATGTCAATATTCCTGAAATGAAATGTGTGCACAGTCACATTAAATGAGACAAGTAAACGTCATAAATAGCCTTATATCCCATTACAGTTAGGTTTTACCACCTTTTTTTGACACAGACTCTCACTCTGTAGCCCAGTGGGGTGCAGTGGTACAATCTTGGCTCACTGCAGCCTCCGCCTCTCATGTTCAAGAGATTCTCCTGCCTCAGCCTCCCGAGTAGCTGGGACTACAGGCACGTGCCACCGTGCCCAGGTAATTTTTATATTTTTAGTAGAGACAGGGTTTCATCATGTTGGCCAGGCTGGTCTCAAACTCCTGTCCTTGTGATCCGCCTGCCTCAGCCTCACAAAGTGCTGGGATTACAGGCATGAGCCACTGCACCCGGCCTCATCTTTTTTTTTTTTTTTTTTGAGTTTCAGGATCGCAGATAAAAGGTTGCAAGCCTATAATAAAACTTCTGTTATAGCAATGCTTATTGATCTGAAAACAAAAAAAGGATATCGGGTATAACCACAATAAACACATGCCCTGGTGGTGACATCCTCTTTTGGGGGTGATGTCCCATGTCGGAAGGACAATTTGCTCCCTGAGTGAGTCCCGGAGGAGGCAGCAGGGGCACCTTCTTCCAGGGTTGGATCACAGCCCGAGGCTGAATGTGCAGTTTACACATGCCCAGGTAGTGACTGTACAGATCTTATGGTTCAGCTTTAACCAAACAAGTCCTCATAAAACAGGTAAGAGACATAAAGATTTGTGCACACAGCATGTGCCCTGGGGGTGACAGTCGTAAGGTAAACACAAGCTGCAACCTCACAGGGCAGAGCTGACGCTTTTCTGCCTGTTGGGAGCTTGTCTGGAGCCACTATCTGAGATTAAAAGACTGACAATCCGATATAGGTCCAAAAGGAATTATCAAGAAGAATATCGAGGTCAGTTGTGGTGGCTCATGCCTGTAATCTCAGCACTCCGGGAAGAGAGGATCACTTGAGGCCAGGAGTTTGAGACCAGCCTGGGCAACACAGTGAGACCCCATCTCTACGAAAAAAATTTTTAAATTAGCTAGGTGCAGTGGTGCACACCTATAGTCCTAGCTACTTGGGAAGCTCAGGTGGGAAGACTGCTTGAACCCAGGAGTTCAAGGCTGCAATGAATTATGATAGTGCCACTGCACTCCAGCCTGGGCAACAGCATGGACCTTGTCTCAAAAGAAAAGGAGAAAGGTATTGAAATATGGATGCAGACCCACTGCCAGTAACACTAATTCTTACCTTAAGAATATATCATGCTTTTGAATGACATTTTAAAATGAACCATACAGAAATAGAAGGCAAGTATCTGTAATATTTTCAATGATATTTAACACCCTACTAGACACAATCCCAGGACCTTCCAAATTTCCCCCAAACTAAACAATAAGCATTGTGATTCTCTTTCAGAGTTCTCCACCCAATAGCAAAAGGGGGAGGGGGGAGGGATAGCATTAGGAGATATACGTAACGTAAATGATGAGTTAATGGGTGCAGCACACCAACATGGCGAATGTATACATATGTACAAACCTGCACGTTGTGCACATGTACCCTAGAACTTAAAGTATAACAAAAAATAAATAAATAAGAAGTCATGTTGGGGAAATGCTTATGCTTTCACCTACAGCCAAGATAGCAGGACTATTACACAAAAACATAATCTGGCAATAAACTAAATGCATTTCTTTGTCAGCAAATACTTTTGGAAAATGTATTGAAAACACTGGTGACAACTTGAAGACAGAAACTTAAGAAAGGCGCACACAGAAGGCAGGTTTGCTGTGCTCAGGGAAAAGGGTTTTTCCCACGTTTCAGCCTGTGATACTTGCTAGATTCAGTCTCTGTTACAACACATACAAAATACCACTTTTGTGAGTCAATGATCGGGTTGGTGCAAAAGTAATTGCAGTTTTTGTCACTACGGTAAATTTATATTCTGAACTAAATGAGTTCTTACGTGAAAACCTTGTTCGAGGGGAAAAACGTCTAGGGTGCCTCCTGATGGAATGGATGCTTTGACTGAAATAAAAGAAGGGTTTTGGGGCGAGCTTACAGAGACAGGTGCACAGCTAATTTCATTCACTCTATATTCCTAGCAAGTTACTACAGCAAAGGGCACGAAAGCCTCCAGGATATCAATCGTAAAAACACAGATATTTAAAATATAGCCATACTGTCAAAAAACTCCTTTAGTAAAATAGGCAGTGACCTAAATCCCCTGGAAATACCCAGAAGTTTGCTGGTTATCTTGTGTCAAAAAACTTAAGAAGGGCTGTAAATTAATAATAAATTATACATTATTTTTTAAGTTCAAAATATAATGGCCTATTCTTGGATGACAGATATCCCTCAAGAGCCTATGGCATCCATAAATATTTTCAGAAAAAATAAACGTACTTAATTTGTTACCTCAAGGTAAAGATGACATTTAAACGATGAATGAGAAACTAATGCTTTCCAATAAAAAAGAATACTTGTACTACTAGAGAGTCATTTTGAAATGGATGTTTGGAAATGTTTCTATGATTAATGATTTGTGGCTGAAAATGCTATAATTTAATTTATAAAAACTCATATGTTCACACTTGAAAAACTTGGAAACAGATTTTCTAGGCTTTTAAACGCCTTCCATATGAAGAGTTTCAGCAGGTTTTGGGCCCATTTGTTAAAAATATTGAAATGCATCACCTTTCAGTTAGTTTGCAAGAGCAACTGACTGGCATCATGAGAAATGGAAATTTACTAGCTGAATTTCAACAAAAACTTTTGCATAATACATGGATGGCTTCGCGAAGCGAGTATCATAATTTATTAAGCACCACCAACTATGAATTTCTTCTACTTGGATCTACATCTCTTTTGGGGGGTATCTTTTCCAGTATTGAAACCAAAAATAAGTGAATTAAAACCAGACCTGTGAATTACTCTATCACAAAGTATTAAATCATGATTTTGAAAATAACAAAAACAGATCTACTAAGATGGCTGCCATGGAAAATACAGCCAGTAATGATATTTTAATGAGAGGAAAAAAGGTTTCCTATGCTATTAAATAAACCATATTGGAAAATAAATTTGAAGCATTGCTTATTTCATCTTCATCATCTCATGCTTTTAAATACAATCTGTCAGCAATCCACACATATAATTTATAATTAAACATATATGCAGGTATTGGAGGTATGTGCTCAAAAATTTTCACCAATAGGGGTATGCAATCCAAAAAAGGTGAGAGATCACAGATCTGTAAAATGGGGGGACCACTGACATGTCTCCCAAAATTAACGAGAGAAAAAAATAAATATGAATATGCTTTGAAAGAAGGACAAAGTGCTAAAAAGAGGTAAGACATTATAAACATCCTTGCAGGAGGTATATTTAACCCACGTAAGAAAGGAAATCTGAAACAGATGCTGTTATGTAAAGATGAACCTTAAGAATGCATGTGCCTGAAAATATTGGCTGTGAGTTTTGCTCACCATATACATGAACTTCAAGATACTGACTCTACTTTTTGTTATTTTCTTCTTATTGCTTTATTATACAAACATTATAATGACAATGGTGATTACCAGCTACTGTTGACTGAATTTCTCCTAAATGCCAGGCCCAAAGGGAGCATAACATCACCTCTATTTCTTACAACATATCTAGAAAGATTCAGTAGAGAAGAGGCAAGAAGATGGTACAAAGAGGTGGTTAAGGCTGTCACCTTTACGGTAAAAGTAGGTGGATCTGGAAGCCCAGATTTGCTCTGAGTGACTATGACAAGTCCTCCACGTTCCCTTGCCTGTCTGTAGATACCGACCTTATAGGTGGGTGGGGAAGACCGAATGAGCTGATGTATAGAAAGGCTAAGAACAAAGAAGCATGGGGGGAAATGAGTTGCTAGTATTACAAACTATTATTATTACACCCATTTCACAGATGACAAAGCTGAAGCCATTCATTGACAAAGCTAGGATCTGACTTAAAGGAACACTGCAATTGTAATGAAGTGATCTGAAAAAAAACAAGGAAAATGATCATTCCTATTTTCACCACATGAACACATCAACTGTTCTCATTTTCTGTATGTTCCTTTCAGGTCCTATCTGTATGTTTCTGTCTTTATTTTATATATAAGTCGCAGTACAGTTGACCCTTAATAACACAGGTTTGAATTACATGGGTCCACTTATACATGGATTTTCTTCTGCCTTGACCACCCCTGAGACGGCAAGACCAACTGATACGGTTTGGCTCTGTGTCCCCACCCAAATCTCATCTCAAATTGTAATACCCACGTGTTGAGGGGGGGACCTAGTGGAAAGCGACTGGATCATGGGAGTTTCCTCTATGCTGTTCTCACGACAGTGAGTTCTCACGAGATCTCATGGTTTTATAAGTGTAGTTTCCTGTGCTCTCTCTCTCTCTGTCTTTTCTGCCACCTTGTGAAGAAGATACTTGCTTCTCCTTCACCTTCCACCATGATTGTAAGTTTCCTGAGGCCTCCCCAGACATGCGGAGCTGTGAGTCAATTAAACCTCTTTCCTTTATAAATTACCCAGTCTTGGGTCTTCCTTTATAGCAGTGTGAGAACAGACTAATACACCAACCTCTCTTCTTTCTCCTCCTCAGCCTACTCAATGTGAAGGCGATGAAGATGAAAACTTTATGACAATCCACTTCCACTTAACGAACAGTAAATAGATTTTCTTCTTCCTTACGATTTTCTTAAAAACATTTTCTTTTCTCTAGCTCGCCTTTATTGTAAGAATATGATATACAATACATATGACATACATAGTATGTGTTGATGGACTTTATGTTACTGGTTAGACTTCTGGTCAACAGTAGACTCTTTGGCCAGGTGCAGTGGCTCATGCCTGTAATCGCAGCACTTTGGGAGGCTGAGGTGGGTGGATCACCTGAGGTCAGGAGTTCGAGACCAACCTGGCCAATGTGGCAAAACCCCATCTCTACTAAAAATACAAAAATCACCCAGACACGATGGCGCATGCCTGTAATCCCAGCTGCTCGGGAGGCTGAGGCAGGAAAATAGCTTGAACCCAGGAGGCAGAGGTTGCAGTGAGCCGAGATTGCGCCACTGCACTGTCAGTGGGAGCGACAGAAAAAGACTCCATCTCAAAAAAGAAAAAAAAAGTAGACTATTAGTAGTGAAGTTTCTAGGAGCCTGAAGTTATTTGTGGACTTTCAACTGCCAAGGAGGTAAGCACCTCTAACCCCTGCATCGTTCAAGAGACAATTGTAGCCATCAAAAAATTTTTCTCATGTTTTCCCCATCTATCCCCAAAGCTATAACGAGGTTAGTATTTTTGTCTATGATGGTACTATTTTAAAACATTCTCCAGTACTTCTTTAATTATGTTTTCACTCTTCTTCAAGATAAATACTAACACAAATAAAAACATAAACATTTAAAAAAGTCTGAAAGAGCACAAATACACAATCTAAGCTCACACTTCAAGGAACTAGAGAAATAAGAACAAACCAAACACAAACCCAGCAGAGGAAAAGCAGTAATAGGCTGGGCGTGGTGGCTCATGCCTCTAATCCTAGCACTTTGGGAGGCTGAGGCAAGTAGATCACTTGAGCCCAGGAGTTCAAGACCAGCCTGGGCAACATGGCAAAACCTTGCCCCTCCCCCCTCCCCCCAAAAAGTCAATTGTACAGACAAGTATTTACATTATGCTTATATCATAAAAAGTACTTATTTCAGACAGATGCAAGCTTCTAAAGGGTATTCATAATTATAATCTCTTTTTTTTTTTGAGACGGAGTCTCGCTCTGTCGCCCAGGCTGGAATGCAGTGGCGCGTTCTCAGCTCACTGCAAGCTCTGCCTCCTGAGTTCACCCCATTCTCCTGCCTCAGCCTCCCAAGTAGCTGGGACTACAGGCGCCCGCCACATGCCCGGCTAATTTTTTGTATTTTTAGTAGAGATGGGGTTTCACCGTGTTAGCCAGGATGGTCTCGATCTCCTGACCTCGTGATCCGCCCTCCTCGGCCTCCCAAAGTGCTGGGATTAGAGGCGTGAGCCACCACGCCTGGCCTCATAAGTATAATCTTAATGAATGTATAGCAGTCTATTGATTAAATATACCATAATTTAAATGACCATTCCATTCCTATTAGTCTTTTAGGTGGCTTCCAAATTCTTAATATTAAAAGCAATGAGGGGCCAGGCGTGGTGGCTCACACCTGTAATCCCAGCATTTTGGAAGACCAAGGCAGGCAGATCATTTGAGGTCAGGAGTTTGAAACCAGCCTGGCCAACATGGTGAAATCCCATCTCTACTAAGAATACAAAAATTAGCCAGGAGTGGTGGGTGGGTGCCTGTAATCCCAGCTACTTAGGAGGCTGATGCAGGAGAACTGCTTGAGTCCAGGAGGTGGAGGTTGCAGTGAGCAGAGATCGCGCCATTGCACTCCAGCCTAAGTGACAGAGCAAGCCTCTGTCTCAAAAAAAAAAAAAAAAAAAAAAAACAACGAAAAAAGCTATGAGGCCATCAGCATTTTCATGCATGTGGCACTTTTCCCCCTTTATGATTGATTTCCCTAGCATAAATTCCCAGAAGGAAGATTACTAGTTCAGAGGTATGAAATATTTTTATGGCTCGGAGTATGTACTTCCAAATGGCTTTCCAAAGGTGTGATTCTGATTTTACAAGGCCACCAGCTATGGGGTCCAGGCAAAATCTCACTTATACAGGGTAGGAGTGCAAAGATACCTTTGCAAAAAAAAAAAAAAAACCTGCTCTCTTGCTCTCTGCAGACCTTTCCCAATTCACACCAGTCTTCCCCTATTGATTTCTCCTGTTTTTACTGAGTGATCTCTGTGCTCCTCTTTAAAAGAATTTTCCACCTCCAGAAGCTAATTTGAAATACTAATTTACACACAGAACTCACCTTCATTATCTCTAGCCTTTGCCCATTAAAGAGACAGAAAAATCTAAACCAGTTCAGTCCCCAGTGTCCACAGGGCGTTAACCTTCAGAGACCCAGAACTAGAGGTTGCACATACGCCCAGAGATTGCTCCCAAGTCTCCACTCTTTCACAGCAAAGCATTATTTTTTCACCTAGATTTGGCCAGACATGGCCAAATTTTCCACCTGCCTCCCCCTTTTCCAAACATCCCAAGGACAACAAATGTGCCTGGAATGTCACCATGAGCATAGACTACTCCATACCTGTGCCCTTCTTTACACCCGTGGATGACAGGCAGCACAAAGTAAAAATGGCAACAACATTCTGCCTCACAAAATTAGGATGGTTTTTTAAAATAGTCTCTCTTTTTAGCACACTCTCTTAGCACGGCCCCCACAGAATCTTCCCACTTGGTATAGATCATGTGTGGGGTTAGAAAAGCCCACAGACTTCAGTCATATTATTGTCGACAATGACAAAGGCTCCACCAAGCGAGTGGATGGAGGACGAGGGCAGATGGGTGCCAAAGACTTAGAACGTAATTATTTCAACCACTTATTATCCAGGAGCCAAGAAAAGAACACAGATACCAAGAGGCATTTGGAAGGTCCTAGAGTGGGGCTAGGTGACATCGATTAATTGCTTTTCCTGAGAAACATCCATTTCTTCCTAGGGGTCCTTCCCAAAAGACAGAGGTTTTTTTTGGTTGATTTTTTTTTTTCTGGAGATAGGGTCTCGCTCTGTATCCCAGGCTGGAGTGCAGTGGTGCCATGATAGCTCAATGCAGCCTTGAACCCCTGGGCTCAAGTGATCCTCCCGTCTTGGCCTCCCAAGCAACTAGAACTACAGGTGTGCACCACCATGCCCAGTTAATTTTTAAATTTTTTTGTAGAGATAAGGTCTCACTATGTTGCCCAGGCTGGTCTCCAGTTCCTGGCCTTAAATGATCCTTCCACCTCAGTGTTGCAAGCATGAGCCACCGCACCTGGGCAACTTTTAATCCAAGTATTGGGAATGGGAGGGATCCCAGTCTCTGCCTTCATTCTAAAATCTTCATTTCCACAAAGTTGTCACGTAATCTCTCTTCATTCCTCACCATAAGCCTAAGGGGTTGGCATTTTTATTATCTCATTTTATTTACAGATGGGGATAAAGGAGTGGGATGACTTGCTCAAGGTCACACAACTAATAAAGGGCAGAGTTGAGGTTCAAACTCAGATCTGTGTGTCTCCAAAGACTCAGCTCCTGACCATCAGGCTCTCTTCTCTCTTACTGGAATGCTCCCAGAAAATAAAAGAGCCGTGAAACCAAACGCTACAGTGTTAGGTGTCAGAACTCCAAATGCCAGGAATTACTGAAATGTCTTAGTGTCAATCAACCCTTAATGACCTTGGCAAGCATTCTCCCTGATGACAGCAGACCCAGAGAGAATGAGCAAGTGGGAGCCAAGAAGGATGCATTGAACTAGAAGAGTTCAGGAGGTGCCTGTGCAGCCAGGCAGGATCTGGACGGAGCAGAGCTGGGCATGCAGTAGCAGCAGGCGGATGCTGGAGCAGTTCTGTATCCACACTCTCTTCTTAACTGCTAAACTGCTCTAGTCACTCCCTTCCTAAACACAGGCACAGAAAACGCCACCTCTAACCCTGCACCTCCATCTCCCTTTCCCCAGTTCTCAATCCAATTTCTTGGCATAGTCATCCACATCGGTTCCATTTTCCCATTTTCTCATTTCACACCCCACCCCACTTCAATCTGGCTTCCACAAACTCTTGATCCTGCCAACGACATCATGACCTCATCATGGCCAAATTCAATAGACTTGTTTCAGTCCTTTTATGAACAGACATTTTTCATTTTTGCACAAGTTTGGCCGTTGTTTTTTCTCATTCCTCATACTATCTGCCCCCAAATGTGCTGTTTTATGAGGTCTCAAAAAGGAAAATAAGAACAAGATCGAAGGAAGTTAAAGGGCTGGATGCAGCAGCACCCACCTGTAGTCCCAGCTACTCTGGAGGCCAAGATGGGGGGGTCACTTGAACTCAGGAGTTTGAGTCCAGCCTGGGCAACTTAGCAAGACCCCATCTCAATAAGAAAAGAAAAGACAAGAAAAGAAAAGAGAAACAATAGCAAAGGAAGTTGAAGGATTGCATATTTCTGCTTGTGGAAAAGAAACCTTTAGTAGAATTAAGGTCGCCCAACATGTTATACATCATAAAGCAAGCCGGAATTATATTAGACAAGAATGATGAGCAGACACTGAAATCATTGAAGAGTAGATGTATTAGTCTATTTTCGCACTGCCATAAAGACATATCTGAGACTGGGTAATTTATAAAGAAAAGAGGTTTAATTATAAAGAAAAGAGGTAATTTATAGAGAAAAGAGATTTAATTGACTCACAGCTCCACATGGCTGGGGAGGCCTCAGGAAACTTACAATCATGACAGATGGGGAAGAAGCACGTCTCACATGGTGGCAGCAAGAGAGGACAAGAAAGATCAGAGAAAACTGCCTTGTAAAACCATCAGATCTCGTGAGAAATCACTCACTATCACAAGAACAGCCTTGAGGAAACCACCCCCAGGATCCAATCACCTCCCACCTGGACCCTCCCTCAACATGTAGGGATTAGGGAGATTACAATTCAAGATGAGATTTGGGTGGGGACACAGAGCCAAATCATATCAGTGGACCAGATAGGTTATCTAGAATATTCTTCCCAACTCTAAGATTCTAATGGCCTAACTAGCTGTAAACCACAGAAAGGTAAAGTACACCTGCAATGAACATTGAGTGTCTTCTATAGTAGGCCCAGTAATGGGCACCCTGGGAGACATAAAAGGATGTGAGTTAGCATATCAGTTCTGCTGTTTGTGACAGAGACCTAAAATGACACCAGCTTTACCAGGGAAGATGGCAGTCTTGCACAGCAAAGTCCTCAGGGGCCCAGGCTGTAAGTTCCTCCCCACTATCCCTAAATGTTGCCCTCTTCCTTGTAGTCCAAGTTGACTCAAAACTACATCTGCATTCCAGCCTGTGGCAGATAGGAGGTGAATCAGTTTGGACGTTCATCCCCTCCAAATCTCCATGTTGAAATGTGATCCCTGACCAGGCGCGGTGGCTCACACCTGTAATCCCAGCACTTTGGGAGGCTGAGGAGGGCGGATCACGAGGTCAGGAGATCGAGACCATCCTGGCTAACATGGTGAAACCCTGTCTCTACTAAAAATACAAAAAATTAGCCGGGCGTGGTGGTAGGCGCCTGTAGTCCCAGCTACTCGGGAGGCTGAAGCAGGAGAATGCGTGAACCCAGGAGGCGGAGTTTGCAGTGAGCTGAGATGGCGCCACTGCACTCCAGCCTGGGCGACAGAGTGAGACTCTGTCTCAAAAAAAAAAAAAAAGAAAAAGAAAAAGAAAAAAAAAAAAAAAGAAATGTGATCCCTAATGGCAGAGGTGGGCCAAGTGGAAGGTGTTTGGGTTTTGGAGACAGATCCCTCATGAATGGCTTGGTGCCCTCCTCATTGAATTGAGCAAGTTCTTGCTCCACTAGTTCACAAGAAAGCTGGTTGTTTAAAAGGGTCTGGCACCACCTTCTCTCTCTCTCTTGCTCCCTCTCAACATGTGACATGCAGGCTGCCCTTCCTCTTCAGCCATGAGTGGAAGTTTCCTGAGGTCCTCACCACAAGCAGATGCTGGCACCATGCTTCTTGTACAATCTGCAGAACCATGAGCCAAATAAGCCTCTTTGCTTTGTAAATTACCAACCCTCGGGTATTCTTTTTTTTGGGATAAGGTCTCATCCTGTCACCTAGGCAGGGGTGCAGGGGCGTGATCATGGCTCACTGCAGCCTAGAACTCCTGGGCTCAAGCAATCCTCCTGCCTCAGCCTCCCAAGCTGCTGGGACTACAGGTTCACATCACCATACCTGGCTAATTTTTTAAATTTTTTGTACAGACAAGGTCTCCCTATGTTGTCCAAGCTGGTTGGGAACTCCTGGCTTCAAGCAATCCTCCTGCCTCAGCCTCTCAAAATGCTGGGATTACAGGCATGAGACACTGCACCCAGCCTCAGGTATTCCTTTATGGCAACACAAACAGACTAAGAGGAAAGGGAAGAGTAAAGCATGCTCCTTGCCTTTAAGAGCAAAATTGGAAATGGAACGTGGCACTTTGGTTCACATCCCTGTTCTTTGGTTTATATCTCCTTAGAGGAAAGGATCTACTCACCTCCAGGCGACCACAATGCAAGAGAAGCTGGGAAGTATCATTCTTCTCTGGGTGGCCACATGTCCAGCTAAAAAGCCTATCTCTAGGGAGGGTGAAGTGGACAAACAGCAATCTTTTTCACAAAGGGGGAAGGATACAACAGAAGTTGATGTTTATCCCCAGGGAGCTTACTTACCCAAACAACTCTACCATCAGGGCCCTTACCAGATCCGCCAAACCAGGGAGGAGAGAAAGAGTGAGAAAGGTATCAAGTAATCCAAGGGCATTCGTCTCCTTGAAAATTTTTAACTTTAGAATATTCCAAGTATGATGGCAAAACAAGCCACTTTCAAAGAACTTACAGAGAACATCATCATAAACACAGCAAGCTCAGAGCCAGAGCAACAGAACTATCTGATCCCCAAAATGCTGCCATTTCCATTCCCAATATCAAAGACATGGAATCAACCTAGGTGCCCATCAACAGTGGACTGGATAAAGAAAATGTAGTACGAGTGGCTCACACCTGTAATCCCAGCACTTTGGGAGGAAGAGGCAGGCGGATCACGAGGTCAGGAGATCGAGACCATCCTGGCTAACACGGTGAAACTCCGTCTCTACTAAAAATACAAAAAATTAGCCAGGCGAGGTGGCGGGCGCCTGTAGTCCCAGCAACTCGGGAGGCTGAGGCAGGAGAATGGCGTGAACCCGGGGGGCGGAGCCTGCAGTGAGCCGAGATCGCACCACTGCACTCCAGCCTGGGCGACAGCGAGACTCCATCTCAAAAAAAAGGAAAAAAAGAAAAAAGAAAATATGGTACGTATACGCCATGGAATACTAGACAGGCATAAAAAAGAACAAAACCATGGCCTTTGCGGCAACCTGGATGCAGCTGGAGGCCATTATCTTAAGAGAATTAATGCAGACACAGAAAACCAAATACTGCATGTTCTCACTTATAAGTGGGATCTAAACAATGGGTACCTATGGACTTAACAGGTGAGAACAACAGACACTGGGGACTCCAAATAGAGGGAGACAAGAAGGGAAGTGAGTGTTGAAAAACTACCTACTGGATACTGTGCTACCTAGGTGATGAGTTCACCTGAAGCCCAAACCTCAGCATCATGCAATAAACCGTTGTAACAAACCTGCACATGTACCCCTTGAATCCAAAATAAAAACTGAAATTAAAAACAACGAAAAAATACATTTGATATCTGAGATTATATCTCATCTAAATACAATTGACAATTCTCCGGTCTCGGCTGAGACAGGCATGCATCTCTGTCTACTTCTGTCTTCTCCCCAGGCTGTGAAGTAGCTACTAGGTAAGGATCCAAAAGAGTTAGGCAAGCTTTTAACGTTCCACCCTCTAAGGGAAAACGTGGGAAATGTCACTTCTGTGTAACTGTGAGGCATTCTTTTATTTCAATATGTCCAAAGTCTCTTAAAACACCCAAATGTAAGAAAACTGAGTTTTAACTCCCAGTGACTCAAATGTAATATAGGACAGAAATGACAGCTTATTTTTAATAAGCTCTGCAAACAACCACTTCCCCTTACTCTGAAGTCACTTATCACTTTATTCTTGAAGAATAACAATGTAAAACTCATTTTTCTAGCCACACTCAGCATTTCCTAAATGGATGGCTTAAATTTCAGAGTGTGAGCTAGTAAAGTTATTTTTAAACCTGTTTTCCAGAGCCTCGTCACATGTCCCAGCTTGTCTGTGTCCCTACTTTGGGGCCTGGAGTGAAAAACAATCCCAAGCTCTGCTCAGCTGTGCCGTTTCAGAGATCCAGCCCTGCTTCGTGAAATCAGAAGCCTTGGGGTTAAAGCATCACTGGCCCTTCTAGATACTGCTGTCATGCAGGAACCTCTCAGAAGAAAAGAGAAAGGGCTTTGACATTAGATCTCTCTTGCTGCATAACAAATTACCCCAACTGAGTCATGAACACAGTATTTTTTTATTTCATTTATTTATTTCTTTTTCAAGACAGGGTGTCTCTCTGTTGTCTAGGCTGGGGTGCAGTAGCACAATCATAGCTCACTGCAGCCTTGAATTCCTGGGCTCAAGTGATCCTTTTGCCTCAGTCCCCAGGTAGCTGGGACTACAGGCATGTACCACCATGCCCAGCTAATTTTTATTTATTTTTTTTTGGGGGGGGGTACAGACAGGGTCTCACCATGTTGCCAAGGCTGGTCTTGAACTCCTGGCCCTAAGTAATCCTCCCACCTCAGCCTCCCAAAGCATTGGAATTATAGGCATGAGCCACTGTGCCCAGCCCAAACAATATTTACTATCCCAGAGTTTCTATGGGTGGGAAATTTGGGCATAGCATAGCTTGGTGCCTCTGACTCAAGGTGTCTCATTAGATTGCAATGGGACTGTCGGCTGGGGCTGCAGGCTCATCTCTAGGCTTGACTGGGGACAAGGGGGAATTCTCCTCCAGATTCACTCACACGGTTGCTGACAGGCCTCAAGCCCTTGCCATGTGGCTTATCTACAAGGGGACCTCACGGTGTGGCAGCTGAGTTCTCCCAGGTGAGTGACATGAGAGACGGAGAGAGGGCACACCCTAAGATAGAAGCCACAGTCTTATTATAACCTAATTTCAGAAGTGGCACACATGGTCTCTGCTGCATTGTAGTTATTAGAATGAGTCAATAGGTCCCACCCACATTCCAGGGGAGAGGATTAACAAGGGTATAAATGCTGGAGACCCCCACGGGGCCACCAGACAGGCTGCTGACTACAACCTCCTTGTGGTATGAATGGGTGTTTAACCGCACACAGAGAGAGGCACCATTTCATTATCCCACTTGGAAGCCAGAACACACACAGAATCCCAGTCATTCACAGGGCTGGCGAGACCTTCATTTCCCCACCTTTCAATATTTAGCCCATCATTTATAATAAATACTGAACACAGACCAGGTGCAGTGGGGTGATGGCTCATGCCTGTAACCCCAACACTTTGGGAGGCTGAGGCAGGAGGATCACTTGAGCCCATAAGTTGAAGGGTGCAGTGAGTTATGGTCACACCACTGCACTCCAGCCTGGGAGACAGAGTGAGACCATGTCTCTCTAAATAAATAAATAAATTCCGAATGCAGCTAGATGCAAATGTGAAAGGCTTCTGGGAGAGACCTCTTTCCCAACCCCTCACCTTCCCTGCCTCCCACCCTGGAACCAGAGTCCCCTCCATGCCTGAAATACTGCAAAAGAAAGTAACTGCTCTTGGCTCAGTTCCTCTGGGGCTCTCTCCTACAGTTCTGCCTGCTCAGAGAGAGAGTGTGGCTGCTCTGCCCTCTGCCTTATGGAATGTGCTCTGTGCCACAGGGGAGCTGCCCAGCTCTGGCTCTGTTTGCTGAATACATTAAATAGTGGAGTGGATTAGTGGGAGACTCACTGTGGCCATGGATCTAAGCCACGCCCTTAAGCACAGCTTCTCTCAATAAATAAAGTGGATATTTTTCACTCCATTGGTCAGATTCCCGTGTTTATTTCTCAAGTGATTTCAAACTCAGCAAGGATAGAAACGGGTGCCCCCTAACGCATCCCCATCACACACAAAGATCTAGTCCACCAGTCCACACTCCTATTTGAAAAGTGAGTAAACTGAGGCATTAAGAGGCAGTGGGGTGATGGGAAAACATCCCCAAAAAGTTCCAAAACTCTTATTTAGCCACTAATTATTTATTAAGCCCCTGGCTGTGTGCTAAGCTCTGTGCTGGGGCTGGCTATTTTCCGTTTACTTGTTTGTTTGTTTGGTTTTTGAGAAAGGGTATCACTCTGTCACCCATGCTGGAGTGCCATAGCCTGATTATAACTCGCAGTAGCCTCAAGCTCCTGGGCTCAAGCAGTCCTCCCATGTCAGCCTCCTGAGTAGCTGGGACTACAGGCGTACACAATTATGCCCTGTTTTTTCTTTTTTTTTTTTTTTTTTTTTCAGAGATGGGATCTTACTATGTTGGCCAAGTTGGTCTCAGACTCCTGGCCTCAAGCGATCTGCCTTGGCCTCCCAAAGCGCTGGGATTACAAGCATGAGCCACCACATCTACCCAGGGCTGGCCCTTATTCCAGACATCTTCCTGTTCCGTCCCAGGCAAATGACTACACCCCTCTGAGCCCCAATTCTCTCATCTTGAAAATGGGGATCAAGTGAAATGGTGCATATAAAGTTCACACCTACAGTAAACAGTCAACAAATGTCAGCTACTCCCCCGAACTTGCCGGGGGAATGCCTACTTGCATTACATACGGAGACAATAAAGCTATTTTTCAAAGGCAATTTAAAGAAGGAGGCGATCTGCCTATGATTGGATGAATGGGGGTATTTCAGTTCCACTCCCGTGGTTTTTGACCCTACCTCCCACTCTCTGGACCCCCAAAAAAGAATGTGGCAGCGTGTTTGTGCATTGTCAGGGAGCCACGAGATTCCCTGGGTGTTCTGGCAGGCGATGCATGAGATTTTGCCAGGGCAGTAACAAACCAAGACAAAGAACTTAGGCATCTCCCTCAAGGACACTCAGTGAGCGTGGAGCACAGACAAAAATAGAGCAGAGGATGGATCATTCCCTTCCCCGTCCTGGCTTTCTTTTCTTCTCTCTCTCTAATGGCTTAGATTATTATTTTCTCCCAGCACGACCATCAGCTATTAGAGCAGGTGCAGTTTTTGTAAACACCCCGCAGAAGTGCTGCGAGGGAGGTCAAGGGCAGGTGCCCCCGCCGAGGGCTGGCCTGGATTCCATGTTTCTGGTTCTTGTTGCTATTGTTCGGTTGCATCAGCACACAGCCTGGAGGTTGCATCCTGCGATCCAGGAGTGTTTGGCAGCAGAGGGAACACCAGCCCGTCCCTCCCAGGTGGGACAGATGACAGCAAGTCTAAGGCAAAGCAATGTATTCCCCATCTTATAGAAAAAGATAACAAGGCACCCCTATAGGCAGCCAATTATGCAGGCACCCAGGATGTGTAGTTTGCAGAGCCCTGGAGAAAAACGCCCTAAGCAGGAGACTAGGCCCGTCCAACAGTGAGGCTGTGAGGACAATGGTATTGCTGAAACCTACAGCCAGTGGCCTTGACAAAGCAGTTTGCTTTCTGGTGCAGCAAGTTTCAGTTTGGTCTTTGGAGCTCAGTTTTACACCATTGAAAATTAAAATACCCTGAGATAGGGTAGCAATGAAGCCCTCAGCCGCCCCTTACACCTCAGTGTAAGTGAGTTTGTCAGCTCTTTTCCTAAGAGAGTAGATTTTTATTTTTTTTTTTATTTAATTTTTTTGAGACAGAGTCTCACTCTGTCTACCCAGGCTGAAGTGCAGTGGCGCGATCTCAGCTCACTGCAACCTCCACCTCCTGGGTTCAAGCAATTCTCCTGCTTTAGCCTCCCAAGTAGCTGGGATTACAGGTGCCTGCCACCACGCCCGGCTAATTTTTGTGTTTTTAACAGAGACAGGGTTTCTACCATGTTGGTTAGCCTGGTCTCGAACTCCTGACCTCAGGTGATCCACCCGCCTCAGCATGCCAAAGTGCTGGGATTAAAGGCGTAAGCCACTGTGCCTGACCAAGAGCAGACTTTTAAATGGCACAGGAGATGCAAATCCAAGGACACTGGGAACCAGATGGAAGGAAGAAGGAGTGGAGCTTGTCCCCATGAAGAAGGAGTGGAGCTTGAGGAGAAGGGCACCCCCTTCCTCATGCTTCCCGGTGCTGGAGCTGGGGGAACCCAGGCCACAGGCTAGACTAAATAGAAGTTTGCTTTCGTTTGGTGCAAGACCCATTACTTTCCATCACTGGGAGCCTGAATGCGGTGCTGGGAGATTGATAAAAGCCTGACTTTTCAGTAAATCTGGAGAAAAATATCTGATGACGTTTTATTTTGTTCTTCTGTATTTTCTGGTCTTATGGAAACTAATTCTGTACAACAGCGGTTCCATCAAAGCCTTTCTTTTCTTCTCTCCCTCCCCCTTGCAACACTGGACAAAGATTTCTCATTTCATACGTCATTTATTCCAGCAGTAATTCTATCCGAGTCACTCCAGGTCCTTCGCAAACAAAAACAGCAAAATGAAATTCGGTGGCAGTATTAAGATGACGGTTGCGGGTGATGCAGCCTTCTGTGCAATAAAGTCACAAACCCTGGGCAGAGGGTCTGATTCTCAACCACGGGCAACACCTAAAACGAACAGACCAAATTTTTTTTTTTTTTTTCCGAGATGGAGTGTTGCTCTGTCACCCAGGCTGGAGTGCAATGGCGCAATCTTGGCTCACTGCAACCTCTGCCTCCCGGGTTCAAGTGATTCTCCTGCCTCAGCCTCCCGAGTAGCTGGGACTACAGGCGCACGATGCCACACCCAGCTGATTTTTTGTATTTTAGTAGAGACAGAGTTTCACTGTGTTGCCCAGGCTGGTCTCAAACTCCTGAGCTCAGGCAATCTGCCCGCCTCAGCCTCCCAAAGTGCTAGGATTACAGGCATGAGCCACCGCGCCCCGCTGAACAGACCGAACTTTTTATCCTTAAGATCAAAATCAAACCTCCAGCGTCCTCTGCATAGGCAGGAGACCCAACAGTCACTATGCAGGAGGAGACAAGGTACAAAAAGGCACTTAGACACCCAGGCCACCTGGCAACACAGAACAAATCTCCAGTCCCCAAATTCAGGAGTCAGCATCCCTAATATGGAAACCTGCTTGAACAGTGGAAATAACGCATCTGGTTCAGCACTGTGGTTTATCTTGCTAGAAAGTTCCATGTCAACATGGTTCATTATGACCACGGATGAAAGCAAGCTCTGTTCCAGGACAGGCAGCTCAGTTTGTAGTGGGTGCAGTTTAGTTTCCCTCCATTCACCCTACCCCTTCCCTCCTCCTTGGTTTGTACTTCAAGGTTAAATGCAATGGGTCGGGAGCGGTGGCTCACATCTCTAATCTTAACACTTTGGGAGGCCGAAGTGGGCTGATCACCTGAGCTCAGCAGTTCAAGACCAGCCTGGGCAACACAGTGAAACCCTGTCTCTCTACTAAAAATACAAAAAATTAGCTGGGTGTGGTGGCAGATGCCTGTAATCTAGCTACTTGGGAGGCTGAGCCACAAGAATAGCTTGAACCTGGGAGGCAGAGGTAGCAGTGAGCCGAGATTGCGCCACTGCACTCCAGCCTGGGCGACAGAGTGAGACTCTGACTCAAATAAATAAATAAACTTATAAAATTAAATGCAATGTCCTTACAGATAGCTCAGAAACTGATCATGCAAACTACCTAAAAGTGACAGGATAGCTCTCCGATTGTAGCCTGGTTGGTTGTGCTAAACCACCCAAAGCAAGAAGTGTGTTGATATGGTTTGGGTTTGGATGTGTGTCCCACCCAAATCTCACGTCAAGTTGTAATCTCCAGTATTGAAAGAGGGACCTGGTGGGAGGTGACTGGATCACGGGGGCAGATTTCCCCCTTGCTGTTCTCATGATAGTGAGTTCTCATGAGATCTGATTGTTTAAAAGTGTGTGGCACCTCCCTCTTTGACCACTTTCTCCTTCTCTGGCCATGTGAGACGTGCCTGCTTCCCCTTTGCCTTCCACCATGATTTTCCTGAGGCCTCCCAAGTCATGCTTCCTGTACAACCTGTGGAACTGTGAGTCAATGAAACCTGTTTTCTTTATGAATTACCCAGTCCCAGGTAGTTCTTTACAGCAATGTGAGAATGGACTAATACATGTGTGCTCCCAAGGGCTGTGGGTCAGCACAGAACCAGAGAATGAGAGCCCCAAAGGCAAGGCCACCCCTACCATCAGGCAGTAGAGATGCACCCACCATCCCAGACTCTTGCCATCACAGGCTGGATTCATCCGGCTCCCCTTGTCCTGAATATAGGCTCCCAGAGCAACCTTCTGATCATCCTGGCTTCCCATATGGCCAACAGGGAACTCTTGCACAGATCATGCCAATGAGAATATGCTAGGCTCTGGAGCAGTTCTATCTCTCTTTGCAATTTAATTCATTGGCCTTCTAAGGTCTACTTCTGTTGAAGGTAACTTTCAGCTGATATGAGTCCCTCACAGAGGTACTGTCTTGGGAGCCTTCAGAACAGAAGACACGATGCTGATGGAGGATGCGCTCATCCAGGGACTGCCCAGCTCCCTCGCCATCCTCTCTCCCTCCAACACCTCACCCTAGTCCTGTGAACATGGGACAAAAGCCACAAGGTAGGGATTGGCTCTTACCCCTGACACTGCCCCAGGCTTGTCAGCTCAATAACTCATAGACTCCACACTTGGAAAGGAAGGTGTGAGAAAGATGGAGGAACAGGAGTGTGGGGCAGAGAGCCACCAGGGTTAGCAGCCGAACACGGGAATATTTCAAATGGCTTTCTTCCGGGTTGGTGAAGAAGCCCTTCTTCAGCTCTCTGGACCTCAGTTTCCCCCTCTGTAATGCAGGGAGTAGAACCTACTTCACAGGGTTGTTGAGAGGATTAAAGGAGACAATATGTGTGAACTTGGAACTCACTGTGGAAATGTATGCTACTTCTGAGATAGGAGATGGGACTGGACTTTGGACGAGATTGGTAACTGGCTAAATTACGGAAGAGGCACCAAAAGCACCTCTCCATAACATACACCCATCAGCACCATGACAGCCCACCACTGCCATGGCCACACCCAGAAGTTACCACCCCTCATCTAGAAATTTCTGCATAACCCACCCCTTAATTTGCGTGTAATTAAAAGTGGGTATAAATAGAACTGCAGCACGGACCCTGAGCGGCTGCACTCCACACACTGCCTATGGGGCAGCCCTGCTCTGCAGGAGCAGTCACAGAGCTGTAACACTAATGCCTCCATAAAGCTGGTTTCTTCTACTACTGGCTCACTCTTGAATTCTTTCCTGAGCAAAGCCAAAAACCTTCCCAGGTTAAGCCCCAATTTTAGGGCTCACCTGCCCTGCATCACTTCCAATCACTTATTAAATCCCCCCTAGTCCCTAACTCCTGCTTTCCTATGCCCTATATCTGTGACTCCCCCCTACTCCCCACTGCTTTGGCTAAAATACAAGTAACCCTGGAATGGTCAGTGGCAGTAGAGCATGTTCTGCAAGGCTGCACCACCCCCACTGACCCTGACCACCAAGGCTCCCAAAAGGTGTTCAATCTTTCACCCCTGCACAAATGAGATGGTGGGGTGGGGGCAGTGGTGGGCAGTAATTACAGAAAGAAAGAACAAGAAATCTAAGGACAGAAATGTGTAGGCCTCAGGGATTTGGCAGATCCCCTCAGAGAGAAGGACTGCGCATCCACACACTTTATGACTCATGACCTTACATCCCAAACTCTCTTTCTCAATATTTGCTCACACTCCCTGAATCTCCCCATGTTCGCTGGTCTATGTAGCAATCCTAGAATTCTCCAAAGCAAATGGTGACTCTGAATACAACTCAGGGAATTCTGAAGCTACTAAAGACCCTCATATAACCCAAGGGAGAGGAGCCACTGAGAACCTACTTCCCCAATGTTATGGACTTAATGCCTGTGCCTCCCCTAAATTTCATGCTGAACCTATATCCCTGCAATGTCATGGTATTTGAAGGTGGGGCCTTTGGGAGGTAATTAGGTTTAGATGGTGTCATGAGGGTGGGGCCCTCATAATGGGATTAGTGCCCTTATAAGAAGAGAAAGAAGAGACTAGAAAGCGCTCTCTCTCTCCCTCTCCCTCTCTCTCTCTCTCCCTCTCCCTCCCTCTCTCTCTCCCTCCCCCACTCCCCTCTTCTCTTTTCTCTCTCCTTTCTTCTCTCCTTGCTCTATCTGTCATGTGAGGACACAATGAGAAGGTAACCAACTGCAAACCAGGAAGAGAGCCCTCACCAGTATCTGACCATGCTGGCACCCTGATCTTTGTCTTTTCAGCCTTCAGAATCATGGGGGAAAAAGATGTCTGTCGTTTAAGCCACTCAGTCTATGGTATTTCATTACAGCAGCCCAAGCCGACTAAAACACCCATCTTTCCATCCACCCTCTCTTCCATAGCAAGCTCTGGACTTGCACTTCTCCAGGTGCAGTTTGCAGATTACCTGTATCCAAATCGCCTGCCATGTTGCAGATTCCTGAGCCCATCCTATATCTACTAAATCCAAATATCTGGGGGAAAACCCAGATACCAGCTCAGAAATCTGCATTGTAAACAAGCTCCCAAAAGATTCAAGTCTAAGGTCAACCATCCCAGGGTCTACTGGAAAAAAAAAAAAAACAGCAAAAATATCCTTCAGTCCAACATGAACCATGGACAGATGAAATTCCCTCATGAATTTCACTGATTATTACTAATGGGGAAAGTGAATTTAAAGCTTAGATCACCTTAAGAAAAAGAGGAATAATTTACAAATGTGAATGAATTTCTTACTATTCCTTTTCTTTCCCTTCCCTCCCCAGAGATAGTCATATTTCAGAAATCCTAAGTCTAAGGTTCTCAAATTTGTTCCTGCATCAGTATTACCCAGAGGGCTTGTTCAGACACAGAGAGCTGGTCCTCACGCTACAGTTTCTGATTCAATGAGTCTGCGGTGGGGCCCAAGACTTTACAACTCTAACACATTCCCAGGTGATCTTGACGACGTTGGTTTGGGGCACACACTTTGAAAACCACTGTCTCATGTGCTCTATCTTTGGAAAACCAAGGCGGACTCCCCAGCATGCTCACGAAGGGGATCTGAAAAACCAAAAACACACCCAGGGATGGGTCTGGATGCCCTCCTAACCTCCCGGGCAGGGTCCATGGCTCCTAATGAAGATGGTTGTCTGCTCTCTTCCTATAGGTGCCCAGACACCAAGGCTCCTTAAGCGGCACTGTGCCAACACTACTGGCTATCTAACCAGTCCTCATCCACAGTCCCCAACCACTCACCATGCCGGCCTCCTCTGCAGCTAAGGGTGGCCAAGTGACAGAGTTCTGACCAAAGGAACACAGGGAAAGTCGGCTGGTGGCAGGGGAGGGGGTGTGCGTGGAAAAGAAGAGAAAGCTGTTGTTCTCCTGATGCTGGTACCAACTTCCCTCCCTGTTTCTTGAACGTGGGCTGCATGCCTGGAGCTATGGTAGCCTCTTTGCACCCATGAGGGGGGCCTTGACCTTTAGCTTCTCACTCCATGCAATGGCAGCTCCTTCCCAAATTCTTGGTTGTATATAAAATAAACCCCTATTCAATCTGCTATTAGTTGGCTTTCTGTTTCTTGAGGCTGAAAGTATTCTGAAATGATATACTAGTACTCCACTTTAATTTTAACCAGTTACCTGATATTTGACATTCTGTCTCATGGGGAGTTGGGAGGCACACAGAGAAAAAGCAGCAATAATTATACCAGAGACACCCTTTGCTTTCTCTTCTCCAGGCCAAACCCCTCCATCCTCTCACCCCTATACTCACTGGGCCTATTCTCCTTGGCTCTTCCTTGCAGCCTCTGCCTAACACATGCTCAGCACCATGTTTTCTCCAAGGCCTGTGCTGGGCAATGCCTGAGATCCACTCTGCAGCTCAAGCCAAGCAAACAGGCCCAGCTGGCCTCTGGCTCAGTCCACAGACACAGGCTGCCGCTCTTGGCTTTTTTCCATTATTACCCTTCCGGCCACGGAGGTGACCCAAGTGAGAATGTGCCCTGCCTGGGGCACAGCTTGTCACAGACATCGAACTAGGTGGAGGCGGAGGGTCCATTCCATGACTTCTCACAGGTCTCAGATGGGACTAGGGCTGGCCAGTAGCATAGACTTAACGTTTGCTGGGTTGAGTTAGGCACCTTTAGTAGAGTCCAGCCACCCTGTACCCTTGCTCAACTGGGACATCAGGGGCTGTTTGGAGACTGCTGGGAGATTCCTCTTCACAGTGAGAATAGAAATGGATCACAAGTGTCCCTAAATGTGCCTCCCATATGTAGATTTCCTTGCTTTGGCCTTACTCTTCAGACTCATCGGCTATCAGAGAGCCAAGCTCACAACCACCACCAAACCATGCAGCTGGCAGCTGTCCAAATGGACTGAGGCTGACGAAAGAGCCAGGAAACGCTCCAAAACATGAGTCTGGGTCCAGACGGGGCCATCTTGGTCTCACCGTCCCCGCTAAAGCCACTCAGGCCAATGCTGGCCAGTCTGCTAAGGCAGAAGGAGCCTCCCAGGGGAATCCTGGGTCCGTTGACAGCCTTCTGGCTGCAACTCCCAAGTCGCAGTGGCCTGAGCCAGAAAGATGCAGAGGCAGCAGCAGCACCATCTGAGCGCTGGGCCACATCCTTCACGATTCTCTTGGCCATCCACCCATGATCATAAAATGGCTATATCTCCTCCAAGAATCACGCTGTCACAATGCAGCACCCGGGGCAAAGAGGAAAAGGCAGGAGGACTCTTTCCGCATACTGCTCTGTCGGTGAAGGAAGCATATCCCAGGCGGCCACTGTTGAATTGCCTTTCACGTCACGGGTCAGAACCAAGCCCCAGCCCTGGATGATCCAGGCATAGGGGAACTGAACAGCCTGCAATATAAGTATTGGCCAGGTAGGATCAAATCAGTACTTTGCCGAGGAGGGAAAAAAAAAGGGCTAACGACTGCCACCCAAAGATAGCAAGTCCTGATCCCTGGAACCCATGAATGGTAATTTATTTGGAAACAGGGTCTCTGCAAATGTGATCAAGTTAGGGCTCCTGAGATGGGGACATTAGCCTGGATTATCCAAAGGGGCCCAAAATGCAACCACAAGTTTTTATAAGGAGGCAGGGGAAGTTCAATAGACACATGCAGGAGAAAAGAGTTGAGGTGAAGACAAAGCATAGAAAGATTGGAAGATGCTGGCCCTATTATAGAGTGATGCCGCCACAAGCCAAGGAATGTTGGGAGCCACGGGAACCTGCAAGAGACAAGGAAGAGATTCTCTTCTAGAGCCTCTGGAGGGAGTGCAGCCCTGCTGACACCTTGATTTCAGCCCCGTGGTATTGATTTTGGACATCTGGCCTCCTTAATTGGGAGGATACATTTCTGTTGTTTGAAGGCCTTAAGTTTGTGGCAATTTGTTACAAGGGCTACAGGAAACAAATTCAAGGGCAATGGCTTCTAGACAGGACACCAGCTGTGTTGGCCCCAGGTCACCTGAGCTGAGTGGAGGTGGACGGTTGATTCCATGACTTCTCACAGGTCCCAGATGGAACCAGGGATGGCCACTAGCATAGACTTAACGTTTGCTGGGTTGAGTTAGGAGCTTTTAGCAGAGTCCAGCCATCCTGTACTCCTGCTTGGCTGGGACATCAGGGGCTGTTTAGAGACAGCTGGGCTGTGTGTGGGCCCCTTCCCACCCTGGCCTCCAACACACACGTGTACATCACAGACACACACACACACCAAGCAAGTCCCTCCTCATTATCTGCCTTGCTGTATCCTGAAGATGAGCCCTGGATCAAACACCAAACTGGGGTCCTCTCAGGCCACTGTCTCCTCCTCTATCGGGCTGAATTACTCCTATGCATATCCAGGGAAGAAGGCATCTGATGAGCCACCAGCACAGAAGCAGAGAAACCGACATAGCACCTAGCATGGAAATCCAGGCATGCCACGACCGGCAGAATCTTGCCCTGTGTCTCTTCCTCAACCCGTGAGCTGGAACCAGGACTCTCTCTCAGACTCGCTCAGCCAAGCACAGAATGTCACCAGGCAATGGGTTTTTTGGCAAATCACTCATAAAAAAATTCATGGCTGCAGCTGACCCTCATTAGAATGTATTTCATTAAATTAAAACATCAATCCCAGAAATATATGTTTGCTTAACAGGCAGAAATGATTTGGGAACCTCATGCTGTATGCCATCAAATCAAATCAAATGGTGAGAGCAAACGAAATTAAGCCATCTAGCAAGGGGGGTAGGAGGGATAACAGGGGTCTCTCGCCAAAAAAACATAATCATGGCTTATGAAAAACCCCTAGGCATCCAAATTGTGTGTCCATGAAATGCAGGAAAATGGGTGAGAAATGCTTTTGGACGGCTGGCCTCCAGAGAACTGGGATCTCCCCTGAGTTCTCCCAGGGACCAGCACATCTCAACCTCTGGGTTCTCTCTTCTCAATGATTTTTTTTTTTTCCATTTTTTAGAGACAGGGTCTTGCTCTCTCATCCAGGCTGGAGTACAATTGCGCAATCATGGCCCACTGCAGCCTTGAACTCCTGCACTCAAGCAATTCTCCCGCCTCAGTCTCCCAAGTAGCTGCGACTACTGGCACATACCACCATGCCCAGCTAATTTTTGCATTTTGCTTTTTTTTTTTTTTTTTTTTTTTTTTGTAGAGACGGTGTCTCCCTATCTTGCCCAGGCTCTTCTTGAACTCCTGGGTTCAAGCCATCCTCCCACCTCGGCCTCCCAAAGTGCTGGGATTACAGGAGTGAGCCATCATGCTCAGCATCTTCTGAATGCTTTAAATGCAGATTTCAAGGAGGGGCTCAAAAGCTGGAGGGGACAGAGATGATCCTGCCCAGCTCCCTTTGTTCCAAAGAAGTGTGGTTCCTTGGACGGCAGCACATAGAGGGGGGACGGACTGTCATAGGAAGGGGGCAGGGCAAAGCAAATGTCCCAGCTTCTTTTCCAAAGGAGACCCAAAAGGACCACGGAGCCTTTTGGCAATACTTTCCATTCATGTATAAGGCTCTGTGACTCCACTGCTTTGAAGTAAAGACGGCCAGCCAGGTGTAGTTGCTCACGTCTGTAATCCCAGCACTTTGGGAGGCCGAGGAGGGTGGATCACCTGAGGTCAGGAGTTCGAGACCAGCCTGGCCAACATGGCGAAACCGTATCTGTACTAAAAATACAAAAATTAGCTGGGCATGGTGGTGCATACCTGTAATCCCAGCTACTTTGGAGGCTGAGGTGGGAGAATCACTTGAAACCGGGAGGCAGAGGTTGATCATGCCACTGCACTCCAGCCTGGGTGAAACAGCAAGACTCGGTCTCAAAGAAAAAGAAAAAAGAAAGCCAACCTCATCATGCCCCAGTGGAACAGAGGACTGAGTTGGCCTAGACCACGAAGATAGAAAAAGGAGGTTTCCAAATTAGAATCCAGGCCCATGGCTTTTGATGTTCAACTTTGCTCTGCTGCTCTCCAAACAGAAGCCCTGTCTCCACCCCGGGGTTCCCAGGCCAACCACCAGGAAGGCCAAGGGCAGATGGTAGGAGACATATCCAAACCACAGACACTTAAGACCTTAACAGTTCACAAAATGATTAGATATTAAAGAAGCGCCCTACTCACTTCATTCATTGTTCCAAAATTGAAGTTCCTAAAGAAGGACCCTGGTGTCAGATAGCTCATTCTTGTTTTAGTTTATTTACTCAACAAATTAAAGATAGTTAATTCTTTATTAATATATTGCTCATAAACCATATAGCTTTGATCTAGAAAAACAGCAAGTCATCAAAAGGTCAAAATGATATATCCTCTAATCTTTTACATGCATATATATATGTATACATCTCATTTATATGCATATGTATACACACAATTTTTTACAAAATGCAATTATACTTTACTTACTGTGATATAACTTGTCTCTTTTTTTAACCTAATAGTGTACCATAAGCATAATTTCATGTCAAAAATATACATCAACATCATTGTTTAATGGCTGCATAGCATGGCAGGCCATGAATGTATCATCATTTACTTAATCAATTGCCCATTATTGCTCATTTAAATGCTATACCCAATTTTCCCGGGGAATGACAGCATGGCAGTAATCCTCTGGCTTATACCTTCCTTGTGTATAAATACTTGTCTGCTTATTTCCTTGAGATAATTTCCTAAGATGCAATTTCTTAGTCAAACGACAAGTTACGTCATCCACTGGAACAAGACATTTCGGGAAGTTTCTTAGATACAGTACGGAACTTCTCTGTGTCTGAAAGCTAACATGCAGCTCAATTTATTCACTGAACTTAATTGGCGTTTCTCACTAACAGAAGGCCTGAGGCAGTGAGTTTCCAGCCTCAAACATCTCAGATGTCAAAGAAGCAACGTGCAATGTAATCGCTGCCGCCATTATGCAGCAGAAAGCTCTGGCCAGCCTGGAAACAGAAAATAAGATGTGTTTGCTTCAAAATATTTGCAGATCGACTCAGATATAATAATCCCTAGTGCATGCTCTACCTGAAAATTTAAGGTAGTGAAGCACAATTTCTGTAAGAATGAGTCTATGGGCTGTGTGCGGTGGCTCATGCCTATAATCCCAGCACTTTGGGAGGCTGAGGCGGGCAGATCACTTGAGGTCAGGAGTTCAAGACCAGCCTGGCCAACATGGCGAAACCCCATCTCTACTAAAAATACAAAAATTAGCTGAGTGTGGTGGCATGCACCTGTAGTCACAGCTACGCGGGAGGCTGAGGCAAGAGAATCACTTGAACCCAGGAGGTGGAGGTTGCAGTGAGCAGAGATCAAGCCCCTCCAGCCTGGGTGGCAGAGGGAGACTCTGTCTCAAAAAGAAAAAAAATAAAATAATGAGTTTATGCTGGTTAGGACTGAAGTTGCCAAGAAAACCAATATAGATTGGTTTCAACAATAGAGTATTTTGGTTCATGGGTTGAATATTCAAAAGGTTAGGTGAGGCTTCCTACAACAGAAACTCAAACAAAACCCCAAGGTGCTGATTCTTTGGAACTCCTCTTCCTCCCAGGCTGGGCTCCACCTGGGGCTCTCATAGCAGTTCCAGCCTCAGCTCATAGTGATCCAGTGGCTACAGCAGCTCCAGATGTTGTTTCAGAACACATCACCATCCAAAGAAAGAACAGTTCCTCTGGCAGCTTCCTTGCAAGGAAGAGAAACCTCCCCTTTCCAAAAGCCCTAGAAAAGGTGTTCTCGTGGTTTGCTGGCTTTGACCAGGACGGATATACCACGTGGTTTACACCTACATGTAGTATCAGCCCCCAAGCACACATGGGTAAGGATGGGAAGTAAATTCAGGTTACTGTTCTTGGAAGGATGAGAACTGGAAGCACTCTCTCAAACAGATGTCCACTGCAGAGATGATTTGTTTAGATGACAGCTAATATAAATTTAAAATAATGGAAAACATCATAAGAAACAAAGAAAATCTTGATGATCAAAAAAGTTTAGGAAGAATGTATTGAGGCCAGGCTCGGTTCATGCCTGTAATCCCGAAACTTTGGGAGGACAAGGCGAAGGATCCCTTGAGGTCAGAGGTTTGAGACCAGCCTGGCCGACATGGCAAAACTCCGTTTACTAAAAATACAAAGTTAGCCAGGCATGGTGGCATATGACTACCCTACTCAGGAAGCTAAGGCAGGAGAATCACTTGAACCCAGGAGGCAGAGGTTGCAGTGAGCTGAGATCGCACCACTGCTCTCCAGCCTGGGCAACAGACATAAAAAACAATAAAAATAAAAATAAAAATGTATTGAACACCTGCTTCTCTGCTTCTTTCTGAAACCTCATCAAAATACAAGTGAAATAATCAAGACATGGAATCAACCTAAATGCCTATCAATGACAAATTGGATAAAGAAAATGTGGTATATATATACCACAGAATATTATGCAGCCATAAAAAAGAATGAGATCATGTCCTTTGCAGAAATATGGATGGAACTGAAGGCCATTATCCTTTAGTAAACTAATGCAGGAAGAGAAATCCAAATACCACATGTTCTCACTAATAAGTGGGAGGTTAAATGATGAGAACACATCAACACAAAGAGGGAACAACACACACTGGGGCTACTTGAGCATGGAGGGTGGAGGGTGGGAGGAAGGAGAGGAGCAGACAAGGTAACTATTGGGTACCAGGCTTAATACCTGGGTGATGGAATAATCTGTACGACAAGCCCCCGTAACATGAGTTCACCTGTGTAACAAACCTTCACATGTACCCCTGAACCTAAAATAAAAGTTTTTTTAAAAAAGAAAAAGTTAAGTGCTCGAAAAAAAAAAGTTGGGATTATGGGGTCATGTCAAAAGGGCACAGAAGCCAACCTGAAAGAGTTCCCAGTGGTCAAAGCTAGAACAATTTGAGCAAGAAGAGAAATAAACATAGTATTAGATATAGCTTAAAGGTTAAAATAAATATTCATAAGTCCATACTGATATAAATACATGACTGAATAAACAAATAACTGGGATAGAAGGGACAATTCTTCCTTACAGAAGAATTTCAATTAATAAATGTGGGAGGAATGAGAGAGCTAGAAACGCACCACTTAGACTGCCAGCAACGTCCATCAGTGAATGCTAAAAATAGTTGGCAAAAGTTTAAGAGAAAAAAAATTAGATATTTGCATAGCCTCCGAGTATATATTAATTACATAAGAAGAAACCTCTACACTCCACTGTAACTTTACAGGAAAAACCTGAAAGAAACTATCTTTTTTGGGGGTAGGGGGACAGGTGGTCTCTCCCTGTTGCCCAGGCTGGAGTGCAGTGGTGTGACCAAAGCTCACTGCAACCTTAAACTGCTGAGCTCAAGTGATGGTCCCCCATCAGCCTCCAGAGTAGCTGGGACTACAAGTGAATACCACGGTGACCAGCTAATTTTGGGGGGTTTTTTGTAGAGGAAGGGTCTGGCTATGTTGTCCAGGCTGGCCTTGAACTCCTGGCCTCAAGTGACCCTCCCAACTTGGTCTCCCAAAGTGTTGGGATTACAGGTGCGAGCCACTGCACCCGGCCAGAAACCATCTTAAGCTAAGAATCAGTAACAACGTCACCAGTAGTAAGACATATGATGCACTTAGAAGGACACATCACCTCTCTGATGTCCTTCCCCCAAATCTAAATCAAATCATGAATAAAAGCCAGTCAAACTCAAATGAAGAAACATTCCACAAAACACCTGACTAGTCCTCTTCAAAAGTAAGAAGGTCAGGTGCTGGGCACGATGGCTAACTCCTATAATCCCAGCACTTTGGGAGGCAGAGGCGGGTTAATTGCTTGAGATCAGGAGTTCAAGACCAGCCTGGACAACATGGAGAAACCTTGTCTCTACTAAAAATACAAAAATTAGCCTGGCGTGGTGCGGACACCTGTAATCCCAGCTACTCGGGAGGCCAAGGCAAGAGAATCATTTGAGCCTGGGAGGCAGAGGTTGCAGTGAGCCGAGATCGAGCCACTGTACTCCAGCCTGGGTGTGTGAGGCTCAGATTAGAAGTGACTAAGGAACCCTAACAATGAACTACAATATGGGACCCTGGATTGGATTTGGGAACAGAAAATAAGGCACATTACTGGGAAATCTGGTAAAATCTAAATAAGGGCCAGCAGTGGTGGCTCACACCTATAATCCCAGCACCTTGGAAGGCTGAGGCTGGCTGATCACCTGAGGTCAAGAGTTTGAGTCCAGTCTGGCCAACATGGTGAAACCCCATCTCTACTAAAAAATCAAAATTAGCCGGGCGTGGTGCCGGGTGCCCGTAATCCCAGCTCATCCAGAGGCTGAGGCAGCAGAGTCGCTTGAACCCAGGAAGTGAAGTTTGCAGTGAGCTGAGATCATGCCACCACATTCCAGCCTAGGAAACAAAGACTTCGTCAAAAAAAAAAAAAAAAAAAAAAATCTAAATAAGGTCTGTAGTTTACTTGACAGTATTGTACTAATGCTAATTTATGAGCTTTGACCATCATACCACAGTTACGTAAGATGTTACCATTAGGGAACTCTCTGTATTATCTTTGCAACTTTCCTGCAAGTCTAAAACTATTTCAAAACACAAAGTTAAAAATGAAGCTTACATCAAAGGCAGCAGCGTGCAGAGATGCAAAGAGATGAGTTTCTGGGTCAGATTCCTCCACTGCAGAAGCATGCTGACATCAGCCTGACCACTGCACTATCAATTAGTCCCTTATGGTCAGTCCATAGCAGGGAGAATCTATGGATTTACAAGGACAAGAAAGCAAAAGGAGACTGCAGACAGGCAACACGAACAGAAGTTTGAAAGAAGAAATGAAGGAGAAGTCAGCCGAGTGGAATTCCAATTGGCTACGGAGGGAGATGTTAATTCATGCCCAGGACCCCAGAGAGGAGGCTCCGGGAGGTGAGGAACAAGTTGTAGGGTTGGAAAAAAAAAAAAAAAAAAAAAAAGCATGGCTGTAATTCTGTATAAGGTTACATGGAATCAACCTAAATGCCCATCAATGACAGATTGGATAAAGAAAATGTGGTACACATACACCATGAAATACTATGCAGCCATGAAAAAGGAGATCCTGTCTTTTGTGGGAACATGGATAGAATGCTGCTCTCCCCTTAGTCCTCCATAGTCCACCCCTGTGCCAATTCCACCCAGACAGCTGAGTACCTCCCACTAGGGGCTCCAGGGCTGGGGTCCCAGGCACAGAAAAGGGCAAGGGGTAATGGGAGCAAAGGAAAGTTCCATGAAAGTCTAGATCCCAGATGGAGAGTCCTGAGCTCCTTCATGAGGCTCAGCGCCCAGCATGCACACAGCAGGCCTAGACTCCCAGCAGAATACTAGAAGTTTCCTCTCTAGGAAAACTGAATAGCCCTAGAGGAAAGATCTATAGATATGGGTATTTGGGCTTCACTTCATATATTAGTTTGCCATTACAAACTAATACAGAGGGGGGTGTATTGAACACCAGAAATTTATTTTTTCACAGTTCTGGAGGCTGAAAGTCCAAGCTGTCAGCAGGGTTGGTTTCATTCTGAGACGTCTCTCCTTGGCTTGTAGATGGCTGTATCTTCCAAGTGTCTTCACATGGTCTTCCCCCTGTGTGTCTGTGTCCTAATCTCCTTTTCTTACGAGGACACCAGGCATATTGGATTAAGGGCCACCCCAGTGACCTCGTTTAACTCCCATTTTCTCTTTCAAAGCCCTATCTCCAAGTACAGACACATTCCGAGATACTTGAGGTTAGGACCATAAAAGTATGCCTCTGCTGACAGATAAAATGAACTACACCCCATGGCTATTTAGGGTGAGTTAGAGCAGAACCAGGTGGTCATGGCTGGGTGAAGGTTCAGTCGCATACACTGTGTTCTCAGAAAGATGTTATGAAAGTCACGTACAATGTGTTCTCAGAAAGATGTTATGAAAATATCACAGGACCTCCCTTTCTACAATCAAGCCAAACCAGTTTCTGTTGTTGGTGCCAAGATAAACTGAAGCAAGAATTCCCCCACCTCCCAACTGGCCTTTTGAAAGGTCTAACAGAGACTTCTGGTTTGGGGCTTGGAAACCAACCAATCAGAGCTCACCCGCTCCATCCAGTCAGGGTTCAACCACATCAACCAGTCATGATTCGGCTGTGTGACCAACCAGAACTAAGCAAGTCCAAATCCTTCATTTGCATAAATGGACTTAATTGGGAACCTCAGCAGGGAGTTTTGCTATAAACCCTGAACGTATTTGTTCTCTGGAACTCACCTTTGTTTTACACCAAAGACGTGGCTCCCTTGTTTGCAAACTATTCACTGGAATGAAGTCTCTTTCCTCCAAATTACTTTTCAGAGAACTTAGGTTCACAGGACTCAACAAATGAATTTTGGAGGGACATAATTCATTTCATACACCCAGCAAAACAGCCATCCACCTGCCAGAGCACCTACCAGTGAGAACCATTGGCTTCCTCTTACCACCACAATGCACAGAAAGCTACCAAACATATTAGTGCCTTCCTCATAAATACAAAAGAACAAAGCATCACCAGACATTTGAGGAAAATAAAAATATGAGGACAGACATAAAAGCCTACAAATAGGTAAAATACACTTGGAGCAAGGAGTAGACAGACCCCTTGCAGAACACAAGGGAAACCCCCTTATCATCCTCAGAGAATCGAGGGAAAGATACCATATTCATTAAACAAGAACAGGATACTTAGAAAAAGGAAAAGTCAGGAAATAAGAAAGGCTCTTGGAAATTAAATATAACAAAAAATTTAAAACTCCAGAAGAGTTGGAAGATCAAATTGAAGAAATTTTTCAGAAAATTAAATTAAAAGACCAAAAAAAGTGAGAGAATAAAAAGCAAGTGATCAACTGAGATCTAGCACCTGACACAGAAGCATTCCAGAAAGAGATAACAGAGATGGCAGAGGAAACAAAGGTTTAATTTTAAAAATCTACTAGAACCAAAGATTCTGAGAAAGTAAACCAAAAATAAGAAAGAGATACACATATTGGTAAAGGCTAGAATGAGGCTGGTTCTTGGGCTCTTCATCACTCTTAATGACAATGCAGTAGACAGGAGAGATTGTTTGGGTGTGAATCTGACTCCACCCCCTTGGAAGAATTACCCTCAAGTTATTTAACCTCTCTATGCTTCACTTACCTAATTTGTAAAATGAAAGCAAAAATAGTGTTTACCTAATAGAGTTGCTGCAAATATCATATGAGATGGGACATCTGAGGTGACTGTCACGTAGTACCTGGTCAATAAATGTGAGTTATTGTCACTACAGCAGTCCCCAACCTTTTTGGCACCAGGGACAAGTTTCATAGAAGATAATTTGTCCACAGACTAGAGGGGAGGGGTGGTTTCAGGATGATTCAAGAGCATTACATTTATTCTGCACTTTACTGCTATTATTACTACTTACTCAACATTATGCAGAATCAGTGGGACCCCTGAGCTTGTTTTCCTGCAACTAGATGTCACTGTCTCCCATCTGGGGGTGATGGGAGACGGTGACAGATGATCAGACATTAGATTCTCATAAGAAGCACTCATCCTAGATCCCTCACATGCACAGTTCACAAAGGTTTCACACTCCTATGAGAATCTAATGCTGCTACTGGCCTGACAGGAGGTGGAGCTCAGGTGGTAATGCAAGCAATGGGGAGCAGCTGTAAATACAGATGAAGCTTCGATCGCTTGCCACCACTCACCTCCTGCTGTGAGGCCAGGTTCCTAACAGGCCACAGACCAGTTTGTGGCCCAGGGGTTGGGGACCCCTGTGTCACTACTTTGAACTTAGAATCAAGTAAAACCCTACAGTTATATTTAAAACTCATGCTGCTGCTCAAGGAAACAGGACACGAAACATAGCAGAGTGGAAGCAATTCTTAGGAGGGTTTTGCAGCTGTCCTGGGGCCAGCAGAGAGCAGAGCAGAGCTGCACCCTGGGCACCAGAATAAGCAACTCCAAGGAAAGAACAAAAACACAACAGAAGATGAAACTAATGTGCCCCACCATAGGGAAAAGAGTCCTCAACCTCTCAAGTAGCTGGGATTACAGGCACCCACCACCATGCCGGATAATTTTTGTAATTTTTAGTAGAGACGGGGTTTCACCATGTTGGCCAGGCTGGCCTCCAACTCCTGACCTCAAGTGATCCATCCGCCTCGGCCTCCCAAACTGCTGGGATTACAGGAGTGAGCTACCACGCCCGGCCTACCATTTTTAAAAGCCATAAAACTTATACATTTATTTTATTTCTGCGTGTGCCAATATGTGTAGAAAATGTTTTGAAAGTTGCACGATACATTACCCACAGTGCAAATTAGCATGGAGCTGGAAAGCCTGGAGATGGGCTATTGCTTTACTCTATTTCCCTATTATTGAATTTTTTTTTTTTTGAGACGGAGTCTAGCTCTGTCACCCAGGCTGGAGTGCAGTGGTGCGATCTCGGCTCATTGCAAGCTCCGCCTCCGGAGTTCACACCATTCTCCTGCCTCAGCCTCCCGAGTAGCTGGGACTACAGGCACCTGCTACCATGCCCAGTTAATTTTTTTTGTACATTTTAGTGGAGACAGGGTTTCACCGTGTTAGCCAGGATGGTCTCGATCTCCTGACCTTGTGATCGGCCCACCTCAGCCTCCCAAAGTGCTGGGATTACAGGCGTGAGCCACCATGCCCAGCCTGAATTTTTTTAACAACGACTATGTACATGACTTAGGTACTTCTTTAAAAATAAATAAAAAGGAGGGCATGACTTATAGAGGTAAGAACAACAACAAAAAAAAGAAAACCAGAATGATATAAGGTATTTGAAATCTAACAGTCACATCCCTAGATAAAAGCAACCTAATTGGTCTGATTAAGAGAAGAAAATTCTCCATCTGTGGTAAATCAAATGCAACAATATGCTGATTACTGAAGGCTCATGAAAACTAAACACATCTAGGACTAAAATACAAAAGTGGGTTAATCAAATGCAAGTGCAACAATATACCCGCAAATGAAAATTGAAGCCAAAAATACAAAGTTAAAAAAAAGAAAGAAAAAAAAGCACCGGGCACAATGGCTCATGCCTGTAATCCCAGCACTTTGGGAGGCCAAGGTGGGCGATCATATGGGAGTTCAAGACCAGCCTGGGCCACATGGCAAAACTCTATCTCAAAAAAAAAAAAAAAAAAAACAAAACACGAAAAAATTAGCTGTGCATGGTGGCATACGCCCATAGTCCCAGCTACTCAGGAGGCTGAAGTGGGAGGATCACTGGAGCTGAGAAGGTTGAGGCTGCAGTGAGCCAAGATCACACCACTGAACTGCAGGCTAAACAACAGGGCAAGACCCTGTCTCAAACAAAATAAAACTAAAAACAAATTTTAAAAATTTTTAAGTGGAAAATTAACACACAAATACACACATGGAAATTATATAACAATAAAGGAGAAAATAAATGACTAAGGTATTAAAGTTGTACTCCCAGACATAAAGTAGTTATATAACTACTATAGTAATAAAAATACATGTGTGTGTGCATATATGTGTATGTATATATGTGTATTTGTGTGTCTCTGTGTATATATGTGCATTTGTGTGTCTGTGTATATATGTGTGCGTATTTGTGTCTGTGTATATATGTGTATATGTGTGTGTTTGTGTCTGTGTGTATATATGTGTATTTGTATGTCTGTATATATATGTATATGTGTGTGTGTGTGTCTGTGTGTATGTGTGTAGATATGTATGTGTGTGTATTTGTGTGTGTGTATATGTGTGTTACATATGTATAATATACGTATATGTGTGTGTGTTGTAAGAAGCGCACATTACCCCCTAGGAGGTATACTTGCCCTCTCCCCTCCAAAAGCAAAGATGAAGTTGAATGTATCTGAGTCACCACATCAGGGGTTCTCAAAGTGTGGTCTGAGGCTTCTGGCGTTCCCCCAGAGCTACTTCACAAAGTCCACAAAATCAAAACTACTTTCTTAATAGTACAAAGACTTATTTGCCCTTTTCACTCTCATTCTTTACAAAGTGTACAGCAGAGTTTTCCAGAAGCTGCATGATATATCACGACATCATCTCTCTCTCTCTCTCTTCATGTTTTGGTGTTTGTTTGTGACAGGGTCTTGCTCTGTTGCCCATGCTGAAGTGCAATGGTGCGATCTTGGCTCACTGCAATCTCTAGTTCCTGGACTCAAGTAATCCTACCACCTCAGCCTCCTAAGTAGCTGGGGCTACAGGTGTGCACTACCACGCTTGGCTTTTTTATTATTATTATTATTATTTATGGAGACAAGGTCTCATGATATTGCCTAGGCTAGTGTTAAACTCCTGGGGTCAAGCAATCCTCCTGCCTCAGCCTGACATCAGCTCTCTAATGGCCAAGGGAGGAAGTGCTTATCTCTCCTGATGTGTTAAATTTTTCTGTTTAAATTTCTAATATGCAAAATATCAATACGTATGACCTATCTCAATACAAGCATTTTGGGGGTCTTCAATAAATTGTAAGATTGTGAAGGGTTCCTGAGCCCAAAATGTTTGAGAACGCTGCCCTTGTTCTAACCAGCAGTTTATAGCAAATACAAGGGTCTACAGAAGCAAGTTAAATTCCATGAGGAAACATCAGCAAAGCCCCAGGATATAATATCCGACATTTACAGGTGACATGACATAGTATCTGGGATTTGCTTTAAAATACTCCAGGACGAACAAGGGTGTCTGTGGGGTGGGAGCGAAAAAGATTGAAAAACTGAACATTAGTAAAAACCAGGTGACAGATGGGGTCTGTGGGGGTACATTTACAATCCTCTCTACTTTAAGACAGAATTTTTAATTTTATTGTCACAATACAATAAAGATAAAAAGAAATTCAGTAAATTATCTTCATTTTTTAGAGTAACAGTTACATCAGGAAAAAACATAAAATACAAGACCGTTTCAAAACACAACGATAATGACAACACTGCCTAAAAACTTAAGATGACAAAACAGGCTCCTCCACTAAGAATATCAATAAACAGAAAACAAACAACAACAAGGTGCAAAAAAAAGGATCAGTGAAAATTCATTATGTGGCAGGAGCTCTAAGCCCTAGGAGCCAGCAAGGGGAATGAATCCGGAACTGGACTCTGGTAACCAAAATGGAACAACTACAAGATTCAAACAGTGTTATGCAGAGAACACTTGGCATTCATTCCCGAAAAGATGAAAGGTGGCATTTCAAAATCAATCAAGGTTACACTGGGGTTTAAAAGAAGCTTAGGATAAAATGATAAGACAATTAAGAACATCCCAGAAATGCAGTCCAAAACAGAATTGGTTCTGCAAAACATCAAATCAATGAAACTTGTTACAGAGAATCAAGTAGAATTCAATGAATGCAGGGGAGCAAATGATGTATGCAACAAGGAACCTAATCTTCATATTGAAGGGTGTCTGTGAAGCTTAATCAAAAGGCCAGGTGCGGTGGCTCACGCCTGTAATCCCAGCACTTTGGGAGGCCCAGGCAGGTGGATTGCCTGAGGTCAGGAGTTCAAGACCAGCCTAGCCAACATGGTGAAACCCCATCTCCACTAAAAATACAAAAATTAGCCAGGGGTGGTGGCAGCTGCCTGTAATCCAAGCTACTCAGGAGGCTGAGGCAGGAGAATTGCTTGAACCCAGGAGGCGGAGGTTGCAGTGAGCCAAGATCACACCACTGCACTCCAGCCTGGGCAACAAGAGTGAGACACCATGTCAAAAAAAAAAAAAAAGCCAAATCAAGAAGTAACAGAAAAATGTGCCCTGGGAGGAAGCAGTTTTTCCACATTGTTTTAAAATCCAGTTTGGAGATGAAAGGGGCTCATGACATTCTTCCAGAACTGTCAAAGAGGAAGATATCAATCCCTCTCTTGGGAAATGCCTTCTTAATGCAAGGAAAAAGAGATACTAGGTCACCTTTAAAGAAACGTAACAAACAAGCCTTTTCTCAGAACTCTCATCTGAGACTTTAGTGACATAAACAAACCCCAGAAATAAAAGCAGAGAGACTTCAAGGTACTCTTCGTCCAGAAAAGCTGTTATTTAACAGCACCTGCAACAGAAGGACCTAAGTGCGTCCAGCACCTGAAGGAACTATTCATAGTGCACACCTCTCACTGACAAATTTCACTTCTGGAATTACTTCCAACAGCAACTGAGTTTAAATGCCAATTCCAAGAGATAAACCAAGGGCACTCATGGGAAGGGCCACTTTATTGTGAAAAATAAGAAGCAATACCACCACAGATCAAGGAGGGCCATATAACATTTGGTATCAAAGACAGAACTATTAAGAAGGAAAGAGTAACAACTGTTTTTCCACGAAGAGGATCCAAATTGCTGGACTGACGTAAGTAGTTAAAAGTTTAAACAGATGTATAGAGAGATGAGAGTTTGCTGAGCAATTTGGTTCAGTAATACTATGGTAGGAACAGGCTGGTTACCAGAAGAATGTAATCAATAAGGGGGACAAAAAAGAAAGCATTAGGCATTGAGGAATGGCCAGGATTTTGCAGTTATAATTGGAAAGAGATGTCAAAAGAATGATTAAAATGAAAATAAAAATTAGGATGACAGAAGATGATCCAAATATAACACCCAATATAAAAGAATTTAATTATCATCCCATGTGGGAGAAAAAGGAGTTCCTGACTGGATTAGTTAAGTGAAATCTGTTACACATGGATAAAAAGTATTCTCAGGGATGTATACAGATTTCTAAAAAGAAATAAAAGTAAAAACGGCTGGGTTACTGAGTAAATGAATCAAAATTCACTTAAGAAATGGATATATAGTTAACATAAAATGTCAAAGGCACACCGAAAATTGCAAACCAGAGAACACTATGTATTTATAAAACCATAAACATCTATGAAACATATAAATAAATACCAATTGCCAAGTGTATTAGTCTGTTTTCACGCTGCTGATAAAGACACACTGGGACTAGGAAGCAAAAGAGGTTTAATTGGACTTACAGTTCCACATGGCTGGGGAGGCCTCAGAATCATGGCAGAAGGCAAAAGCCACTTCTTACATGGTGGCAGCAAGAGAAAAATGAGGAAGAAGCAAAAGCAGAAACCCCTGATAAAACCGTAAGATCTCGTGAGATATTCACTATCATGAGAATAGCACAGGAAAGACTGGCCCCCATGATTCAATTACTTCCTCCTGGGTACCTCCTACAACAGGTGGGAATTCTGGGAGATACAACTCAAGTTGAGATTTTGGTGGGGACACAGCCAAACCATATCATTCTGCCCCTGGTCCCTCCAAATCTCATGTCCTCACATTTCAAAACCAATCATGCCTTCCCAACAGTCCCCCAAAGTCTTAATTCATTTCAGCATTAACCTAAAAGTCCACAGTCCAAAGTCTCATCTGAGACAAGGCAAGTCCCTTCCTCCTATGAGCCTATAAAATCAAAAGCAAGCTAGTTACTTCCTAGATACAATGGGGGTACAGGTATTGGGTAAATAGAGCTGTTCCAAATGGGAGAAATTGGCCAAAACAAAGGGGTCACAGGGCCCATGCAAGTCTGAAATCGAGCAGGGCAGTCCAATTTTAAAGCTCCAAATGATCTCTCTCCTTTGACTCCAGGTCTCACATCCAGGTCACACTGATGCCAAGAGGTGGGTTCCCATGGTCTTGGGAAGCTCCAACCCTGTGGCTTTGTAGGGTATAGCCCCCCCTCCTGGCTGCTTTCACAAGCTAGCGTTGAGTGTCTGTGGCTCTTCCAGGTGCACGGTGCAAGCTGTCAGTGGATCTATCATTCTGGAGTCTGGTGGACGGTGGCCCTCTTCTCAGAGCTCCACTAGGCAGTGCCCCAGTAGGGACTCTGTGTGGGGGCTCCAACCCCACATTTCCCTTCTGCACTGCCTTAGCAGAGGTTCTCCATGAGGGCCCCACCCCTGCAGCAAACTTTTGCCTGGGCATCCAGGTTTTTCCATACATCTTTTAAAATCTAGGTGGGGGTTCCCAAACCTCAATTCTTGACTTCTGTGCACCCTCAGGTTCAACAACATGTGGAAGCTGCCAAGGCTTGGGGCTTCCACCTTCCAAAGCCACAGCCTGAGCTGTATGTTGGCCCCTTTCAGCCAAGGCTGGAGTGGCTGGGATGCAGGGCACCAGGTCCCCAGGCTGCACACAGCACAGGGACCCTGGGCCAGGCCCACAAAACCACTTTTTCCTCCTGGGCTTCTGGGCCTGTGATGGGAGGGGCTGCTGTGAAGGTCTCTGACATGGCCTGGAGACATTTTCCCCATGGTCTTGGGGATTAACATTAGGCTCCTTGCTTCTTATGCAAATTTCTGCAGCTGCCTTGAATTTCTCCCCAGAAAATGGGTTTTTTCTTTTCTATCACATAGGCTGCAAATTTTCCAAACTTTTATGCTCTGTTTCCCTTATAAAACTCACAGTACCCAAGTCATGTCTTGAATGCTTTGCTGCTTAGAAATTTCTTCCGCCAGATACTGTAAATCATCTTTCTCAAGTTCAAAGTTCCACATATCTTGAGGGCAGGGGCAAAATGTTGCCAGTCTCTTAGCTAAAACATAACAAGAATCACCTTTACTCCAGTTCCCAAGTTCCTCATCTCCATCTGAGACCACCTCAGCCTGGACCTTATTGTCCATATAGCTATCAGCATTTTGGGCAAGGCCATTCAACAAGTCTCTAGGAAGTTCCAAACTTTCCCACATTTTCCTATCTTCTTCTGAGCCCTCCAAACTGTTCCAATCTCTCCCTGTTACCCAATTCCAAAGCTGCTTCCACATTTTTGGGTATCTTTTCAGCAACACCCCACTCTGCTAGTACCAATTAACTGTATTCGTCTGTTTTCATGCTGCTGATAAAGACATACCCAAGACTAGGAAGAAAATGAGGTTTAACTGGACTTACAGTTCCACATGGCTGGGGAAGCCTCAGAATCATGTGGGGAGGTAAAAGGCACATGCCGCATCTTACATGGCAGCAGCAAGAGAAAAACGATGAAGAAGCAAAAGCGGAAACCCCTGATAAACCCATCAGATCTCGTGAGACTTATTCACTATCATGAGAACAGCATGGGAAAAACCAGCCCCCATGATTCAACTACCTCCCCCTGGGTCCCTCCCACAACACGTGGAAATTCTGGGAGCTACAATTCAAGTTGAGATTTGGATGGGGACACAGCCAAACCATATCACCAAGGTAAAGAGAACTTGATAGAATCTCTGTTGTGGTGGTATACCATAAAATCAGGTCACTAGAATTTAGTAATATGGTTTAGTAAAAAGCAAAGACATTGATCTGAACAATGTAATTGATAAGACTGAATCTTTTTTCCAAAAATATTTTTGGAAATACAGAGCAGGGGAGAAAAAAATTTAGCAGCACTGTGAGTCTTAAATATAGCCGGTGGGGTTTATTTGACTCTTAAAAAATAGTGACAATAAGAGCTCATGTCTGTTGACAATGTACTACATGTCCATCACCTGCAGTCTCCCTTCTCATATAATCTTGGTAACAATGCTCCTAAGCAAACGCTCTTTCTGCTTCTACTTCACACATGAGGAAAGTGAGGCATAGGGAGGACAAATAACTTGAAGGTCACTGAACTTCCATGGGGTGGAGTGAGATTCAAACCCAAACAACCTCTCCTGTCCACTGCACTGTCACTAAAAGTGATGAACAATCCAAAAGCCAACCTCATTCTAGGCTTTACCAATATGGTGTATCTAAGAGAGTTACTTATTAGTTAAATTATAATATTCTACTAACAATTGCAAAACTGCTTTATTACCCACTCTCTTCACCACAACTCTGCAAACTCCACAAGAACAGGGCCTTTATAGTTAAAATTAAACTCAGGCAGACTTCAGTTCAAATTGTCACTCGGCCAGGAGTGGTGACTCATGCCTGTAATCCTGGCACTTTGGGAGGCCGAGGCAGGAGAATCACCTGAGCTCAGGAGTCCAAAACCAACTTGGGCAATGATCCGGTTTGGCTGCATCCCCACCCAAATCTCAACTTGAATTGCATCTCCCAGAATTCCCACGTGTTGTGAAACGGACCCAGGGGGAGATAATTGAATCATGGGGGCCAGTCTTTCCCATGCTATTCTTGTGATAGTGAATAAGTCTCAAACTTTGGGAGGCTGAAGCAGGTGGATCACCTAAGGTCAGGAGTTCAAGACCAGCCTGGCTAACATGGTGAAACCCCATCTCTACTAAAACTACAAAAATTAGCCAGGCATGGTGGCAGGTGCCTATAATCCCAGCTACTCAGGAGGCTGAGGCAGGAGAATTGCTTGAACCCAGGAGGCAGAGGTTGCAGTGAGCTCAGTTTGTGCCACTGCACTCCAGCCTCGGTGACAGAGCGAAACTCTGTCCCAAAATAAATAAATAAATAAATAAATAAATATCACAACATCTGATGGGTTGATCAGGAGTTTCCACTTTAGCTTCTTCCTCATTTTCTCTTGCTGCTGCCATGTAAGAAGTGCCTTTTGCCTCCTGCCATGATTCTGAGGCCTCTCCAGATATGTGGAACTGTTAAGTCTGATTAAACCTCTTTTTCTTCCCAGTCTCGGGTATGTCCTTATCAGCAGCATGAAAACGGACTAATATAGGCAATATGGCAAAACGCTGACTCTACAAAAAATAGAAAAATTAACCAGGCATGGTGATGCACACCTGCAGTCCCAGATACTTGGGAGGCTGAGGTGGGAGAATCGCTTGAGCCTGGGAGTTGGAGGCTGCAGTGAGCCATGATCACAATGCAGTCTAGCCTGGGTGACACAGCAAAACCCTGTCTCAAAAAAATAAAATAAAAAATAAAGTGTCATGCCACCACTATTACATAACTAAAATATAACCTTGGGCAAGTGAGTTAACTTCAAGAAGCCCCAGTTCCCCCTTGTAGATAAACAAATAAATACATAATTAAGAGTTTTTGTGAAGATTATGTGAGCCTATATATGAAAAGATAAAGCCCAGTACCCAGCACATAGAATTTGCTAAGTAAATCACAGCTCTACAACCCTAAACTGTGACCTGAGGAAGAGACTGCTAAACCGTGGTCCAAATCTTGCCCACTGCCTTGTTTTTGAAAGGCCCTCAAGTGAAGAATGGTTTTGCATTTGTAAAGGATTGAAAAACATTCAGAGAAGAATGATATTTTGCAACACATGGAAATTACATAAAATTCAAATGTTACTCTCCAAAAATAAAGTTTAGTTGGAACACAGCCACACTCATTTGTTTATGAGGTGTCTATGCCTGCTTTCACGCTGCAGTGGCACAGTTGCGTAGTTATGACAGAGACCATATGGCCCACAGAGCTGAAAATACTTACTCTCCAGCCTGTTTCAGGAGAAGTCTGCCAACCCCTAACCTAATCAATTACTGGACAAAGGTAGCAAATCAAGTAATTATAAATCAATTCTTTGTTTCCTCCGAGTGTAATGTTGTAAGTGGAGATTCCATTCCTGGAAGCCCATATCATATCATAAAAATACAGAAACATCTTATAAGAAAAAAATTAAAATATTAATACATTATATGATTTTAGAAGCACTCGTGGCCAGGTGTAGTGGCTCTCGCCTGTAGTCCCAGCACTTTGGGAGGTCAAGATGGGAAGACAGCCTGAGTCCAGGAGATCAAGACCAGCCTCGACAACATAGTAAGATCTCATCTCTACCAAAAATACGAAAAATTGGCTGGGCATGATGGCACACACCTGTAGTCCCAGCTACCCTGGAGGCTGAGACAGGAGGATCATTTGAGCCCAGGAGGTCAAGACTGCAGTGAGCTATGATCACACCACTGCACACCAGCCTGGGCAACAGAGAGAGATCCTATCTCAAAAAAAAAAAAAAAAAAAGCATTTATTAAATTAAAACAAATACAATATAAAGGCTATGCCATAAATGTTTCTGGGAGGGTATTTGTCTGCACTGAGTAGGTCTGGCTGAGACTTTTGGTTACAGTAATCTGTGAATGGGAGGCTCCTTCTCCCTTTTATCAATCTCCCTGTGGGAGCAGGCATCTGTTGTGTTTTGAGAAACACCACATTTAATTCCAAATTATAGCAATGGGCCAGGCGTGCTGGCTCATGACTGTAATCCCAGCAATTTGGAAGGCCAAGCCAGGCAGATCGCTTAAGTCCAGAAGTTCAAGACCAGCCTAGGCAACATGAAGAAAACCCATCTCTTCAAAAAATACAAAAATCAGCCAGTCATGGTTGTGGCATGACTGTAGCCCCAGCTACTTGGGAGGCCGAGGTGGGAGGATCACTTGCGCCCAGGGGGGTCGAGGTTGCAGTGAGCCATGATCGTGCCACTGCACTCCAGCCTGGGCAACAGAGCAAGACCCTGTCTCAAAAAAAAAAAAAAGAAAAAAGAAAAAAAATTACAGGCACATGTCCACCTCATTGCTTGTATACATCAGTGGCTCTAAATGTTGTACCCATGACAAATCCCAAAACAAATATAATGCCCACAAAACCACCTTCAACGAACTCCATTTCAGACAGATGCTCGTGTTTGAGCTCCAGGTGTCTTCAAGATCAAGTCTACACTCATAAATGGGCACACAAGGCTCCCAAGGACCAGTGAGTGGGTGTCAGCTCATTTCTCACTATGCCCTCCCAAATTCCAGGTGCGAGTGACACTTACCCATGGTGGAATGTTGTGTTTTGCCTCCAGAAGCCCTTGCTCAGGCAGTCCACGTGGCATGACGTGTACCCTACCTCCCTACCCCAACCCACCCGAGCCAGCATCTATCATCCTTACCCTCCACTTTGCTGATTAAGTCATTTTAGCTGGTACTGCATAGCAGAAGAAGAATGAAATACGGTATCTTCCTCCCACATCACTATAAAAGACAAAGCTAAACTAAATTATCCAGCTCCACATAACAGAAGATAAGGACATGGGGGCAGAAAGGAGAGAAGTGGGTGGTAATGCAATAATAATAAATAACATCCAAAATAAAATAAAACCAAAGATAAGGTAGGACAACGAAGGGACATGGTTTAAACTTACAAGTCAAAGATGAGAAGGCCATTGAGAGCACATTAAAATATAAACATACGTGGCTTACTTAACAACACAACACAATTGATCAATGGCAAAATTCAGGAAAGGGCTCTCTCTCTGATGAGAAGAAAAAGCAAAAAGTGAGGCTGGTTGATTCTGCTACTGATCGGTCTTTTTTTTTTTTCTTTGAGACAGAGTCTCGCTCTGTCGCCCAGGCTGGAGTGCAGTGGCACGATCTTGGCTCACTGCAAGCTCCACCTCCCGGGTTCACACCATTCTCCTGCCTCAGCCTGTCAAGTAGCTGGGACTACAGGCACTTACCACCACGCCCAGCTATTTTTTTTGTATTTTTAGTAAAGACGGGGTTTCACTGCATTAGCCAGGATGGTCTCGATCTCCTGACCTCGTGATCCGCCCGTCTTGGCCTCCCAAAGTGCTGGGATTACAGGCTTGAGCCACCACGCCCGGCCTACTGATCAGTCTTGACTAGAAAAGGGGTACCTCGTGCAGACAGTGCAAGACAGAGAAAACAGGAGAATCCAGATATGGTCTGCATTCCTTTAGCCGCAGAAATATGAGACCCTGATCAAGTAGAGGTCTTCATCAAAACTGCACTAGAAACCCACCGTCTTGGTCGCCCTGACAATAAAACTTCCCCTACACCTTACAGAAATATAATCATATTGGGAAAAGCCTGCAAATCAAGTAATTAATAATTAGGATCATCACTACCTTGAGGAAATCTCTGGAAAGCAATTTGGGAAGTGGGTTTTTATCTTAAAAAGTAGTATTACAACGGGGTAGCATGTGACTTATTTACAAAATGATGAACACAGGCCTCCACTCTCAAGAGAGCTCTGAGCACTGCTGCTTCTCCCGCTGCCTCTGGCCAAGTCAGGGGAGATCATGAATCATGACACTATTCTGTTCTCGTGGCTCACATGGTCAATTCATCACCACTGCTGTCAGAAAGGGTCCATGGACTGGGGAAGGTGGGAGATCTAGACCGGGTTAAGTGCCCTGCCCAGGTGCTGCTGAGCAGACTGCACACACAGAGCTGAATTTATGAGTACAAATTCATGAGCACAAGATAACCACTTGGTGTGTGTGTTTATATATAAATATATATATTTTATATATATATTCATATATATATACACACACAAACACACACCTCATATGTATACACACACATGAACACACACACCTCATATATTTGACAAAGAGACATGTCAAATATATATATATATATATTCTCTAGCTGGCAAAGCAATTTGGTAATTTGTATAAATACCCATATGACTACATGCAGTGGCTCAGTGTCATATCAAAAAGAAATCATTCTCAACAAAAAGCAGCCATCTGCACTGCAAAGTTTGTTACTGTATAATCTATCATAGCAAATTGTTAGAAATAACCTACTTATTTAATCAAAGGAACTGCTTAGGAGAATTATTAAATCCTAACTCAATGAAAGAGTCATGTAAAACAATAATCACTTAAATCATAATAATATGCAGAAATCCTGTGTTTTGATGCAATAATATCCTGAAACTCTACTGAATTCAGCATTTCTATACACTAACAATGAATTCTCTGAAAAAGTAATCAAGAAAACAATCTCATTTACAGTAGCATCAAAAAAATTCAAAACCAGCCTAGGCAACATAACAAGACCCCATCTCTACACAAAATTTAAAAATTAGTCAAGCGTGTGGTGGAGCGTGCCTGTACTCCCAGCTACTAGAGTGGCTGTGATGGAAGGATGGCTTGAGCCCAGGAGTTCGAGGCTGCAATGAGCATTACTGCACTGAGACCTGTCTCTTGAAAAAAGTAAAAAGTGGCCGGGCACGGTGGCTCATGTCTGTAATCCCAGCACTTTGGGAGGCCGAGGCAGGCGGATCACGAGGTCAAGAGATTGAGATCATCCTGGCCAACATGGTGGAATGCTGTCTCTACCAAAAATACAAAAATTAGCTGGGTATGGTGGTGCCCACCTGTAGTCTCAGCTACTCAGGAGGCTGAGGCAGGAGAATCGCTTGAACCTGGGAGGTGGGGGTTGCAATGAGCAAAGATCACGCCACTGCACTCCAGCCTGGCAACAGAGCGAGACTCTGTCTCAAAAAAAAAAAAAAAAAAAAGTAAAAAGTAAAAAATAAAAAATAAAATAAAATTCTTAGGAATAAATTTAACCAAGAAAACAAAAGATCTGTACACTGATAATAAAACATTGACAAGATAAATTAAAGAAGACACAAGTAAATGAAAAGATGTAATCCCAGCATTTTGGGTGGCCAAGACAGGTGGATTACTTGAGGTCAGGAGTTCGAGACCAGGCTGGCCAACATGGTGAAACCCCGTCTCTACTAAAAATACAAAAATTTACCAGGCATGGTGGCAGGCACCTATAATCCCAGCTACTTGAGAGGCTGAGGCACGAGAATTGCTTGAACCCAGGAGGCAGAGGTTACAGTGAGCCAAGATCGTGCCACTGTACTCCAGCCTGGGTGACAGGGTGAGACTCTGTTTCAAAAAACAAAAACAAAAACAAAAAAAACAAAGTAGGCAGGTATGGTGGTGCATGCCGGTAGTTTCAGGTACTCAGGTGGCTGAGGCAGGAGAATCACTTGAACCCAGGAGGCGGAGGTTGCAGTGAGCTGATATTGTGCCACTGCACTCCAGTCTGGGCAACAGGGTGAGACTCTGTCTCAAAAAAAAAAAAAGAAAAAGAAAAAAGAGAAGAGAAGAGAAAAGATACTCCATGTTCAAAAATTGAAAGAATTAATATTGTTAAAGTGTCCATACCACCCAAAGCAATCTACAGATTCAATGCAATCCCTATCAAATTCCAATGACATTTTTACAAAAATAAAAGAAAAATTGATCCTAAAACTTGCATAGAAGCACTAAAGACTCAAATATCCAAACAATCTCGTGCAAACAAAACAAAGCTGGAGGCATCACACTACCTGATTTCAAAATATAGTACAAAGATATAGTAATCAAAACAGCATGGTACTGGCATAAAAACAGACATCAACCAGTGGAACAGAACAGAGAGCTCAGTAATAAACACACACATTAACAGTCAATGCATTTACAACAGAGGTGCCAAGAACACACAATGAATAAGGGACAGTCTCTAATAAATGGTGTTGAGAAAACTGGATATCCACAAGCAGAATGAAGTCGGATCCTTTTCTCACATCATATACTAAAATCAACTCAAAATGGATTAAACACTTGAACAGAATACCTGGAACTTTTAAACTACTAGAACAAAACATGACATTGGTCTGGACAATGACTTTTTTGAATATGAATCCAAAAGCACAGACAACAAAAGCAAAAATCAACAAATGAGACTGCATCAAACTAAAAGGCTTCTGTACAGCAAAGTAAACAATCAACAGAGTGAAGAGACAACCCATGGACGGGGAGAAAATAATTTGAAAAATATGACACAGTCTGGATATTTGTCACTTAAAAGTGTGTGGTACCTCCTGACCCACTCTCTCATTTGCTCCTCCTTCTGCCATGTGACGTGCCAGCTCCCCCTTCGCCTTCTGCCATGATTATAAAGCTTCCTGAGGCCTCCCTCGAATCTGAGCAGATGCCAGCACTATACTTCCTGCAAAGCCTGCAGAACCATGAGCCAATTAAATCTCTTTTATTAAAAATTACCCAGTCTCAGGTATTTCTTTATAGCCATGTGTGAACAGCCTAATACACCATGCCCCTGACAAGGGGTTAATATCCAAAATTTATAAGGAACTTGAACAGCTCAAGAGCAAAGAAATAAATGACCTAATTTTAAAAATGGACAAAGAATCTGAATAGATATTTCTCAAAAGAAGAGATACAAATGGCCAACAAGTATATTAAAAAATGTCCAATAACATTAATCATCAGGGAAATGCAAATTGAAAACACAATGAGATTTTACCTCACATCCATTAGAATGGCTGTTTTCAAAAAGACGAAAGATAAGTGTTGGATGTGGAGAAAAAGGAACCCTGGTATGCTGTTGGTGGAAATGGAAAATTAATACAGCCACTATGGAAAACAGTATGGAGGCTCCTCAAAAAATTAAAAATGGAACCACCATATGATCCAGCAATCCCACGTCTGGGTACATATCCATTGGAACTGAACTTAGTATGTTGAAAAGATATCAGCACTCTCATGTTCATTGCAGCCCTACTCACAATAGCCAAGACACAGAATCAACCTAAGTGTCCATCAATGGATGATGGATAAAGAAAATGGTGTGTGTGTGTATGTATGTGTGTGTGTGTGTGCACGTGTGTATACATATACCCACTATTCAGCCTTTATAAAGAAGGAAATCCTGTCATTTGCAACAACGTGAATGAACCTGGAGGACATTAATCTAAGTGAAAACAGTAGGTACAGAAAGTCAAATACTGCGTAATCTCACTTATATGTGGAATCTAAAAAAGTCAAACTTATAGAAGCAGAGAATAGAATGGTGTTTACCAAAGGCTGGTGGCAGTGGCCGTGGGGTTTTGTTACAAAGGTTCGGTTTGACGGGAGGGATAAGTTTTGGAAATATCACAGCACGGTGACTACAGTTATTAATAAAGTATCACATATTTGAAAATTGCTAAGAGAGTAGGTTTTAAATGTTCTCACCATAGATAAGTATGTGCAATGATGGACATGTTAATTAGATGGATTTAATTGTTCCATCATGTATATAGATATTAAAACATTACAGTGTACCTAATAAAGATATACAATCATTACTTAATTAAATGTTTGATTCAACTACATTTTAAAAAAGAAAAATACTAATATGGAAAAAATCTTTGTGACATAAAGTTAAATGAAAAATTGCAAATATGCAACTAAAGCTAAGCTAGAATTAAAACAATGCAGACTTCACATACCTTTAAACAGAAATGTGTACACTTGAAAAAACTGTTATGGATGACTGTGGGTGAAAGTTTCACTTTCTTTTCTCTACTCCTGTTATAATATTGTCTGTGTGATGAATTATTTTAATTTAATTAAAATTTATCTAATTATACTTCACTGAAGCTACAGAATAAAGGTCTGCACTTTATGCTCCTTTTGCCCTGGAAAACTTTTCATTGCTTATTTATATTGTTTTATGTAAAATGCAATTTAAAACAGAAAAAAACGAGAGAAAAAAATACTATTTGGGGGAAAGGAATGAATAAAAGAGGATTTTCTTCATTGAACATTATAATATGTTTGAAACAAACATGTCATAAGGAGTAAAAAATACCTTAAAACCAAGTCACAGATCACTGAGAAAGAAGAGGCATCCCAGACATAGATCCCAAATGTTTAAAGAATTTAACTGCCAAAGTAGGCCAGGCGCAGTGGCTCACGCCTGTAATCCCAGCACTCTGGGAGGCAGAGGCGGGTGGATCACCTGAGGTCAAGAAATTGAGACCAGCCTGGCCAACATGGTGAAACCCCGTCTCTACTAAAAATAACAAAAATTAGCTGGGTGTGGTGGCGTGTGCCTGTAATCCCAGCGACTCGGAAGGGTGAGGGAGGCGAATTGCTTGAACCCGGGAGGCGGAGGTTGCAGTGAGCCGAAAGCATGCCATTTGCACTCCAGCCTGGTGACAGAGCGAGACTCCATCTCAAAAAACTAAAAAAAAAAAAAAACTGGCAAAGTAAAATAAAGTATAATTTCATGCATTAGGACAGAAATCAAACCAAAAAAAATGGAGAAAAACAAACTTAGATCCGTATCCAATCTAAATTTTGTGGCCAAAAAATAAGCTAAATATCACAAATCAAATAAGAAAACCTGGAATAAAACAAACAACATTGTCCTCCCGTGTAAGAGTTTTGAATGTGTATAACAGAAGAGAATCAGAGCAAAGATAAACATTCATTCACTCAATAAATATCTGAGTTCTCAGCAGGCATCAGTATTATGAGGCCAGAAAAAAACACATGAAAAGAAAGCCAATATGACTGGAAAATCCACACATGTATAGTATTAAGCCATACACGCATGCACACACAAATTATATATATATATATAAAAATAAACACACACACCCCCATACAAAGAAAAAATATGGTACCAGTTTCCTGCACATACACGAACACATAAACAGAACTCCTTTAATAAGCCAATTACTGAAAATGGATTTAATGATGTCAGTAATTAAAGAAATGCAAATCAAAACAGTGGGCACACTCTTTAAAATTAAAATTAGAAAAACAAAGAAAAACCATTAAGCCCAATTTTGGCAGAGAGATAACTGAATTGCCTGAATTCTTTGGGAAGAAAGTCTGACTAACTATATCAAGAGTGTTTAAAAATATAATCAGAATAATAATACATATAAATAACATCATATAAATGTACGTAAGTAATTATTTTAAAGAAGGAAAAAAGAGTTGAGTTTTGTTTTGTTTTCTGAGTCTAGATGCTAGGTATAGAAACATTCATTATTTTTAAAAAAATAGAAACGACCTAATAACTAAGTGATAGAAAATGGAAAAGCAATAAAGGTACATTAAACTGTGCACTATTATAGAGTTATCATAGCTATGTAGGAGCAGGAAAGAATATTTACTAAATAATGTAATGTGAGAAAAGCAGAAAAAAACTGAATATCCATAATGACTATAACCACGCAAAAAGCTCCATGTGTTTAAATAAAGATGGAACTAGGATAAGGAGAGATGAAAATAATTCAGGTATTTTAAGAAAAGTTTATAACTCAAGTTTTTGAACACTTTTGCAGGATGAAGGGACACAGAGAGTGATTTTAACACTTAAAATCCAGCCTCTAGGAACCATTAAAACCATTTACACCAGTGGACATGCAGTCACCTGGATTATTACTGCACCTAGTAGTAAATGCCAAAATGTGTCTGGTCAAAGGATCCCAAGGAAGGTGGTCTAGAATTATTTACATGGGTGCTCTCTAATGGTTGAGCATGCAGTGCAGGCTGACCCAGAGCAGATGCTCCATCAATACAAACACACCATCTACAAACATCTTGCACGAAGCCACGGGCCAGACTTACTGATAAAGACATGGGGCTTTCAAGCCAACATGATAACGTGGCAGAACTTTCTAAAACATACCATACTTATTCAGAGGAAACCTTCTTGTCATCACCACCAAGAGGCTATGAAAAGCTTCCTTGGAAGGAATTGATTTTCAACAAAAGGTACTTACTGGGTTAAAGACATTTGTGCCTTTACTTCAAGAAGTCAGCAGATTTCTCAAAACATTTTCTGAGGAGATGTGTGTTTACAAGAAAGGTCAATATTAATCTAATGGATTTAACTATTATCTCAACTCACTAGAAAGCAAGAAATGCACACTTTTCTGTAAGGAAGACAAAAAAGAGGAGGTTCTATTACAGTACCATAAACCCCTTGAGGATGGCGACATGGTCTTATTTTTCTTTATATCTCTATAGTCTACAAGTGTGTTATGTTGGATGGATGGATGGATGATGGATGAATATACATATGGATAGATGAGTGGGTGGATGGATGGATGGAGTGAGCTAATGGATAAGTGCATGGGTGGGTGGGTGGACACATACATGGATGGATGGATGGATGGATGGATGGATGGATGGATGGGTGGAAGGATGGACAGATGGATGGGTGGGTCGGTGGATGGGGTGAGTGGGTGGGCGGGTGGATCAGGTGAGCAGATGAATGGATTAATGAGCAGAAGGGTAGGCAGGATGGATGGATGGATGGATGGATGGATGGATGGATGGATGGATGAATGGATGGGGTTAGTGGATGGATGTGTGTGTGGATGGATGAGTGGGACAGAGAGGGTAAGGGTAAACAGATGGATGAATGGATGAGTAGGTGAGTGGGCCAGTGGACAGACAGATGATGGACGGTTAGAAATCCTAATCCACAAGAACCTGTGTAAACCACTTACATATGCCAATGGGTTACAAAAATTACAACTTTAGGAACAGTAGTGTTCTAACACAAGCCAAACAGGAAAGCAAACCAAAGATCTGGAAAATCATCCCATGAAAAATAAATAGATCATTTGCGAGATCTTTCAAAGAAGAATTTCAGGGCTCCTTGCCTTGTAAATTCAGCTTTAGCCACCCCCTTGGCCACCTAATCAAAGGACATGCAGCGCAGTGAAGTGCTTAAATGAGTCATTCTTGACAGATAAGACAGATGTATCTCAGCCACGGCCCGGTTATGCTCTGATAGAGGCCGCGGCCACATAGAGGTTCTCAAAGTATTATCCAGGACTAACAGTATCAACATGAACTGGGAACAGTTTAGAAAGGCAAAATCTCAAGCCCCGCCAAGACCTAAGGAATCAGAAATTCTGAGGATCGTGCCAGCATTTCATGTTTCAACAAGCTCTCCATGTGATTCTGAAACCTACTAAAGTTTATGAACCACGGCAGCCAACACATAAACGAAGGGAATGTGCTTAGTTTTGACCAGATTTCTTTTTGTGGGGAGAGAGAGGAGCAAAATACAGTCTCTTTATAAGAAAACATAGAGACCTTCTGGATGAAATGAAGTGAAAATTGCTTTGATTCTGAATGTTCGGCCACACCACCTGCAGAAACCAAGACTAAAATGGCTTGTCAATCTTAAGTACCTATCTTCCCAAGCTATAGCGTCGTTAATTAGGAGGTTCTTCATTCTTACAGGTCTGTGTTGGTGTCAGTCCAACTAGCGTCAGCTAGTGTCAGCTGGTGTTGGCCACTTACTGGTAGTCCAGGTTAGCTGTCTCCAGAGAAAATCCTGGAAGCTCAAAGACTTTTTGGCTTCTTCTCGATCTCTCTAGCGAAGGACCATGTTTAGTAAGTAGAGTCCAGGTCAGCAAAGAGCATGGAACATAACTCAATAAATGAAGGAAATGATGCCAAGAAACTGAAGGTCTTTCTGTTACTGCAGCAATGCCCAAATACTCACTACACCCATTTCGGTTAGTTATTGCTTTTGGATGGGAGAGCAGAAAAGAACCAACATTTGTTGGGGGCCACTATGTGCATATTTCTAATTTAACCCACACCATACCCACTTGAAGTTGGTATTTGCATCCTTTTTTTTTTTTTTTTTTTGAGACAGAGTCTCGCTCGGTCACCCAGGCTGGAGTGCAATGTCACAATCTCAACTCACTGCAACCTCCGCCTCCTGGGTTCAAGCGATTCTCCTGCCTCAGCCTCCCGAGTAGCTGGGATTACAGGAGCCCGCCACCACATCCAGCTAATTTTTTTGTAATTTGAGTAGAGACAGTTTCACCATGTTGGCCAGGCTGGTCTCGAACTCCCAACCTCTGGTGATCCGCCCACCTCGGCCTCCCAAAGTGCTGGGATTACAGGCATGAGTCACCGTGCCTGGCCTGCATCCCCTTTTTACAGAAGATTACAATAAATAAAGAAATTTGAAAGCAACATAATCATCCATCAACAGATGAATGAATAAAGAAAATCTTGATACATATACACAGTAGAGTACTATTCAGCCCTAAAAAGAAATAAGACCCTGTCATTTGCAACAACATGGATAAAACTGGAGGATATTATGTTAAGTGAAATAAGCCAGGCACAGAAAGATAATCATTGCTGACTCTCCCTTATTTGTGGAGGCTAAAAATTGAAACAGTTGAACTCATGGAGATAGAGAGCAAAAGGATGGTTACCAGAGGCTGGGAAGGGGAGTGGGGGAGTGGAGGAAAGTGGGGACTGTTAATGGGTACAAAAATATAATTAGATAAAATGAATAAGACCTACTACTTAAATGTACAACAGGGCCAGGCGCGGTGTCTCATGCCTGTAATCCCAGCACTTTGGGAGGCCGAGATGGGCGGATCACAAGGTCAGGAGATCGAGACCTCCCTGGCTAACACGGTGAAACCCCGTCTCCACTAAAAATGCAAAAAAAAAAAAAAATTAGCCGGCCGTGGTGGCAGGTGCCTGTAGTCCCAGCTACTCAGGAGGCTGTGGCAGGCGAATGGCGTGAAACCAGGAGGCGGAGTTTGCAGTGAGCGGAGATCGCGCCACTGCACTCCAGCTTGGGCGAAAGAGCGACACTCTGTCTCAAAAAAAAAAAAAAAAAAAAAAAAAGCACAACAGGGTGACTATAATCAATAATGTAATTGTTGCACATTTTAAAATAACTAAAAGAGTATGACTGGATTATTTGTAGCACAAAGGATAAATGCTCGAGAGGATGGATACCCCATTTTCCATGATGTGATTGTTACACACTGCATGTCTGAATCAAAGTATCTCATGTACTCTATAAACATATACACCTACTACGTATCCACAAAAATTAAAAATAAATTTTTTAAAAAAAAATTGGCGGGGCATAGTGGCTCACACCTGTAATCCCAGCACTTTGGGAGGCCAAGGAAGGCAGATCACTTGAGGTCAGGAGTTTGAGACCAGCCTGGCCAACATGGTGAAACCCCGTCTCTACTAAAAATATAAAAATTAGCCAGGCATCATTGCGCGCACCTGTAGTCCCAGCTACTCAGGAGGCTGAGGCAGGAGAATCGCTTGAGCCTGGGAAGCAGAGGTTGCAGTGAACCAAGATCACTTGAACCAAGATCACGCCACTGCACTCCAACCTGGGCGACAGAGCAAGACTCCGTCTCAAAAATAAATAATAATAATTTTTTTTTTAATTAAGCAACAGTCTCAAAGCCACACACTATCAAGTAGCATAACCAAGCTTTCAACTCAGGTATTCTGGGAGTCCCCAAGACCACCCCCAGGTCAATAATTCAGTAGGAGGAGACATAGGACTCAGCACATTGTACTCGTGGCTCTGATTTATTACAGTGGAGGATTCAAAACAGAAGCAGAAGAAGGGGCCAGGCGCGGTGGCTCACGCTTATAATCCCAACACTTTGGGAGGCTGAGGCGGGTGGATCACCTGAGGTCAGGAGTTCAAGACCACCATGGTCAACATGATGAAGTCCCATCTCTACTAAAAATACAAAAAAATTACCCAGGCATGGTGGCAGGTGCCTGTAACCCCAGCTACTTGAGAGGCTGAGGCAGGGGAATTGCTTGAACCTGGAGGCGGAGTTTGCAGGGAGCCAAGATCCTGCCACTGCACTCCAGCCTAGGCGACAGAGCAAGACCCTGTCTCAAAAATAAATAAATAAATAATAAAATAAATAAAAATAAAAAGCAGCAAGAGAGGGAACAGGCACATGGGAGGAGGTCTGGAGGAGACTGCGTGCAAGCTTCCAAGAGTTCTACCCCAGTGAAGTCACAGGGGATGCTGCTAATCCCTCCAGTAAGGAGTTCTGACAACACATGAGAAGAGTTTCCCATTAGAGAAGCTCATTAGGGAGTTAGTATGCAAGATTTTTATTGGGGGCTGGTCATAAGTGTCAAGAAACATTGGCTTATAGATTTGTATTAATCTATGGCTACTCATGAAATAATGGTTAAGATGATAGGCTCGGCTGGGTGCCTGTAACCCCAGCGCTTTGAGAGGATGAGGTGGGAGGATTGCTTGAGCTTAGGAGTTCCAGATGAGCCTGGGCAACACAGCAAGACTCTATCTCTACAAAAAAATTTAAAAATTAGCCAAGCATGGTGGCATGTGCCTGTAGTCCCAGCTACTTAGGAGGCTGAGGAGAGAGGGTCACTGGAGCCCAGGAGTCCGAGGGTGCAGTAAGCCATGATTGCAACACTGAACTCCAGTCTGGGTGACAGAGTGAGATCCCAACTCTACAAAAAAAATTAAAATATTAGCCAAGCATGGTGGCAGATGCCTGTGGTCCCAGCTATAGGAGACTCAGGTAGGAGGATCTCCTGAGCCCAGGAGGCTGAGGCAGCAGTAAGTTATGATCATGCCACTGCACTCCAACCTAGGTGAACAAGTGAGACCCCATCTCTACAAAAAAATTGAAAATATTAGCCAAGCATGGTGGCACGTGCCTGTGGTCCCAGCTATAGGAGACTGAGGCGGAAAGATCTCCTGAGGCCAGGAGGTCGAGGTGGCACTAAGTTATGATCATGCCAATGCACTCCAGCGTGGGCAACAGAGAGAGGCTTCATCTGAAAAAAATAAATAAATAAAATCACAGTCTCCAGAATTAGACAACAGCTTCAGTAGGAAGCTTCATCCATAAAATGGGGTTAATCATTCTACTCACTCTTTAGAGTTGTTTTGAGGATATAAGAAGGTAATGTCTGTAAAGTTATCAGCAGGTGGCAGACACAGAATATACATGCATATACATATTAGCTACTATTGCCTCCCCATTTATGCCATCAACCCCTGGCCAAAGCTAGGTGCTAGGCAGACGTATTTCTACATCAACTTACATCCAAGAACCTAAAGATGAGTGCAATGATGAGAAGCTGTGGTCAGATGGTGCCTCCAGACACCGGGGCAGTCCCCCCATTTCCTTAAAGACTTTGCTCCAACAGGGCTGTACAAATCTGAGACAGCACCGTGATGCTGAAGGGCTCTGATGTAACTCCACCAAGGTAGCATGCTTTAATTAAAGGGAGTAACCAAAGGGGAAAAACTGAAGTTGCTTTTGGTAATAAATAAAGTTTGGAGCTGGAAGGGAGAAAGAAGATCATATCCAAGAACCCAATTTTGCAGATGAGAAACTGAGGTACAGAGGGATTGAGTGGCTTAGCCAGGGACACACAGGTGCTCAGGGCCCAGGCTGTCACCCTGCTGACCCCATGTCCTCACTCATCAGCACCAACACAAGTGTCAGGCTCTGTCTCGTTGCATGGGTGAATCTCTATATAAAGTTATCTTCCCAAAAACCTACCTATTCCTTCTCCCTCCTCCAGTTCCAATACTGTATCTGCCAGGGAACAGCATTATTTGACCATGATGCTCTAACTCCCCTACCCTTTTCTTAAGATCCCATATACCCTTTTCCCAGGTAGGGAAAAAAATGTGTGCAGTGAAATGCCTGGTGACAAACCAAGACATTAAGAATTTCAAATAACTATTCGATGAGGACCACAGTCTAAGCTCAGTGGCCTGGGGCAAGTTCCTAAACCTCTGTGAGTGTCAAATTCCTCATTTATGACATGGACATCATATCTGCTTGATATGGTGGTGCATGATGGTGTGTACCTGTAGTCCCAGCTACTCAGGAGGCTGAGGTGGGAGGATCGTTTGAGCCCAGGAGGTCAAGGCTGCAGTGACCTCTGATTGCATCATTGCACTCCAGCCTGGGTGACAGAACAAGACCCTGTCTCAAAAATAAATAAATAAATAAAGCAGATGATTGGTTAGAGACCACCTACTTCACAAGGTTACTTTTATAACTGGATAAGACAGTGAATACAAGAATGCTTGATACCTCTAAAATATCACATCGATACAAGAAACCAGTATAGCTCTTTGTCAATACGCCCCGAAAGAGAGTAAAACATCATTCCCGTTTTTAACTGCACGTGGACCACAACACATTATTTTATTATTCACTTGCTATTTCTGTAGCTAATTCCCCAGCTTTCATTCTTTCCTTTTATAAAAGAAGCAAAAAGGAAATCAATGAAATAAGAATACTGCTATTTTCTGACACAAATTAAACTCCACATCCAAACACAAACAGAATCACAGTAGCATATGGGTCTATTTTCTCAATCTTCCCCCCAGGAGAGAATCAGCCATATGGCAGGAAGGAGTTGGCCGGGTGTTGTGATAAATGGGGCCCAGCTTTGTCTCCAGGCTCTGAAGGAGGAAGGACCCTGGCATTTGTAAAACCAGAAATGATGTCACTGCTGACACCTTCTCCCAGCTCTCCTCCACCGAGTCAAAGCCGGGAAAGGAGATGTTTACACCAAAAAAAAAAAAAAAAAAAAGACAAAAGCGTATCAGTGTAAAATCTGATGCATGTGGACAATTGCAATAGATGAGGGGCAAGTGTGGTGGCTTACACCTGTAATCCCAGCACTTTGGGAGGCCAAGGCAGGAAGATGGCTTGAGGCCAGGAGCCTGAGATCAGACAGGGCAATACAGCAAGACCCCACCTCTACAAAACAATTTAAAAATTAGCTGGGCATAGTGGTGTGCACCTGTAGTCCCAGATGCTCAGGAGGCTCAGGTAGGAGGATAGCTTGAGCCCGGGAGGTCAAGGCTGCAGTGAGCAATGATGGCACCACTGCACTCCAGCCTGGGCAACAGAGCAAGACCCTGTCTCAAAAATAAATAAATAAATAAATAAATAAATAAATAAATAAATAAATAAATGGTAGATGATGGTTAAAGACCAAGATGCATTCTCTCAAAGACTCTGGGTGCACACATGCCACTTACTCATGCAGAGCCTGTGTAAAGAGAGGCTATTAAGTGCCTGAGAGGTTGATCGCAGAGGATCACCTCTCCAGGTACCGCAGAAATAAAGGCAACACATGTGACGGAACCACATCAGTCAAGAAGTATTCAAGGAAGCATGTGGGCTACCACTCCACAGCCACTACCATGGCTAACAGGAAAAAGACTGACAACACCAAATGTTGGCAAGGATGAGGCACCACCGGAACTCTCATATGTTGCAGGCAAAAGTGAAAAATGTTACAATGATTTTCTAAATTTATTTGGCAGTTAAGAGTTAAATATAGGGCTGGGTGCAGTGGTTCATGCCTGTAATACCAGCACTTTGGGAGGCCAAGGTGGGTGGCTCACATGAGGTCAGGAGTTCAAGACCAGCCTGGCCAACATGGCAAAACCCCAACTCTATTAAAAATACAAAAATTAGCCAGGCATAGTGGCACATACTTGTAATCCCGGCTACTTGGGAGGCTGAGGCGGGAGGATCACTTGAACCTGGGAGGCAGAGGCTGCAGTGAGCTGAGATTGCATCACTGCATTCTAGCCTGGGTTACAGAGTAAGACTCCACCTCCAAAAAAAAAAAAAAGAATTAAATATACACTTGCCCTGTGATGGTTAGTATTGAGTGTCAACTTAATTGGATTGAAGGATGCAAAGTATTGTCCCTGGGTGTGTCTGTGAGGGTGTTGCCAAAGGAGATTAACATTTGAGTCAGTGGACTGGGAGAGACAGACCCACCCTCAATGGGGGTGGGCACCAACAAATCAGCTGCCAGTGTGGCTAGAATGAAACAGGCAGAAGAAGGTGGGAGAGGCTGACTTGCTGAGTCTTCCGGCCTTCATCTTTCTCTCGTGCTGGATGCTTCCTGACCTCGAACATCAGATTCCAAGTTCTTCGGCTTTTGGACTCTTGGACTTACCCCAGTGATTTGCCAGGGGCTCTTGGGCCTTTGGCCACAGACTGAAGGATACACTGTCAGCTGCTTCTCTACTTTTGAGGTTTTTGGGAATGAGCCAATACTGGCTTCCTTGCTCCTCAACTAGCAGATGGCCTATCATGGGACTTCACCTTGCGATCCTGTGAGTCAATTCTCCTTATAAGCCCCCTTTCATATATACATCTATCCTATTAGTTCTGTCCCTCTAGAGAACCCTGAGTAATACATATCCTATGACATAGTAATTCCACTCGTAGGTACTTATATAAAAGAAATGAAAATGCAGGCACACAAAAGTCCTATATAAAAGCAGACACAGTTGCTCTTTTCATAATAGCCAAAAACTGAAATGGTCTGGGTGTCCATCAACAGGAAAACAGATAAATAAACTGTGACAGATCCACACATAGAAGACGACGCAGCAATAAAAAGCAACGAAACTCCTGATAAACAACATGTATTGGGGTCAGCTAATTATCCCTGCAAACCAGCCATCTGTTTTCTGTAAATAAAGTTTTATTGAAACATAGCCACATGCAGTTATTTACATATTGTCTACACTGCTTTCCTGCTGCAACAGCAGAGTTGAGTAGTTGCTACAGAGATCTGGTGCCTGGCAAGTCTACCATATTTATTTTCCGCTTCTTTTTTTAAAAGACTGCAGACCTCTTGAGAAAAATGCAAAAAAAAAAAATGCTGAGTGAAAAACAAAACAAAACACAGAGACAAAAGAATATATATGCATGATTTCATTTCCATAAAGTTCTAGAGCAGGCAAAACTAATCTAGGGCTAAAAATATCAAAATAGTGCTTGTTTCTGGTGAATGTGGAAGACTGACTAGGAAGCGATACAAGAGAATTTCTGAGATGATGAAATTGTATTATGTATTGGTAGACTGTGGGTTACATAAATGTATGTGTTTCTCAAAACGAATCAAACTACACTTAAGGTCTGTGGATTTCACTCTGTATGTAAATTACATCTCAATTTTAAAACCCCCAAAAAATGAAAAAAATTCCAAGAAACACAAGGGCAGGATCTTACCTCTGAACCGGGCCCCCTATCTTGTGTCTTTGGAATCTGTGCATTCTTAGCATTTAAAATTCAGGTTCAAGCCAGGCACAGTGGCTCATGCCTGTAAAATCCCAGCACTTTGGGAGGCTGGGGCAGGCAGATCATTTGAGCCCAGGAGTTTGAGACCAGCCTGGGCAACACGGTGAACCCTGTCTCTACAAAAAATACAAAATACAGGTGGGCATGGTGGTGCACACCTGTAGTCCCTGATACTCGGTAGGCTGAGGTGGGAGGATCACTTGAGCCCAGGAGTTTAAGGCTGCAGAGAACCATGATCACACCACTGCACTCCAGCCTGGGTGACAAAGCAAGACCCCGTCTCAAAAAATTTTTTAATTTTAAAATTCAAGTTCAAATCTGTATTAGACCATTCTTGCACTGCTATAAACAAATACCCGAGACTGGGTAATTTATGAAGAAAAGAGATTGAATTGGCTCACATTTCTGGAGGCCATACAGGAAGCACAGTGCTGTCATCTGCCTGACTTCTGGTAAAGCCTCAGGAAGCTTTCAATCATGGATGAAGGTGAAGCAGGAGCAGGCACTTCACATGGCAAAAGCAAGAGCAAGAGAGACAGTGGGGGAGGTGCCATATACTTTTAAATGACCAGATCTTGCAAGAACTCACTTGCTATCAGGAAGACAGCACCAAGCCATGAGGGATCCGCTACCATGATCCAAACAGCTCCCTCCAGGCCCCAACTCCAGCATTGGTATTACATTTCAAAATCAGACTTTGGCAAGAATAGATATTCAAACTATATCAAAGCCCATCTTGTGCAACTTTTTTCTTAAAGATCAGCTGTTCCTAAAGACCAAGCCCCGGGTCTCTAGGGATTCCTCAGAAGAAATGGTTCTTGCAGCCAGGTGCTATGGCTCATGCCTGTAATCCCAGCACTTTGGGAGGCCAAGGTGGGCAGATCACAAGGTCAGGTGATCGAGACCATCCTGGCTAACACAGTGAAACCCTGCTTCTACTAAAAGTACAAAAAAATTAGCCAGGCGTGGTGGCAGGCACCTGTAGTCCCAGCTACTCGGGAGGCTGATGCAGGATAATCAATTGAACCCGGGAGGCAGAGGTTGCAGTGAGCTGAGATCACGCCATTGCACTCCAGCCTGGGCAACAAGAATGAAACTCTGTCTCAAAAAAAAAAAAAAAAGAAATGGTTCTTGCTTATTTTATGTATAGTCTTTGTTCAAACAAGCCTGCAGGACAGGCCCAAGATATTAAAAGCTCAAACTAAAGATGCTTTGGTTGAAGCAGAGTTGTAGCCAGGCCAACTCTTCTCCCAAACCTCCACCGAAGACAGCCCTTAAAGGACCTCCTCCAACCACACCCACAGCATCCATGATCACAAAGCCTTGATTGTTCCCTGCACCAACCACTGCAACACATCCTCCCAGCCAAGATCATTCCTGCCTTCCTCCCTCCAACTGCCCCTTCTCTCCAGAGACTGAGACCTGCACACCAGCTAGTCACCAGGTCTTATCAATCCCTCTGACGCCTACACATCAAACATGCCACCCCCACCACCTCTGTTGGCAGAACAAGTTCTGACTGAAGGACCCCCGGAAAAGCTGTCTTCCAAGAAGCAATGTATTATTCCATTTTCACATACCCGAGACAGGGTAATTTATAAAGAAAAAGAGGTTTAATGGACTCACAATTCCATGTGGCTGGGGAGGCTTCACAATCATGGCAGAAGGTGAAAGGCACATCTTACATGGCGGCAGGCAAGAAAGAATGAGAACCAAGAAAAAAGGAAACTCCTTATAAAACCATCAGATCTCATGAGATTTATTCACTACCACGAGGATAGTATGGGGGACACTGCCCCATGATTCAATTATCTCTGAGTCCATCCCACAATACATGGGAATTATGGGAGCTACAATTCAAGATGAGACTTGGGTGGGAACACAGCCTAACCATAAAAAGCAACAAGCTCTTTTGTCTAGTCTTCCCCTCCTTCTTGTTTTGAAACCTCATTTTTTCTTCTTCAAGAACTGTAGAGCAGCAATCAATATACCAAGGTGTATTTCACATTTAAACTGGGCTGCCTCTCCAGAAAAGCTCTCTCCTATTCTCTCACTCTCCCCGACTCTATTTTTTGTGAGATATGCCTGTGTCCAGTGGCCCAGTGACACATCCAAAGCTGTGCTGGGGATATTTCAAAAAGTGACTTGGGAACCCAAAAGCAAATGCAATAAGAACAAAGATAAATAGGTGGGACTTAATTAAACTAAAGAGCTTTTGCACAGCAAAAGTAACAGTCAGCAGAGTAAACAGACAACTCAGACTGGGAGAAAATCTTCACAATCTACACAACCGACAAAGGATTAATATCCAGAATCTACAATGAACTCAAACAAATTATCAAGAAAAAAGCAAACAATCCCATCAAAAAGTGGGCTAAGGACATGAATAGGCAATTCTCAAAAGAAGATATACAAATGGCCAACAGACATATGAAAAAATGCTCAGCATCACTAATGATCAGGAAAATGCAAATCAAAACCACAATGTGATACCACCTGACTCCCGCAAGAATCGCCATAATCAAAAAAAGTAACAAAATAATAGATGCTGGCGTGGTTACAGTGAAAAGGTAACACTTCTACACTGCTGGTGAAAATGTAAAATCATACAACCACCATGGAAAACGGTGTGGAGATTCCTTAAAGAACTAAAAGTAGAACTGCCATTTGATCCAGCAATCCCACTACTGGGCATCTACCCAGAGGAAAAGAAGTCATTATACGAAAAAGATACTTGCACACACGTTTATGGCAGCACATTTCGCAACTGCAAAAACACAGAATCAGCCCAAATGCCCATCACATGGGTAATGGATAAAGAGACTGTGGTATATATATACTATGGAATACTACTCAGTCATAAAAATGAATGAATTAATGGCATTCGCAGCAACTTGAAAGGGATTGGAGACTATAATATTATTCTAAGTGAAGTAACTCAGGAATGGAAAAACCAAACATTGTATGTTCTCACGCATATGTGGGAGCTAAGCTCTACAGCTGCAAAGGCATAAGAATGATACAATGGACTTTGGAGACTCAGGTGGAAAGGGTGGGAAGACTACAAATTGAGTGCAGTGTATACTGCTCGGGTGATAGGTGCGCCAAAATTTCACAAATCACCACTAAGGAATTTACTCATGGAACCAAATACCACCTGTTCCCCAAAAGTCTATGGAAATAAAAAATTTTTTTCTAAAAAAAGTAATTGGGTCTTCAACAGGAAACACCCTCCTCAGCCATTCCCCCACACAGACCAGGACAACTGCAACCTATGTGCACGTCAGTACCTCTGAATTTTGAAGCACAAAGTGTACTCTGAAAAGAATTCCACGATGAAAAGTGGATGAGGGGGGAGGTGGAAATAATATTAGGAAACCATTTATTTTTGTGGCTACTTCAAAAACATGACTGGTGAGCAAAAGTAACAATGATACGAACAAACGAAGCAGAGAGAAGTGAGCGTAACTCAGAAGAAATTTCCACCGGTTCCTCTCAAGTTTCTCAGTCTTTATGCCAGATCTTATTGCATTCACAGTTTTAAAGAGGCTGGACTTTTAAAGAGGGAGGATCGCTTGAGGCCAGGAATTTGAGACCAGCCTGGGCAACACAGCAATACGCCCACCTCTACAAAAAAAAAAAAAAAGAAAGAAAAATTAGCCAAGCATGGTGGCATGTGCCTGTAGTCCCAGCTACTCAGGAGGCTGAAGCAGAAGGATCAGGAGTTCGAGGCTGCAGTGACTTATGATCCTGCCACGGCACTCTAGCCTGGGTGACAGAGCAACACCTTGTCTCTAAAAACAAAACAACAAAAAATTAAGTATCTACTAAAAGTTGTAGTCGTCTTCTCTTTGTTGCAGTTTGAGTGCCTTCTCACACTGCAGCTGGGTGCATCTGTCAGAGACTTAAGCTTTGCTTTTAAATACAAAATCCAGAGAAAACAGGAAAAGGGACCTGGGAGATGAAAGTAAGGGAAGCCATCTACTTGAATGTTTACCTTGGGGAAGTAAAAGGAAAAATAAAGAGAAACGCAAGCTCTGTCTGCAGAGAAGGAGTTGCCAGGCTACAGCAGGCCCAGCCTTTCTCGCCTTAGGGAAAATATTCATTTTCCCAGTAGAGCACCAGTCTGGATGTACATGACCAGATAGCTGAGTTGGTTTGTACAGGCCAAAGTCTCGCTTTCGTTTTGGTACTGGCTGCAGAAATAACAGCTATAAACTCCTTTGTTAGGGAAGTGAGTTTACAGTTTTCATAATAGTGAGCCAGTTGGCCCTCCTTTCTGTCACCTCCAGAGTTGATCAGCTTATGAAGGGCAATGGCAAACTGGAAGTGAAATCTGGGAGGAGGGACTCAGGATCAGCTTCTAGGAGCCTCTCCCACCTGCTAAGTCCAAGCCTGAAATGTAAGCTCTTACACTCTCCAGCTAGGACTTGAAGGCCATGAAGTGTCCAAAGAAGAGCAAAGATAGTAAGACAGTTGGGCCTGCCCCAGGAGGCAGAGGCCCCGCTCAGCTTAGGCCTGCGGCAGGGGTGAGAGGAAGCAGAGACCACACTCTCTTGTACACTAAGTTTTCAGTAGCAGCAGTCCAAACCCCCATAAACTGGCCTCATCTGATTCCTAGCTTCTGAACCAAGTAGATAAGAGTTCCCCCTCCTCTTGGAGAGGATAAAGGGGAAAGGGGAGTAGAGAGGGATGCAATTTTAGCTTCTGGCTTGAAATAATATAAGGAAATTAGCCAGAAAATATTAATTTAAGGGCTAAAAGACCCATAAAGAGCAGAATCCTCCTTGTTCAAAAATGTGGGTTGCATACACAGTTTCTTTACATGGATTACCATTTTTGGAAAACCTAAATGGAGTAATTTACAACTGTTATACAAATCTTAACCACCAAGATTTAATGCATCTCTGTTGATTCAGAGGGCATAAAGGAATCTTGAATGATCTGGGAGGTCTTTACTGTGACCTTTACTAACAGCTTACCAACATTTCCTGAGTGTTGTGTGAGACACAGCTTGTGCTTCATATATTTTCTCTCTAAACTTCACAATGACTCTACGACTGACTATGATTATTAGCTGCATTTTGCAGATAGGGAAATGGAGTTGTAGAAAATTACAGAATGGGGGCCGGGCGCAGTGGCTCACGCCTGTAATCCCAGCACTTTGGTAGGCCGAGGTGGGCGGATCACGAGGTCAGGAGATTGAGACCATCCTGGCTAACACGGTGAAACCCCGTCTCCACTAAAAATACAAAAAATTAGCTAGGCGTGGTGGTGGGCACCTGTAGTCCCAGCTACTCGGGAGGCTGAGGCAGGAGAATGGCGTGAACCCAGGAGGCGGAGCTTGCAGTGAGCCAACTCCAGCCTGGGCGACAGAGCCAGACTCCGTCTCAAAAAAAAAAAAAAAAAAGAAAAGAAACGAAAATTAGAGAATGGGGCAGGTATGGGGGCTCATGCCTGTAATCGCAGCACTTTGGGAGGCCAAGGCAGGAGGATTTCTTGGACCCAGGAGTTCAAGACCTGCCTGACCAACAGAGGCCTTGTCTCTATAAAAAAAAAATTAGCAAGGCATGGTGGCATGTGCCTGTAGTCCCAGCTACTTGGGAGGCTGAGGTGGGGGGATCACCTGAGCCCGAGAAGTCAAGGCTGCAGTGAGCCGTGATGAGACCATTGTACTCCAGCCTGGGAGGCAGAGAGAGACCCTGTCTGAAGAAAGAGAGAGAGACAGACAGACAGAGAGAGACAGAGAGAGGAAGGAGGGGACAGAGAGGAAGGAAGGGGAGGGGACGGGAGGGGAGGAGAGGGGAAGGGAGGCGAGGGCAGGGGAGGAAGAAGGGAGAAGAAGGAAGGAGGAGGAGAAAAAGAAGCAGAAGGAGGAGGAGGAGGGGGAGGAAGAGAAGAGGAAGGAAGGAAGGAGGGAGGGAGGGAAGGAAGAAGGAAGGAAGGAAGGAAGGAAGGAAGGAAGGAAGGAAGGAAGGAAGGAAGGAAGGAAGTGAGGAAGGGAGGGAGGGAGGGTGGGTTAGAGAATGCCCCCAGCTCACAGGGCTTGTGCAGCAGGCTGCCTCCACATCCAGAAGTCTTATACACTGCCCTAAAACTCCATCATTTACCACATTATTTTTAGTGCTGTTCTAACAGTCAATTTAGAATTCCAGCTAATGCAACTGACACAGCACTTGCAGGTATGGTTACACAGGGGCTAATGTAACATGGGTCTTTAATAATACCTGTCATACAGTAAACCCAAGAAGGGCAAAAAGTGCACGGCCCATTCCAAGTAACAAGCTATTTCCCACCTTGGGAGAGAGGAAGGGAAGTCTAAGAGCTGGGCCAGGGAGCTGGCGATTTCAGTCAGCGGGGCAGTTTCTAACTCAACAGAGCCTATCTTAAGAGGATAAGGCTCTTAGATGCCTGAGCTCAAGATGGGGAGGATTTACCTGCAGTAAAGTGTGTGTTGGTGAAGACATCAGCCAGCAGATGGGCTCTGATGATAAGCTTTCTAGAAAGGTCAGGAGAGCAGAGCTGGAGAGGCCAGTGTAATTTGGCCCCAGCACTCAAGCTAGCAGAGATCAAATCATCGAGTGGTTGGAGTATTTAGGTTACTCCATCACCATGACACTGTGCATTACTCCACTAGGGCTGCCGTGGAGTAATGCCACAAAGCTGTGTGGCTTGAACAACAGAAATGTATCTTCTCACAGTCCTGGAAACTGGAAGTCCGAGATGAAGGTGTCAGCGGGGTTGATTTCTTTTGAGGTCAGTCTCTCTTGGTTTGTAGATGGCCGCCTTCTTCCATTGCCTTTCATAATCTTCTGTGTGTGTCTGTGTCCTAATCTCCTCTTTTTATAAGGACACCTTCATTTTCATTTAATTACCTCGTTAACGACCGTATCTCCCAATAGGGTTGTATTTTGAGGGAGGTGCTGGAGGTTAGGACTTCATATGAATTTGTGGGGAGACAATTCGGTCTGTAACTCACAGTAGCTCTTAGTGAAGATGTGGTTGTCCCTGCTGCTGCTTTGTGTGTTGATTTTTTTTTTTTGAGATGGAGTCTTGCTCTTGTTGCCCAGGCTGGAGTGCAATGGCACAATCTTGGCTCACTCCAACCTCTGCCTACCGGGTTCACGCGATTCTCCTGCCTCAAGTAGCTGGGATTACAGGCACCCGCCATCACGCCCAGCTAATTTTTGTTATTTTTCGTACAGTGGGGGTTTCACCATGTTGCCCAGGCTGGTCTTGAACTCCTGACCTCAGGTGATCCACCCATCTTGGCCTACCAAAGTGCTGGGATTACAGGCGCAATGTGTGTTGGTTTTTACAGAAAGGGAACAGACACTGGATTTCTGGCTCGGGGGATCTCCATGGGGAATTCTCCAAGGCGTCTGACCTCAGGGTCTTGGCGAGCAATATCTGGAATCAACTCTTACCTGGGGGAACCATCTTAACAGGAACACTCTTTGACGTGGGAGGAATTCAATACCCCCAGGAAGTCCCTTGACCTCAAAAATGCGAGAGTGGGAGCCTTTGAATGGAGTGGAAGGAACTGGGGGAAGACAGCAATTGTGTGTCCAAATAGCACACCAGGCCAAGATCAGTGGGCTCTGCTCAGGAGTGATTCCTTCTGTCTTCAAGAGCTACACTGGGAAGAAATGTATGAAGACAGCAAAGCCATCAGCTGCCTAGTACCAGGTGGGTGAAATCGTGAAATGCCCAGCTAGACAGTGAATGTGCCCCCAAGCACTAGGCTCGATTACTTAAGAAAAAAAAAGGCAACCGGGTCACTCTCATCTCTGGCACAGTTTCCGCCTTGTACTGATGCTCCATTGAAAAAGCCCCTTTCACTCTGCACATCTGGGTCATGAAATCATCAAAGAATCACAAAACTCCGCAAGGTCCACAATGCCCCAGCAGCCCTGCAGTGCTCTGGCATGAAATGTACACGGTCTGTTCTAAGAAACAATTGCCCTCTGCATCCAAAGGGCCAGCTTGCAAAGCCTGAAAACTTTAAGTGGTTCATGAACAGAGAAAGATTCTTTTCTTTTGAGTCCAAACAGCAGCCTGGGAAGACTCTGACAAATGGGCAAGATGACCAGAGTGCCCTACCCCATCATACATGCAGTCATAATTTTGCAGGTTAGCAAATGAGCATAACGTAATCCCAGAAGTCCTCCCCAGTCTGTCAGCTGCTGGAGCCGGCCAGCTCTGCCCTCCCCAGGACACAAGATCTGCTGTAACATTTGGAAAGCCTCCTCGTCTGCTTGTGAAGAATTTGTGGCAGAACATGCAGTGTTCTCAAAATGTTACCTGAGAGACTTCAGAAACAAGACTCTGAGCTCCAGAGTTTAAGCAAAGTAATAAACTAGATTGCCTACAAATGTTAAATGCTGATTAATGATCCCAAGGACACCTCTCTAACTGTCAGCTCCAGTAGACAAGACTAGGAGAAAAATACTCCTACACGGCCTGGAGCATAAAGGTGAAGCAGCAGAATTCAAAAAGGTTCTCATGACTTTGTGCAACTGGATCTCCAAGTCCAGCCCTGGGCCAGCAGCGTCCACAGGACATGTCAGTGTTTGCTCTTAATCAAGATGCAACAACAGAAATGTATAAATGTATCTTCTTCTCACAGTCCTGGAAACTGGAAGTCTGAGATGACTGATTGATGTCTCACGTCTCCACCTCTTACTGAACCAGAAACTCAGATAGCACCCACAAAGTGCCAACTAGTGATTCTCTCTCTTATTTATTTATTTTTTTTAGATGGAGTTTCGCTCTTGATGCCCAGGCTGGAGTGCAATAGTGCTATCTTGGCTCACTGCAACCTCCTCCTCTGGGGTTCAAGTGATTCTTCTGCCTCAGCCTCCCGAGTAGCTGAGACTACAGGCATGCGCCACCACGCCCAGCTAATTTTGTATTTTTAGTAGAGACGGAGTTTCTCCATATTGGTCAGGCTGGTCTTGAACGCCCAACCTCCGGTGATCCGCCCGCCTTGGCCTCCCAAAGTGCTGGGACTACAGGCATGAGCCACCGCGCCAGCCTTTTTTTTTTCCTTTTAAGAGTCAGGGTCTCATTCTGTCACCCAGGCTGGAGTGCAATGGTGCCATCACAGATCACTGTAGCCTTCAACTCCTGGGTTCAAGCGATCCTCCTGCCTCAGCCTCCTGAGTAGCTGGGACTATAGGTGTGTGCCACCATGTCTGGCTAATTTTTTTTATTTTTACTTTTTTATAGGGATGGGATCTTGCTAAGTTACCTAGGGCTGGTTTTGAACTCCTGGCCTCCAGTCATCCTCCTTCCTTGGCCTCCCAAAGTGCTAGAATTACAGGCATGAGCCACCGTGCCCAGCCCCCATCAAGGTGATTCTGATGCATACTCAAGTAGTGTCAACTTAATGGTCCATAAGCAAATATCACCCCTTCATCCTTCTCATCACCAGCTAATTTGTTTCAGCTAACATTTACAAACTACTATGTATCAGGATCAGTGAAAGGCCCTGGGGTCAAGAATGAAAAGAAAGGTTACCCTTGACCCTCCCTTTTCTTTTCTGTCCTATATCCAGACTCCTATTTCCTCTCAGTTCCTCTTTTGAAAGGGCTCCAGTATCTGTTTTCCTGTCTATTAATATTAGGTTGGTGCACAAATAATTGCGGTTTTAAGCCATTACTTTTTTTTTTTTTTTAAGACGAGTCTTGCTCTGTCGCCCAGGCTGGAGTGTAGTGGTGTGATCTCGGCTCACTGTAACCTATGCCTCCTGGGTTCAAGCTATTCTCCTGCCTCAACCTCCCAAGTAGCTGGGACTATAGGTGTCCACCACCACACTCGGTTAATTTTTTGTGTTTTTAGTAGAGACAGGTTTTGCCATATTGGCCAGGCTGGTCTCGAACTCCTGGCCTCAAGTGATCCGCCTGCCTCGGCCTCCCAAAGTGCCGGGATTACAGGAGTGAGCCACCGCACCTGGCCTGGCCATGACTTTTATTGTCAAAACTGCAATTACTTGTGCACCAACCTAATATTTCCACAATGACCGTGTTCATCACATTATATAATACCTAGCTTGTCACACCTGCTTCCCAAACTGAGTTCTTGGCCTCTGTTCTTCCCCAAGCCCTTCCCTTCTCATGCACACCATCCAAATGCCATCACTCAGCTTTCATGAGCTTGAACTTCTCCACCCCAAACTGATTTGCCCCAGCTCTGAGAACTTTTGTCTCCCAGCTGAAATACAACTCCTAAAGCTGTGGATGACAGCGTATCCATCTCCCCAGGTGTCTAGTGGTGTAAGGTAACATGAAAAGGGCAAGCCATTTAATACGTCCACCTCAGTTTTTCATCTGCAGAAGGGTGATATTAAGAATGACCACATTCCCAAGGGCATCTTGAAGATCAAAATGAGAGACTGCATTTGAGAGCAATCTGTGAAATAGAAAGCAGGAGGTCAACGTGAAGGAGCCTTCTTTCCCACCATTCATCTGCACGTGACTTCTTAATAAAACTCAAAAACTCATTAGCTGGGTGCGGTGGTTCACGCCTGTAATCCTAGCACTTTGGGAGGCTGAGTCAGGCCTTGGATTTCCTGAGCTCAGGAGTTTGAGAACAGCCTGGGTGGGAGTGAAACCCCGTCTCTACTAAAATACAAAAAATTAGCCAGGTGTGGCGGCATGCACCAGTAGTCCCAGCTACTACGGAGGCTGAGGCAGGAGAATCGACTGAACCCGGGAGGCAGAGGTTGCACTGAGCTGAGATCACACCATTACACTCCAGCCTGGGCGACAGAGCGACACTCCATCTCAAAAAAAAAGTAAGAAAAAAAATACTCATTGTTGTCTTGATTATAGCAAAGGCTTCAAGGTGTAAACATACATTAAAACAACAAATTGTATGCTTTAAATAAGTACAGTTTTTTATATCAATTATACCTCAATAAAGCTATTTAAACAACAAAATCTCATATTTGGCTCTGGTGTCCAGTATTGTCAGAGTAGCTTGTATATACCAAACCTCCTGCAAGTAACAATTATCAAATTTGAACAAAATATTTTCTTTAATGAACTTATTTAAGGGTCCAGAGAGTGATGAAAAGCAGGCAGAAAGTAGACAGGAGTATCCTTGAAAGACAACTGAGGAAGTTAAGATTTCTGAGTGTGTAGCAGTCTTTTGCCTGAGATCCAGAACTGTAACTGGCTTGATGTATCAGAAAAAAACTTGGGGGCTAGAAGAACAGCCAGAAAGTCAGAGGTGGAACCCTGGTAGGCAGGCCTCTGCAGATGGTGCAAGCCCACAAAATCTGTGTATGAAATCCATGCAAATCCTTGGCTCACCAAGAGCCTAGGATGTGAGAAACCACAGGAGTATGGTGAAAAAGCAGCAGCTGGAAGCTGAAAGAAAGAGTGGAGATGTCAGCTGCTGCCTGGTGTGAACCTCAAAAATTTGAGACAGGTCTCAGTTTATTTAGAAAGTTTATTCTGCCAAAGTTGAGGATGCATGCCTGTGACACAGCCTCAGGAGGTCCTGATGACATGTGCCCAAGGTGGTCAGAGCACAGTTTGGTTTTATACATTTTAGGGAGACATGAGACATCAATCAACATATGTAAGATGAACATTGGTTCAGTCCGGAAAGGCAGGACAACTCAAAGCATGGAGGAGGCTACCAGGTCATAGGTAGATAAGACACAAATGGTTGCATTCTTTTGAGTTTCTGATTCACCTTTCCAAAGGAGGCGATCAGATATGCATTTATCTCAATGAGCAGAGGGGTGACTTTGAATAAATGGGAGGCAGGCTTGCTCTAAGCAGTTCCCAGCTTGACGTTTCCCTTTCCCTTAGGGATTTTGGGGACCCAGGGTATTTTCCTTTCACATTAGCTAGCCCAAAGGATCAAGTTTGAAGTCTGAGCCCAGCCAAGTTAACTCTCTGTTAGATAAAAATCCATTGAAAGGAATATAGCAGGATCCAGAGTCTCCACAACATATACTTAATAGTGTCCAGGAATTGATCAAAAATCACTAGACAGGTGATGAAATGAAAAAATATAATCTGAACTCAAGGAAAAAATTCATTTAAAAAAAATCAACCCAAGGATGATCCAGATGTTGAAATGAGTAGATAAGAACTATAAGGCAGCTATTATACATACGTCCAAGAATTTTAAATGAAAAATATATACACAATGAATGAACAGATGGGGAATCTAACCCCCAAATCAGAAACTGTGAAAACAGAATCATCTAGAAGTAAAATATACACTAACTGGAATGAGATTAACAGCATATCAAAGATAGCAGAAGCATCTGGGAACTTCAAGACAGATCAACAGAAACCATCCAATCTGAAAAGCAGTGAAGAAAAAAAGACTTAAAAAATAGAACAGAGCCTCCCAGACCTGTGGGACAATATCAGTCCATTCAATACACTTATATTTAGAGTCTCAGAGGAAAGGAGAGAGAGAATAAGGCAGAAAAGACGTGAAGAAATAGGCCTACAACTTACAGATTTAGTGAAAGACAAAAATATAGATTCAAGAAAATCACCAAAACCCAAGCAGGGATAAATAGAAAGAAAACTACCTCTAGGAAAACTGCTAAAATACAAAGTTAAAATCTTGAAAACAGCCAGAAAAAAATGACAAATCACATGCAGGGGAACAATAATACAAATGATAATGAACTTATCAGAAGCCATGGAGACCAAAAGACTACAGAATGATATCTTTAAAGTGGAGAATTTTTAAAAACTGTCAACCCAGAATTCTGTATATAGCAAAACTTTCTTCAAAAATGAAAATGAAACATAAACATTTTCAAATAAAGAAAATTAGAGAATTTATTATAAGCAGACCCACACTACAAGGAATTCTAAAGGAATTTCTTCAGCCAGAAAGGAAATGACTCTAGATGGTATCTCAGGTATACAGGAGGGAGTGAATACCAATGGACATAAAATGTATACAGTGGTCTCTGAATTAAAGACAGGGCCACAGGAAAAATATACACATTTAGAAGGTTACCTAAATCATCAGGCAAGCAACCCCTACCTTCCTTTTAACATAAATATATATAGATTATAGTCTCTAGATTGATTTTGGATAGCTATACTCCAGTTTCTTGATAAAAGTAAATGTCTTCATATATGCAGGCTGAAATAACAAAATAATTTTAAGACATAAAAGTAAATAACGTGACACAAGCTATATGCATGCTCATATGAGCAACTCGTTGGTAAAATTAATTTTAAAAAAACAACTCTGTCATGTCCCTTGCTTTTTTTCCATGCTGGCCCTCTAACTGGAACGTCTTTTCCATCATCTCCATCATCTCTGTATGTCCAACTCTACCTAACATTCAGAGTGCAGCTCTAATGCCCTGATACTTTCCCCCTTCTCCCCAGGCAGAAGGGCTTCCTTGAGCCTCTCTGAAACTGTCTCGGTATTTCAATGCTTTCTAACTTGAATTGTTGTTTGAGTACAAGCTACAAGGAATCAGATTTTCAGCCATGGTTTTCAAATAAACTGAGTATCAGGACCACCCAGGGAAAATGGTACTAAATCAGAGTCCAGACATGGGAAGCGAAGAGTGAGGGATAGAGTGGGATGGGGTTCCCGGGGAGCAGGCTTTCTAAGACCCTGAGTGACTGGAGACAGAGATATTGATCAAGGACATATGGCTCTGTCCTATTCCCCAAGGTGGAAGGGGAGGTTAGGGAGGGAAACTAGCCTGTTAATGCTGAGTTTGATTTGGATACCAAGAGAGATCAGTGTCTGTAAATGTCCTCGAACATATGAGGACAGTAGCTTGGCCCCGCTCTCCGACAGGCCCCTACATGCTCCAGAAGAGACACCAGCAACAGCGCACTCCATGGAGAACCCAGAGGCAAGGAAAAAGCCCAGCAAGTGCATATTACATCTGCCCCTGCTCGAAGCTCTGTCCTTTTAGTAACTACATTCACAGCTTAGCATGAGCATGCAACCTCAAGCATCCTCTCCGCTTCTAGAGACAAAGCTCTTTAGGGCAGGCATGGCATTTAATGCACATTCAAATTCTTTTAGGTTCCAGCATACCGTAAGTGCTCAAATAAATGCCTGCTAGATGAAATCAACGAATGTTGCATCCTCCCTAGCTGCTCCAGCTCCACGGAGGGAAGCAAATACTGAAGGCCACATTATCCCCAGCAGGCTTGGGGACACATCAAACACCTGCCACCTCCACTCAGGTTCAGAGTACACAACAGCCTCCTATAGGGACCCAGGGAGGCTAGCAAACCCTATTCGGCTCAAAGTTGTCCAAAAACTAGGAAACATGGTTGTCTGTTCCAAGAAGAAGCTACCTCTGTGGGTTTGTAGTTCATGAACCCATCCTGATGCAGTATTTCCCAACAAATCAATGGGACCCCAAATCTAACTCCATCCTCCTCATTCCCTTTTCCTGTCCTGCCACTCACACTGCCCTCTCTGTGAATGCCTCCCCGCCATGGAGACACGAATCCAAACTGAGTGTCAGGTCAGATTTTTTGCTCTTTCTCATTGCTCACATCCAACAATTAAATCCTGCCACTTTAGCCCCTGGACGGGCAGGGTTTTCCAAAAATGGCCACAGCAATATTTTGAGATCTTGCCACACCCCGTCAAGAGGAGGAGATAATCTTTCCTCCTCCTGAACTTGTGCCTGGCTTGATGAACAGAACGGGGCGACAGCGGCGGTATATGGGGACTTCAGAGGCTACATCCTAAAATTCAGTATTGTTCTGCTTGGTGTTCTCATTCTCTCTCTCCTCCTCCCCACTCGCCCTCATAATCCAGACACCATGTTGTGAAGGATCCCAGGCCACATGTCGAGGCCACACGTAGGTGCTCCAAATAAGATCCTTGCTGAAAGCCAGCATTAACCAGCCAGATGGGAGTGACAGGCTTCAAATGACTACAGACCTCCACATTTGAGCCATTACAAGTGATATCCAGTAGACCAGAAACAGAGTCATCTTGCCAAGCTCTGTCCAAATTGAAGATTTGTAAGAAAAATAAACATTGTCTCTTTTTTTGAGATAGTGTCTCACTCTGTTGTCCAGGCTGGAGGGTAGTGGCACAAACATGGCTCATTGCAGCCTTGAACCCCTGGACTCAAGCATTCCTCCTGCCTTAGCCTTCTGAGTAGCTGGGACTACAGGCGTGCACCACCATGCCTAGCCTGTTGTCATTATTTTAAGTTATTAAGTTTTTGGACAATCTGTTACAGAGACATAATCACTAGAATACCCCCACAAATATCTCTGAGCCCTCCATTCTCCAGCCCAGTTGCCAAATTTTAGTTCAGGCCACCACCGCCTCTCATCCCAACAATTTCAAGAGACTCTCAGTGAGTCTTCCCAAACTCCATTCCCTTCCTTCTTTATTTCATCCTCCATGTTCCTCCCAGAGGGACCCTCTAAGACACAAGTCACTCCCCTGCATAAACTCTTACAGATAGTAGATAAGATATTTGATAGACAGACAGATAGATGATAGATAGATAAGATAGATAGATGATACAGATAGAGAATAGATAACAGATTGACAGATGATAGAAATAAATAGATATAGGTAGATGACAAAGACAGACAAATAGATAAATGATAGGGACAGATGATAGATAATTGAGACAGATAGATAATAGATAGATGAATGGATAGACAGATAGACTGATGGATGGACAGATGGATGGAAGTGTGGACAGACAGTGATGGAGGGATGGATGGATGGAGGGATAGATAGACGGATGGATAGATGGAAAGGAAGAAAGGAAGAAAGAAAGAAGAATGGATGGACAGATAGACTGATGGATGGATGAATGGACGGACAGACAGACTGATGGATAGATAGATAGATATAGATAGAATAGAAAGAAGGATAAGCAAACATGGCAAAACATTAATTGTAGAATCTAGGGGTTGAGCTCATTGATATCAATATGGTCCTTCCTACTTGTATGCATGTTTGAAATTTTTCATTTAAAAAGTTTTCAAAAGTGGAAATAAACCTTCCATCGCTCCCCAAAGACAGAAACCCAAATTCCTAAGCAAGACACAATGTCAGGCCTCTGAGCCCACGCTAAGCCATCATATCCCCTGTGACCTACACGTCTACATCCAGATCGCCTGAAGCAACTGAAGATCCACAAAAGTGAAAATAGCCTTAACTGATGACATTCCACCATTGTGATTTGTTTCTGCCCCACCCTAACTGATCAATGCACTTTGTAATCTCCCCCACCCTTAAGAAGGTTCTTTGTAATTCTCCCCACCCTTGAGAATGTACTTTGTGAGATCCATCCCCTGCCCGCAAAACATTGCTCCTAACTCCACCGCCCATCCCGAAACCTATAAGAATTAATGATAACCCACCACGCTTTGCTGACTCTCTTTTGGGACTCAGCCGGCCTGCACCCAGATGAAATAAACAGCCATGTTGCTCACACAAAGCCTGTTTAGTGGTCTCTTCACACGGACACGTGAGACACACACCAGCCTCTTCTTCATTTGGCTTCTGCTGTCAGAACCACCTTCCCCACAGGTCCCCAGAGCCCCAGGCCGGCCTAACCATGTGCAGACCCCTGACATCTCACACCCCAGTGCCAATGTGCGGTCATGGCCTCTGCTTAGAGGAACTCCCCCCGGCTTCTTTCTCCGCTAACCTATGAAGGTATCAACACTCAGCTCAGATGTCCCTTCCTCTGAGGCCTCCCTGACCCTGGAGATCTGCCAGGACTCCCCGGGCACCTGGAGCAGAGCCCACAGTAGCACTCTGAGAGGCTATGGGTTACGTATCCCAAACCCTCTCCTGTCTATGAGCCCCTCAAGGGCTTTACCCGTCCTTGTCAACTCCATGCCTGGCACTGTGCCAGGGAACTGAAGAATCTCTTGAGTCGCCTCCAAGAAAACAGTGGAAACAGAAGAAGTTGGTTCAGACACAAGTGTATTTAGTCCTCCTCTTCCCAGTTTTCTCTCCTGACCTCCCATTCAGTGCACTCATATATTCAACAGACTCATGCATTCAACTGCATTTATTGAATGCTTACTCTGTGCCAAGTACTGCTCTGATATTAAGGACATAATGTGAACAAAATAGGGAAAAAAAATACCCTGAGCTTGAGTGGCTTACTTCTATTTATTATTTATTTATTTATTTATTTTTGAGACAGAGTCTCGCCCTATCGCACAAGCTGGAGTGCAGTGGCACAATCTCAGCTCACTGCAACCTCCGCCTCCCAGGTTCAAGCGATCCTCCTGCCTCAGCCTCCTGAGTAGCTGGGATTACAAGTGTGCACCGCCATGCCCAGCTAATTTTTGTATTTTTAGTAGAGATGGGTTTTTGCCATGTTGGCCAGGCTGGTCTCGAATTCCTGACTTCAAATGATCTGCCTGCCTCAGCCTCCCAAAGTGCTGGGAATACAGACATGAACCACACCCGACCATTGAGTGGCTTGCTTTTAATAAGAAAGACAGTAATATTAGAAATCACCACTAAACTAATATTAAAAGTCATAAGTAAACTAATACTTTCTCCTCCCAGTAAGCAACAATACCCATCACCTTATCACAATATGCACAGCCCAAGAGATGCAGCCTCCAGTCACGCTATGACCCCAAGAGTACAAAATCTCTGTCTTCATTCACACTGACATGGCTGGAGATACCAGGGTGCACATGTAGAACCATTCTGCCAAACCCTGACGGTCCCTGAGGGTCCCCAGTGCACTTCCGCATCTGAGACTCAAAGAAACAACCAAATCAATATATAACACCCCTCCAGGTTCTCCTGGAACAGGCATGTCAGTGTCCAGGGCCAGCGTCCAGCAGCTACATTGTGTTGAGACAGGTAGGCTTACAGCCAGAAAAGACTTCTACCTTCTTAAAACCGAGCAATCATAATCAGGATAGCAATAAATATACAGGAGCTTTGGAGTGCCAAGAAAACCCAAACCCCATTCTAGCATCTGCTCCTCTCCTGGCCCCATTTTCCTTCTCTCAGTTTTGCTGTTCCTGTCATCAGTTCTTCCACAGTCTCTCTTCTCTCCTTTGGGACAGAACAACACCTCATTTCAAAAGTCCCATTTCAAAGCAAACAGGAGTATGAGGACATTTCAAAGCCACCCAAAACTGCTTATCTCAGTTATCAGATTACTTCATTTATTAAGAAATCCTGGGTTTCAGAGCAATTCCAAGGCTAGGGGACTTATATCTATCCAGTAAACATTTATGAAGTTACTATTAGGTCCAAGGCACTGTTGGTGATAAACTCTTGCCCTGGTAGCTCCCACTCCACAGGAGTGGTCCTTACGGTGTCTTCTGGACTGAGCAGTTGTGATGGCCTCTATCCATTGCTCTGGGGATAACCAAACATCACAGATCACATTAGAGACAGAAAAGGTTTATTTCAGGGTTCTTAGAGTCTGTTCCTAAGTCTAGCTAGCTTCATCCATAGTTCTTTTTTTTTTTTCTTTTTTTTTTTAAGACAGAGTGTCTGTCACCCGGGCTGCAATACAGTGGTGGTGAGATCATAACTCACTGCAGCCTTGAACTTCTGGGCTCAAGCAATCCTCCTGTCTCAGTCTCCTGAGTAGCTGGGTCCGCAGGTGCACATACCATGCCTGGTTCATTTTTTGTAGAGATGGGGTCTCACTATGTTGCCCCAGCTAGTCTCCAACTCCTGAGCTCAAGCAATCCTCCCACCTTGGCCTCTCAAAGTGCTGGGATTACAAGCGTGAGCCACTGCACCCAGCCTCATCCATAGTTATGATGAACACACACACCTTAACTTCTCCTTCTCACTTCTTCGCCCTCCTCTCATATTCTTCATATATTCTGTTTCCCATCTGTCCTATGTGGTTTTCTTCCACCTATTCCTTAATTCCCTTCCATAAAATCCCTCTCACATTACCACCCCCAGGTAACCCAAGAGCTGAAAAGAATTAATCCTGAAGATTGGATAGGTGGGCTGGGGGTGGGAGGGTGCATCCTTTCTGGAAAGTAAATCTCAAACGACGGAAAGTCAAAAATAGTCAAGGAAAACACTCTAGAAACTTTCACTCAAGTTGTTCAGAAATTTGTAACCCTCCATTCTTCATGATATTGCCCATCTCTTTACAAATGTGATCACCGAAGTTAGTTAAAGAAAAGCTATCACCAAGCCCAGCAGCAGCTCTAGGACTGATTTACAACACATGCAGCTGCATTTCCACATTCAACCTCATCGTGTGTATTTCCAATATAGTTACAAGCAATTCCTAGTTATCCTTGGCAACATCCCAGAATCTTCTGTAAATAAAGCAAAAGTAAATAGCACAGAAACTTCAGAATATAAAAATCCTTTGGCACTACACAACAAATTCCATTACGGTGGGATACACATTTGTCTACATTTGTTTTACGTTTCATATTCTTCTTTTGTTTTGTTTTGGTTTTTGGAGACAGGGTCTTGCTCTGTTGCCCAGGCTAGAGTGCAGTGGTGCAATCATAGCTGACTGCAACACTGAACTGCCAGGCTCAAGCCATCTTCCCGCCTCATCGTCCCCAGTAACAGCTACTCCTGGCTAATTTTTATTTTTAATTTTTTTATGGGGGAGTGTCTCACTATGTTGCTCAGGCTGGTCTTGAACTCCTGGCCTCAAGCAATTCCCTCGCCTTGGCCTCCCAGAGCACTGGGATTACAGGTGTGGGCCAACATGCCCAAGCATTTTACGTTTTACATTCTATAATAGCTAACTTCACAAAGCACAGAAAACTGAACAACACTGATATTGAGCACATCCACTTTTGAGTAATTGGAAATCAAAGATTTCTAACGAGACTTAAATTATCTTTCTAAAAGAATTATTCAGAGATATACGGCTTCTTTTAAATTTTTACCCTTGTCCTGTTTCTTCCTCAAACTCATTTTAAGTCACCTTAAGGGAAAAAAAAATTCCCAGAGAGGTGTCCTACTAATCACATGTTTGGGAAATTCTGCCTCTGACCTACCTAGCAATAAAGATGAAAAACAGGGAAAAAAAAGAACTAAACAGCACAGGTTATTTAAAATAGCTATAAAGTAAAATGGCATTTGTTTAATCAACTTTCATTAAAAAGCAAAGTTCGAAATCATATGACCCCAGATCTGTATCTCCTTGGGAGAAATGTATAATACACCTTGAATTATTTGGGGGGCAATTTAACTCCCAATCAGCCATCCCTTTGCCAGTGTTAAAATATCAAGCATCCCTTATCAGGACAAACACACATGTACACACACACTCAAAATTCAAAATAAGCTACTTTTTAAATAAAGCTTCAGGCCAGGTGCAGTGACTCATGCCTGTAATCCCAGCACTTTGGGAGGCCGAGGTGGGAGGATCTCCTGAGGTCAGGAGTTCAAAACCAGCCTAGCCAACATAGTGAAACCCCGTCTCTACTAAAAATACAAAAATTAGCCAGGGGTGATCGCATGTGCCTGTAATCACAGCTACTCAGGAAGCTGAAGCAGGAGAATCGCTCGAACCCGGGAGGCAGAGGTTGCGGTGAGCCGAGATGGCACCACTGCTCTACAGCCTGGGTGACAGAGTGAGACTCTGTCTCAAATAAATAAATAAATAAATAAATAATAAAAAATAAAGCTTCAACTTTTAAACTGAACATATCCCTTCTCGATCTACATCTTTGAAGGGGGAGGAAAAAAACAGCATCCTGGATATTCTTATGGAAGTGAAAATATTCATTCACTTTCATTCATTCATTCATTACACAACATTCACTATCAAGGCAAGATGTAAATAAGACTCAGCCACAATCCTCAAGGACAAGACAGTCAAATGACAGAGACAAACAATAGATCCAGACACAGTGGCTGGCATCTGTAGTCCCAGCTATGTGGAGGATGAGGTGAAAGGATCACTTGATCCCAGGAGTTTGAGACCAGCCTTGACAGCATAGCAAGACCCCATCTAAAAAAAAAAAAATGATGAAGGTAAGATAAAGTGTTATCAATTTAATACTAAGAAAGGGACTCTGGTAGGACACAACTTGCACTCACATACAAAAAGTGTAGGGCAACAATCCAATCTAAAAGTACACCAAGGCTGGGGGCAATGGCTCATGCCTGTAATCTCAGCACTTCAGAAGGCCAAGGTGGGCTTATCACTTGAGCCCAGGAGTTTGAGACCAGCCTGGACAACATGGTGAAACCCCGTCTCTACAAATAATAGCAAAATTAGCCAGGCGTGATGGCATGCACCTGTAGTTCCAGCTACTCTGGAGGCTGAGGTGGGAGGATCACTTGAGCCCAAGATGTCAAGGCTGCAGTGAGCCATGATCACGCCACTGTACTCTAGCCTGAGCAACAGTGTGAGACCCTGTCTCAAATAAATAAATATAGTGCAGCAAACTATATAAAAACCCATTATGTAAAAATTCAATTCAGTGACTTCCACATCGAACCAAGACGGAGAAACAGAGACCACACTGGCTTTTCCCGCTGAAACCACTGAAGTAACAGACAAAATACTCAAAAGAACACTTCTGAAGACACTGGCTATTAGGCCACAAAGCACAGTTATCCCCAAGAGACAGAAAGAAATGATGTGAGGCCACTACCTTGAGAGGGTTCCCAGGATGCACGGTAGGAAAAGAGAGCCTAGGGGGGATGCTGGCGGACTCCCTGAGCTGAGCAGATAGAGATGAGGATTGCAAGGAGATCGAGGCAGCTATTAGGTGGGTGCAAAAATCGTAATTACTTTTGCAACAACCTAATAGAATCTGTAGGACTAAGGAGTTTGGAGGAGAAAGCTGCACAGAGGGAGAACTCCAGAGATCTGTAGTGGTTCCCATTCAGTCAGTGAGCTGGATACTGATCACATCATCAGAACGAAAAACAAGACCCCAGGCTGGGAGAAAGGACCCACCCCAAAGGATTAGAGGTGACAGTGCCTGGACTCTCACAGGGCCAGGGACAGCCTCTGTCGCTACCAGCCAGAGGACACACAGACACAGTCATTCTAAACAAAATGTCAGCAATCAAATTCAACAATACATTTAAAAGATGGACAGGTAGAGTTTATCCCCACCTGCAGAAATTAACTGGTCCCAAAATTCACACAGAAATGCAAAGGACCTAAAGCAATCAAAACAACTTTTTAAAAAAGTTATTAATACTGTATATTTGAAACTTGCTAAGAGAGTAGATTTTAGGTGCTCTTACCACACACACACACACACACACACACACACATACACGTAACTATGTGAGCTGATGGATGTGTTAATTTGCTTGACTATAGTATTAAATATTTAATTCACTATATATGAGTATATAAAAACGTCATGTTACGGTACACCTTAAATATAGAATTTTCTTTTTTTTTTGATATAGAGTCTCACCCTGTTGCCCAGGCTGGAGTGCAATGGTGCGATCTCGGTTCACTGCAACATCCGCCTCCGGGGTTCAAAAGATTCTCCTGCCTCAGCCTCCTGAGTAGCTGGGGTTACAGCCGCCCGCCACCACACCCAGCTAATTTTTGTATTTTTAGTAGAGACGGGGCTTCACCATGTTGGCCAGCCTGGTCTTGAAATCCTGACCTCGTGATCCACCCATCTCGGCCTCCCAAAGTGGTGGGATTACAGGCATGAGCCACCGCGCCCGGCCCAAATATAGAAAATGTTAAAATACAAAGTTGGAGGACCAGCATTACCTGATTACAAGACTTCTTATAAAACTAATCAAGGCAGTGTGGTATCACTGCAAATACAGACAAACACAGCAATGGACAGAATACAGAGTCCAAAACCCTACCTAGACATACATGGACAATAAATTTTTGACAAAGGCACAAGAAATTTGTGCTGGAACAACTGGATATCTATATGTAAAAACTTAAAAATACATTTCGAGCCATAGCTTGCATCATATACGAAAATAGATCACAGTTATAAATGTAAAACCTAAAACTATAACACTTATAAAAGGAAGCCGGGTGAGGTGACTCACGCCTGAAATCCCATCACTTTAGGAGGCCGGAAAGGGTGAATCCCCTGAGGTCAGTAGCTCAAGACCAGCCTGGCCAACACGGAAAAACAAAAATTAGCTGAGCATCGTGGCGCACGCCTGTAATCCCAACTTCCTTGGAGGCTGAGGCACAAGAATCGCTTGAACCCAGGAGGTGGAGGTTGCAGTGAGCCAAGATCACGCCACGGCACTCCAGCCTGAGCGACACAGTGAGTGAGACTCCATCTCAAAAAAAATAATAAAACAAAACATAAAATAACACCTCCATGACAAGGCGTTTTAGACAGATTTTTAGATATGATACCAAAAGTATGATCCATAAAAGAATGAATAGAAAAATTTAACACTTGAGCTCTCTGAAGGGCACTATTAAGAGAATAAGAAGACAAGGCACACATTAGGAGAAAATATTTGTGAGTCATCTATCTGATAAGGTACTTCCTCCTAGAATACATAAAGAACTCTCAAAACTCAGTAACAAAAAAAGAAAAACTAGAAAAAGAAAATGGGCAATGATTTGAACGGAAATTTCCTGAAGAAGCTATACAAATGACAAATAAACACATAAAAATACGATCAACATCATTAGTCACCTGGGACATGAAATTTGAACAAAGTGCTATCACTACACACATTAAAATGCTAAAATGTAAAAGTCTAGACAAGGATTCGGAGGAACTGGAACTTGCCTATATGGCTGGTGGGAATATAAAACGGAAAAAACAGTTCTTCAAAAGTAAGAAAAGGCCAGGCACAGTGGTTCATGTCTGTAATCCCAGCACTTTGGGAAGCCAAGGAGAGGTAATCACTTGAGGCCAGGAGTTTGAGAACAGCCTGGGCAACACAGAGAGACCCTGTCTCTCCAAAAAAAAAAAAAAAAAAAAAAGTACTTAGCCAGGCATGGTTGTGTGTAACTGTAGTCCCAGCTACTGGGGAGGCTGAGGTGGAAGGATCACTTGAGCTGCAGTGAGCTATGGTCACGCCACTGTACTCCAGCCTGAGTGACATAACAAAACTTTGTCTTTTAAAAAAAACAGTTAAATACACACTTACTAAAAGATCTAGCCATTCCACTCCTAGGTATCTAGGTGTTTACCTAGGGGAAAAAAAAAGCATATATCTATGCAAAGATTATTTAGTACATGACAGTTTCACTGGAAATAGCTACAATCTGGAGACAATACACATGGCCCTCAACAAGAGAATGGGTAAACAAACTGTGGTATAGCCATATAATGGAATATAGTTAGTAATAAAAGTAAATAAACGATGGATACACTGCAATTATGCAGAGTGAAAGAAGTCAGACAAAAAAGAATATGTGCTATATTATTCCATGTATGTTAAACTCTAGAAAGAGGCAAACTTATCTGTAGAGGCAGGAGGCAGATCAGTGGTTGCCTCAGTAAAGAGGGATGGCAGGGACAGGAAGACACGACGGATGAGTCGAGGCACAGTCTTTTGGGGGTGATGGATGCGTCACTATCTTGATCATGCGGATGATTTCACTGGTGCATGCATATGTCAAAGCTTATCAAATTGTACCCTTTAAACGTGCAGTTTTTAGTATGTCAATTATACCTCAATAAAACTCTTTTAAAATAAAACTTAAAGCCCAAGTAAATAATAAAGAGAGGTGGATTTCTGAACAAATCTGATAGGCATTTTCTCCATGTTATTCATGAGGAAATTCAGAACTACTTGCCCAAGCACACGCAGTATTTAGCTGAACAGAGAACTTTCCTTTAGCGCTACAAGGCTGCTCTACATTGAGCGCCAACGTCCATTTGCAAAGAAAAATCAACAGATGTGCACATTGCATTTGAACGATGAAGTCACAAAAACTCTGCAAAGCACAGCTCTTCAGAAGGACATGCAGGAAGCACCTTTCTGAATACTTATGCATTGCGTGGTACATGACCCATTTACAGAGGGCCCTTGCAAACAAGAGGTGAAGAGAGTTTAAGGAGGAAAAAAAAAAGAGCAGCTTTCACTAACATCCTTGCACACTGACTCCAGAGAGGGCGCTGCCTCACCCAGTCAGGGAGGTTTATTTACATAGTCACATACTCCACCTACTCAGCCCTTCAAACCTAAGGAACTAGCTTGACCTGAACTCCTAAAGTCTCGGTTCAATTCTGCACCTATAGAAATTAAACAGGTTTAATTTCAACATTAACGTCAAGTAAAGCAAATTTCATTTGCAATACAAAGGAAAATCGTTTTAAGGGTCAAAACGAAAACATGTATCTTGACATGGTTTGGCTGTGTCCCCACCCAAAACTCATCTTGAATTGTAGCTTCCATAATTCCCATGTGTCCCATGAGGGACCCGGTGGGAGATAACTGAATCATGGGGGCAGATCTTTCCGGTGCTATTGTCGTGACAGTGAGTAAATCTCACAAGATCTGGTGATTTTATAAAGGGGAGTCTCCCTGCACAAACTCTCTTCTCTCTCTTCTCTTGTCTGTCGCCATGTGAAACGTGCCTTTCACCTTCTGCCATGTTTGTGAGGCCTCCCTAGCCACGTGGAACTATGAGTCCATTAAACTTCTTTCTTTTGTAAATTACCCAGTCCCAGGTATGACTTTATCGGCAGTGTGAAAACAGACTAATACATATCTCAAATAAACTAAGTAGCAGTGCCAGAACTTGAACTCGGATTTTCAGACTCCAAACCACCCTGGGTACTTCAAGTATTGCCCTCAAGACAGTGCCAGCTGCCCTTCCCAATCCCTGAAAAACCTGTCTTTCTGTTAGGCTTTCTGTTATTTTGAGCTATGGTCCACCAATGCGAAGCAAATTATTTTTAAAGCTCTTATTTTAAATATTCATCTTCTTCAAGTAGGTCACTTTTTTATGAGCCTCAGCTTCTCTTATATCTCCCCTAATAGAAAGATGTAATGCATTCAAAATGTGAAATCAAATTCCAGTTAATTTTATTGATTTCTTTCAGAGACTCCTTGCTTCTTATGCAAATTCATGTTTATTTCAAAAAGAGAAAACAAAACAGGCTTCTTAGAGAAGATGACTTCAAAAATCCACAAAGAGCCACCACAATTTTATTCAATTATAAATGAGCTATACAATATTTAAATCACTGGCTGGAAATAAGACGGGTTTTAATTCATTTCAGAGCTCAGCAATCGTCTTTAGATAACCTCATCTTTAAAAGTGAATGAATGACTGACAGCAGGATAAAATAAGTACCTTGTCACATGCACACACACACACTCACCAGGTTACCACACTGTTTGAAAATGTGTTGGTTCTGTGGTCGCTTCCCCCTTATTGAATTTCGTGTTGAAGACAGAACCACATGTTGCAAGTCCCACTTAAGTGCACTTCCTCACTATTTCCCTTCTCTGCAAAAATTTCTCTTAATTTTGAAAGGGGACAATGATATAGTTTGGCTCTGTGTCCCCACCCAAATCTCATCTCAAATTGTGATCCCCACGAGTCGAGGGAGGATCCTAGTGGGAGGTGATTCGATCATGGGGGTGGACTTCTCCCTTGCTGTTCTCATGATAGTGAGTGAGTTCTCACAAGATCTGGTTGTCTGATAAATGTCAGGCACTTCCCTGCTTCTCTCTGTCTCCTGCTTCCATGTAAGACGTGCCTTGCTTCCCCTTCAGCTTCCACCATGAATGTAAGTTTCCTGAGGCCTCCCAGCCATGCAGAACTGTGAGTCAATTAAACCTCCTTTCTTTATAAATAATGCAGTCTCGGGTAGTATCTTTATAGCAGTGTGAAAATTGACTAATCCAGACAACTACATGACTTTTTCCATGCATAATTCACCAACACTCCTAGGACAAGATAGCCAGACACAGGCAGCACTGTCTCCCAAGGTTGGATCAGAGTGACCTGGGACCCGTTTAGCTCTTTCCTCGATAACAGAAATGCTCTGTTTCCACTCTAAATCCATTGGTTCTAGAGTACCCAGCCTTCTTCCATAAATGGCAGACAGTCTCTACAGTACTTTCTGATTCTTGTAAAACAGCTACTAAAAGGTAATAGCAGTAATGGATACTATGAGCAAAGATGAGATTCTAAAATGTGCTGAATCCCATAAATATTACATTGATTCCGGACCCACAGATGGCAATCACTACATCCCTTTTCGATCTGCATCAACTCTTTAGTTCTGTCACTGAAAGAGGTAATTTACTATCTGGCCTCTATCTAAGAGGCCTTCAGAATTGGTGTTTCTGAAAGAAGTCATTTCCTCCTCAATCATTAATAATTCAACATTTCGGTGACAGCACATTCTCTCTTCATCGCAAACAAATATCAAGAAATTACTTTCACCATCTGCCACAGGAATCTAAACTAGAAGAAACGGTTCCAAGACAAGCTCTTTCCAAAAGAAGTAACTATGACTCCAAAATCCAATCCCCCTGTTTGGCTCGTGATTAGGGAAAAGGGGCCTTAAAGACTGGTCAGTTTCATTTTCTGAATCTGCTTCCTTATTCTTCACATCCAATCAGTCACCAAGAACATTTTATCAAAAAGGTCTTTCCTCTCTACTCTTCTGTAGCAACCTCATAGGCAAAGCCTCTTCCCTCCCTACTCTTCCCCCATGTAAACCAAACCTAGATCTAGAATAGTACATCCAACTCTCTGGACAACATCTCCACTTGGTTGTTTAATAAGCATCAGAAACAGTGCATCCAAAATTGAATGTTTCATCTCTCCCAAACTGTTCCCCTGCAAGTCTTCCCTGTCTCAGTGAATGGCATCATTTTTCTAATTGATCAGATTGGAAAATCTGGAAGTCATTCTTAACTACTCTCTTTCTCTTATACCTCATATCCATTTCATCAACACATCTTAACAGTGCTTTCTTCAAAATATATTCAGGATCTGACCACTTCTCACTACCTCCAAACATATCCAAGTTGCCATTTCCATCTTCCCTTGCCTGGATCATTGCAATAGCTTCCTAACTGCTTCTACACTTGTCCTCCACAGTGCGTCTTCCATGCAGTAGAGTCATCCTTACAAAGCACTTGAATTGGAGCATGTCACTCCTTTTGAGTTCAAAACCCTCCTAAGCCTCTCCACATCAATCAGAGCAAAAGCTTTGGACACATCAGTGTAAATATCACCTCCTCCAGAAAGCTGTCTCTGGCAGCTGGGTCTGGTGGAGTTCTCTCTCCTCTGTGCATCCTGTGCACACTTGCATCATCACTAACTGTGTCCTCCACTAGACTGAGGTTTCTTTCCCTCAAAGCACACAACACATACTGGGTGTTCAGTAAGCATCCACAGGATGGGTATCCATGGATGAATGGATGGATGGATGCAAGGCTGACTTCACGGGTGACTTCATGCAGTCACATGGAGCCCTATATTCAGAAGAGTCCTGCCTTTAGTTTAATGAACCTCGTTTATCATATTGAAATTATTAATAATTGTTGAGCAAGGAGCTCACATTCTCATTTTTCTTTGGACCCGACATATTGTGTAGCTCATTCTGGATGGATGGATGAATGGATGGATGGATGGATGGATGGATGGATGAACTCAATTCATACACAGCAATATCAAATGCCCATAGCATTCAGGGGAAAGATTCTAACAAAGGCCTTCCATAGTTAGCCAAATATATAAAGGCAAAGGAAAAATATAAAACAAGATCTCTGAAAATACATTATTTATTTACCTTTCCTTTAGGAATGTTACTGATCTTTGAAAGAATAACGAAAGTAAGAATTCCAATAAATGGAAGGTGTGACCAAAAAGAGGCATAGCAACAGGAAGGAAGGAAGGAAGGAAGGAAGGAAGGAAGGAAGGAAGGAAGGGAGGGAGGGAGGGAGGAAGGAAGGGAGGGAGGGAGGAAGGAAAGAAGGAAGGAAGGAAGGAAGGAAAGGGAGGAAGGGAGGGAGGGAGGGAAAGAGAAAGAAGGAAGGAAGGAGGAAGAAGGGAAGAAGGAAAGAAGAGGAAGGGCAGAAGGGAAGACAGAAAAAGAAAAGGGGAGGGGAGGGGAAGAGAAGGGAAGACGATAAATGGGGGGACCAATATCATCTTATAATTAACATAAAGCGGCAATGATTCGGTACAGATACAACGTTGAAACAGAATAGACACCTCAGAAGAATTATCCTTCTTTGTGCATGTAACAGTTGAGGGCCCAATAAAAGACGATTACAAATCAGGTGGAAAGGCAGCATTATCCAACCAATGGTGGTGAACTATCTAAAGCAAGTGGAAATGATCAAGTTAGAAACTCAATTCCCAAGTATAAAAAAAGTTACATGCAAAAAAATTGAAATTAATTTTTAAATAAAACCAGAAAAAAATCTGAATATTTTTTCAGACACTGAATGACAGAAAACTTTGTAAGTTTAAATACTCCATAAAAAAATGTAAAACCTGCCCTGCCCATCCCATCCAAAAAATTGATCAACACTGAAAGGTAAGAAATGAGTCTGTGGAAAGCATATTCGTAATAAATATTAAAGACAAAGATAATTCCTTCGCGACATTAAAAATGTATGCAAATCAACAATTGAATTAATCAACTGATAAATGGTTTTTAACAGATAAACAGGACCTCAAATTTTACAAAAATGCAAATGCAAATAAATGATATTTGGAAAAATATTCGATCTCATTACCAATCAAGAAAATAAAAACTAAAACAGGGTGTGATTGTAATCTATCAAATTAACAAGGTTTTTAAATTATAATATCTATTCACTGTGGGAGAGGATAAGGTGACACAAAGATTTTATACATTGCTGGTGAAAGTATAAACTTAATGGAAAGCAGTTTGACAAAATATATCAAAAGTCCTTTAAGGCCAAGTGTAGTGGCTCACACCTGTAATCCCAATGCTTGGGGAGCACTTGAGCCCAGGAGTTCGAGAACAACCTGGGCAACATAGCAAGACCCTATCTCTACGGAAAAAAAAAATTGTTTTAATTAGCCAGGCATAGTGGCATGCACCTGTAGTCCCAGCTACTCAGGAAGCTGAGGCAGAAGGGCCGCTTGAGTTCAAGGTTACAATGAGCTACGAGTCATCACACCACTGCATCACAGCCTGGGCAACGGAGTGAGACTTATCTGTAAAAAACAACAAAATAAAAAGTCCTTGAAAAGGCCGTACCTTTTGGCCTAAAAGTTCCACATAGGACTATTTTTGTCTGATATATAAAGATGTTCGTGGCCGTGCGCGGTGGCTCACGCCTGTAATCCCAACACTTTGGGGGGCCGAGGCAGGCAGATCACCTGAGGTTGGGAGTTTGAGACCAGCCTGACCAACATGGAAAAACCCCGTCACTACTAAAAATACAAAAATTAGCCAGGCATGGTAGCAGGCACCTGTAATCCCAGCTACTTGGGAGGCTGAGGCAGGACAATCTCTTGAACCCAGGAGGCAGAGTTTGCTGTGAGCTGAGATCGTGCCATTGCACTCCAGCCTAGGCAACAAGAGCGAAACTCAGTCTCAAAAAAAAAATGTTCATCACACCATTGTTTATAATAAAAATTTGAAAGCAGCCTACTATGTATCTGCCTATAGCAACATGAGAATGTGACTTATGGCAAAATCATTGAAGGAACTCAACGAATCACTGAATGAATATACAACAACTAAAATTGTTTATAAGGTGTTTAATAATATGGGAAAATGTTCCTATTAAAATGTTAAGGGAACATATAGGACACAAGTGTTTATACATGAGTATGATCTTAAAGATATAAAAATGTTGACAGGATAAAAAGAAGCAAAATGTTATCCTCATGCTTTAGAATTACGATAAATTTATTTTCTCATTTCCATTTTTCCCTGTTTCCCCAATTTATCACAATTAACATGCTAATTACATACAACAGAGGTGGTTGGGTACGGTGGCTCACACCTGTAATCACAACACTTTGGGAGGCCAAGGTGGGCAGATCACCTGAGGTCAGGAGTTCGAGATCAGCCTGGCCAACATGATGAAGACCCATCTCTACTAAAAATATTTTAAAAATTAGATCTGAGTGGTGGTGCACACCTGTAATCCCAGCTACTCAGGAGGCTGAGGCAGAAGAATTGCTTGAACCCAGAAAGTGGAGGTTGCAGTGAGCCAAGATCGCACCACTGCACCCCAGACTGGGTGACAGAGTGAGACTCCATCTCAAAAAAAACCCAAAATAATAATAAAACAGAGGCTCTCTTAACTGACACCAGCGACTGACAGTCTCCATCTCTGTAACACACAGTGACAGCAGATGCCCCAGGCATGTTGGGGGCTCACAAGTGGTAAGCACCCTTTATCTAGTAGGTCTGCCCGTTTCTGCTCCCGCCAGTTGAATTGTATACCTGTCAACAGTTATTGTTTTGTTCCCAAACCTCTTCATGCCAGCTGTGCTTGTTATATAATTGCATAATTATATTAAATTACATAAATTGATGACATTGTGAGTGAGAAAAGAAAGCCAGTTACTAATGTTTCAGTAAAAACCAAGTTGAATGTTTTGTAAAGACTTAAAATGCTAGAAAAAAAGGAAGGTAGACAGATGTGGGCAAGATTTGGGAAAAGAAAAGATCTGGCAAAATTCATAAAATATAGAAAGCTTCGGCTTATCATACCACAACTTTGCCTTCTCCAAGTCTAGGATACAATGTCCAAGGAACCTCTCAACGTTTTTAGGAACTGCGAAACGACACATCACTTTCCTAAGAAAAGGCACATTTGAGTTAAAAAATGACAAGTATTGTAAGAGATGAGATGGAAATAATTTCAGAGTCTATTCCAAAGTGCTAGGCCAGACATGAGGGGCTATGCTTAGAAGGGACAGAAGAAACTTCTGTAGGAGATGGGGGTTTATGGGAGTCAGCTACGGACAGCTATTGGATGTGAGAAAAAAGACAGAGGGTATTAGCTTGTAAAAGCATGAGATCAATATTATAATAAGCTGATATAGGAAACACCAGACGAGGAGCAGATTTTACACTTTAAGAAATATAAAAATTGTACTACCAGCAAACAGAATGAAACATATTCATCTAGAATCCAGTTTACCAAAGAAACATTTCACGTCTCTACTAAAAATACAAAAATTGCCGGGCGTGGTGGCTCACGCCTGTAATCCCAGCACTTTGGGAGGCCGAGGTGGGTGGACCACGAGGTCAGGAGATTGAGACCATCCTGGCTAACACGGTGAAACCCCATCTCTACTAAAAATACAAAAATTAGCCAGGTGTGGTGGCAGGCGCCTGTAGTCGGAGCTACTCGGGAGTCTGAGGTAGGAGAATGGTGTGAACCCGGGAGGTGGAGCTTGCAGTTAGCCAAGATTGTGCCACTGCACTCCAGCCTGGGCAACAGAGCGAGATTCCATCTCAAACAAAAAAATAAATAAATAAAAACAGAAAAATTAGCCAGGCGTGGTGGCAGGCACCTGTAATCCCAGCTACTCGGGAAGCTGAGACAGGAGAATCACTTGAATCCAGGAGGAGGAGGATGCAGTGAGCCAAGATCACGCCACTGCACTCCAGCCTGGGCAACAAATTGAGACACTATCTCAAAAAACAAAAAAAAAAGAAAGAAAAGAAACATCTCAGATGGAGAAAGATGAAGGCTTGGGGCAGGCGGCACAGCCAGTGACACTACAATCTCAAAGAAGGCAGTCAACCCCCAAAGGGAGTGCCAACTACCTTGGCCACGAAACCACAGAACACAGCAGCACCCATTGATTGAGAAATGAGCCCAGCCACTATGGAGAACCATATGGAGGTCCCTCGGAAAAATAAAAATAGAACTAACTACCATAGGATATAGCAATTCCACTGAGTATGGATCCAAAAAAAAAAAGGGGGAATCAATATATCAAAGAGATATTTGCACTCCCTTGTTTATTGCAGCACTATTCACAATTGCCAAGGTATGGAATCAACCTAAGTACTCATTAATGGATGAATGGATAATGAAAATATGTCATATACATACAGTGGAATATTATTCAGCCCTGAAAAATGATGAAATCGTGTCATTTGCAGCAACACGGATGGAACTGACATACATTATTTTAAGTGAAATCAACCAAGCACAAAAAGGCAAATACTGCCTGGTCTCACTCATATTTGGGAGTTAAAAACGTGAACCTCATGAAGACAGAGAGTAGACTAGTGATTACCAGGTGCCAGGAAGGGAAAAAGGGAGGGAGGAATGGTGGAGAAAAAAAGAATATAAATGTATTTGTTACTACCGAGCTGTACACTTAAAATGGTAAAGACAGTAAATTATATATGTATTCATTACCTCAATATTTTTTTCTTTCTGAGATGGAGTCTCACTCCGTCACCCAGGCCGGAAAGCAGTGGCGCAATCTCGGCTCGCTGCAACCTCTGCCTCCCCAGTTCAAGCAATTCTCTTGCCTCAGTCTCTTGAGTAGCTGGGATTATAGGGACGTGCCACCATGCCCTGCTAATTTTTGTATTCTCTGAAGAGACAGGGTTTCACCATGTTGGCCAGGCTGGTCTCGAACTCCCGACCTCAGGTGATCCACCCGCCTCAGCCTCCCGAAGTGCTGGGATTACAGGCATGAGCCACCGCGCCCAGCCAATGCATTACCTCAATTTTTTTAAAGTTTTTAAAGAAATCTACTAGAGGCCAGGAATTTATCAGACATCTCATTGAATAAACTAATTTAATCGTCACAACAGCCTTATGACAACTCAACATTTTTACAGATGCAGATATGGGAACTAGGGGTGATATCTGCCAAGATCTCCAAGAAATGGTTCACAGATATGAAGACTTTAAAGCTTTTGTCATGAGAAAATGACTAGAAAAGTACTTCAAAACAAGGGTGTTGAACCATGCACAGTGGCTCACACCTGTAGTCCCAGCTATTTGGGAGGCTGAGGTGGGAGGATCACTTGAGCCTAAGAGTCCAAAGCTACACTGAGCTATGACTGTGCCAGGGCACTCCAGCCTGGGCAACAGAACAAGACCTCATCTCTATAAATAAATAAATAAACAAAATAAATACATAAATAAAATATATTAAGAAAATTAAAATGAAAATATATCATTAAGAAAATGAAAAGGAGTCTGGGAACAGTGGTTTACACCTGTAATCCCAGCGCTTTGGGAGGCTGAGGCAGGAGGATCACTTGAGCCCAGGGATTGGAGTCTGCAGTGAGCTATGATTGCACCACTGCACTCCTGGGCAGTGAGCCTGGGCAACAGAGCAAGAGGAAAGAAAAGAAGGAAAAGAGAGAGAGAGAGACAGAGAGACAGAGAGGAAGGAAGGGAGGGAGGGAGGGAAGAAGGAAGGGAGGCAGGGAGGGGAAGGGAAGGAAGGCAAAGAATGGAGGAAGGAAGGAAGGAAGGAAGGAAGGAAGGAAGGAAGGACATCTCATGTGAATAAATGAATTTAATTGTCACAACAGCCTTATGACAACTCAACATTTTTACAGATGTATTGCTTGAAGGAAGGGAAAGGAAAGGCAGGGCAGGGCATCAACCATCTCAATGGCTCATTAGACTCACCCATTCAGCTTTTGAAAAGAAAAATGTGTATATTCCCAAGTCACATCCCACCTCATATCTACAAAATGTGAACCTCCAGCTTGAGGAATCTGGAAATTAGTACTTTTTCCAAAGTTCCCCAAGTAAATATGTAGCTCCATCAGGCATGGGAAGCCCTAGCCTGCTCTATGCCCTTATCTTTGGTAGGTGTTCAAGCTACAGGCACGATGTGTGTCCAAGTTAAGAATGAATTTTTTTTTTTTTTTGAGACGGAGTTTCACTCTCGGTGCCCAGGCTGGAGTGCAATGGCACGATCTCAGCTCACCGCAACCTCTGCCTCCCAGGTTCAAGGGATTCTGCTGCCTCAGCCTCCCCAGTAGCTGGGATTACAGGCATACACCACCACGCCTGGCTAATTTTGTATTTTTAGTAGACACAGGGTTTCTCCATGTTGGACAAGCTGGTCTTGAACTCCCAACTTCAGGTGATCTGCCTGCCTCAGCCTCCCAAAGTGCTGGGATTACAGGCATGAGCCACTGAGCCCAGCCAAGAATGAAATTTTTAAAAGTTCTCACTCCAGGAAAAGTGAGGAATATTGAATTGTGTCCTCTGTTATAAGGCCATAATTCAGACAAGCCACCTACTTCCTACTCTACTTAATTAGAATAAAAGAAGTCTGCAGTACTTATTTAAATCTCCAGAGAATGATGTACTCTATAGGTTTCCAGGATGTGTTATTTATAGAAACACCAAATTCTCCAGGTTCTACAAAAAGTAGAAAATCAGTAGTCTCTTATGGAAACAGGCTGTCTTCAGAGGTAGCAATAGTAGGCAACAAAAAAGGAAAAAAATAAATAAATAGAAGAAAAAAGAATTTTAAAAAAAGAAGAAGCTGGGCGCAGTGGCTCACACCTGTAATCCAGCACTTTGGGAGGCTGAGGCGGGCTAACTGCTTGAGCCCAGGAGTTGGAGACCAGCCCGGGCAACATGGCGAAACCCTCTCTCTAATAAAAATACAAAAATTAGCCAGGCATGGTGGTGCACATCCGTGGTCCCAGCTACTGTGGCGGCTAAGGCACAAGAATTGCTTGAGCCCGGGAGGTTGGGGGTGCAGTGAGCCGAGATCATGCCACTGCACTCCAGCCTGGGCAACGGAGTGAGACCCTGTCTCCAAAAGAAAAATAAGAACAGGCTCTATTAAATGTGTTCTTGTCTCTGCTGCTAAAAGACCTGGAACAGCACAATATAAGGAACTGTGGTGCTAGGGTTCAGAGACTGGGTATGATGAGCAATGTCAGATAACCGTCGTCCACGGGGAGGGAGCCATTACACAACAGCCACTCTTGCATTTCCAAATAAACTCAACGCTCGGTGGTTTAGGACAACTGTCAGAAACTTGAATGAAAGACAACTGAAATTCTTAGCCAACCTAACCCCCACTGCAATAGTCAGGCTGTTATCACAGTCTACCCATGGCATATAAATCCAAGACTTTCCCGAAAAAATTCATTACCCACTTTTATATATAAAATCTTCATTACGGTGCTGGATACTTTAAGAAAGAGCTTAATAAATGTTAGCTATTGTGGCCGGGCGCGGTGGCTCACGCCTGTAATCCCAGCACTTTGGGAGGCCAAGGCGGGTGGATCATGAGGTCAGGAGATTGAGACCATCCTGGCTAAGACAGTGAAACCCCATCTCTACTAAAAATACAAAAAATTAGCCGGGCATGGTGGCGGGCGCCTGTAGTCCCAGCTACTCAGGAGGCTGAGGCAGGAGAATGGCGTGAACCAGGGAGGCGGAGCTTGCAGTGAGCCGAGATCGTGCCACCGCACTCCAGCCTGGGCGACAGAGTGAGACTCCGTCTCCAAAAATACATAAATAAATAAATAAATGTTGGCTATTGTTACATTTATTACGGTTAGCATGACTATCATCATCAAAAACAGCTTATCAAGCACAAGGATACTGACCTCATGTTCCAACTGGTTATTGCTGTACAACAAACCACCCAAAAAGTGGCTTAAAACAATGACTGTACTTATTTTCCTCATGGATCTGCGATTTGAGCGAGGCTTGGGGTGGGAACAGCCCGTCTCTGCCCAACTTGGTATCAGCTGGGGAGGCTGGAAAGATGGAGTGAGGCTTGCTCACTCATGTGTCTGGCTCCTGCGCTGAACAGACACAAACAGCTGGAAGCCGGAACAGCCAGGGGTCCCTGGGCATCTCTCTCTCTTTCTCTCTCTCTCTCCACATGGTCCCTCCAGTATGGGGGCTTCAGCGAAGCCGGTATGGTGGCACACGGCTTCAAAGATCCATGTCCCTGAAGAGCACCCTCAGGCAGAGGCTCCCTCACCCTTTTTGATCCAGCCTCTGAAGTCATGGAACATTATTTCCACTGAATTCGATCACTAGAAGCAAGTCACGGAGGCCAGCGCATCATCAACAAGAGGGGAATTAAACTCTACCGTTTGATGGGGAAAGTGTCAAATTTGCAGATACATTTTTATTTTTTTATTTTTTATTTTTATTTTATTTTATTACTATTATTTTTTGAGACAGAGTCTCCCTTTGTCACCCAGGCTGGAATGCAGTGGCACCATCTTGGTTTACTGCAAGTTCCGCCTCCTGGGTTCTCCTGCCTCAGCCTCCTGAGTAGCTGGGACTACAGGCGCCCGCCACCACGACTGGCTAATTTTTGTATTTTTAGTAGAGACTGGGTTTCACCATGTTGGCCAGGCTGGTCTCAAACTCCTGACCTCAAATGATCCACCGGCCTCGGCCTCCCACAGTGCTGGAATTACCGTGCCAGGGATTACGACTCCTGGCCTGTAGATACATTTTTAAACCACCACACCTAGGACAATTGTTTCCTATTCCTCTAGATTGAATTTTTCATGGCTTCCCAAAATGCAACTCTGACCAGTCCTCACCAGCCACTGTTTACATGAAAACAGACTTTCCATCATCGACTCTACCTTTCTGATCCATAAAATTACAGAACCTGAACACCCTTCCTATCTTGTCTAGATTTTACAGGGCAGAAAACTGAGGCCCGGAAAGGCCAAATGTCTTGTTCCAAAGAGCAGTATTGGTAGTAACTGCCACCACGGCGATGTCAATAACATCATTCATCAACATTCTCCTATTACAGGCGTTCTTCCAGGTATGCTACAAATATCACCTTACACCGTCCTTATCATATTTATAGGAGTAGCTACTGTTTTCCAGATGAGTAAACTGAGGCTCATTGATGTTAGGTGATTTTTTCCAAAGCCCCAGCTTTGGCTTGGCTTTGTAAAGTAGCCAAAGGAAGTTTGAGATTCCTTCTGTCTAACTCCAAAGCCCTTGCTTCGTCCATTGTCTGAAACCCCTGGAGATCAGCTGACTAGGAAGGTTGCTGGCAGGGCCAGGGCTGTATCTCTGGCTCGTCTGGAAGTCAATGCTGTCAAACTTTCTCTATGGAAGGTTAGCTTTCCAACAGAATTATCCCTGAGAAATACCTGTGAACTTACTCTCTAATGAAAACGTGAACTGGGGCGTGGCTCACACCTGTAATCCTAGCACTTTGGGAGGCTGAGGCAGGTGGATCACCTGAGGTCAGGAGTTCGAGACCAGCCTGACCAACATGGTGAGACCCCGTCTCTACTAAAAATACAAAAATTAGCTGGGCATGGTGGCAGGCACCTGTAATCCTAGCTACTCAGGAGGCTGAGGCAGGAGAATCACTTGAACCTGGGAGGCAGAGGTTGCCCTGAGCAGAGATTGCACCACTGCACCCCAGCCTGGGCAACAAGAGCGAAACTCTATCTCAGAAAAAAAAAAGAAAGAAAATGTGAACCATTAACATTAGAGCCTATCTCATGGGGAAGAAGAAAAGTGGATCAGGATCCCCCGGGGCTGCGGATTTTCAGAAGGCCCTGAAGAAAGGGCTGGAGCACCAAGCAATGATGCTAACTAGGGGAGAGGGACTACAGATCAGTGACTAACTGCAGTTTTGCTAAGCTGAGATCTTGTAAAGAGGATGAGGATGAAGACATTAGACCAGTCTACTCCGCCCCTTGGGTCTGCATATACAAGACCCTTTCTTTTACTGTAAAAGAAAAAGCGTTTAATTCAAGCCACCCATTTGTAACTACTTTTTGGCTTTTGTTTTCCTTCCAAACTGCTTTCTGCAAGTAAACGCAGCCCAAGGATGCTTTTATCTTCCCGAGTGTTCACCTACAGCTAATGAAAAAAAAGAAAAAGCTCTTGAAAAGATATTTCGTGAGATTTGTGTATTTTATTAGTCATTTTATCCCCTTTATTCAAGTCTCCTGGAATCAGTTCAATTGCAGGAAGACGGGTAGGCACGCAGAAAAAAAAAATTAAAGTGGATTTTAGAACGACACGGCAAATTAGCAAAGTTTTTAACATCATTAAAGAGCTCTTAAATATTCTTCCCCGAACTCCATTTTTATCTTGTGAATGCATTTCAGTAATTGCTCTAAAGGAAATTGTGGAACTTTGGCACAAATATAAATGTTTGCATGATTTAAAATTCGGTGGCAGCAAAAATCATGATTTTTTTAATTGCTAATGCTTAAACTAACCTTTTCAGTTTGTCTCATCTTGAAAAATGCCAGTTCCTTTCAGCAGAAACTGTAACAAAGACAATGCATATATTATTTAGTTGTTTATAATTACAAACAACTTAGCCATATTTCAATACTTATCCCTCAGCTCCAAGAAGCAGCGTTAAGTAGGGGATGATTATAATCATTCCATCATCCTGTAAATAGAGTACTAGTAACACTGAGAAACAAGGCTATTTTCTTTTTTTTTTTTTTCTTTTCTTTTTTTTGAGATGGAGTCTTGCTGTGTCGCCCAGGCTGGAGTGAGTGGCGCGATCTCGGCTCACTGCAAGCTCTGCCTCCTGGGTTCACGCCATTCTCCTGCCTCAGCCTCCCGAGTAGCTGGGACTACAGGCACCTGCCACCACGCCTGACTAATTTTTTGTATTTTTAGTAGAGACAGGGTTTCACCATGTTAGCCAGGATGGTCTCGATCTCCTGACCTCGTGATCTGCCCGCCTCGGCCTCCCAAAGTGCTGGGACTACAGGCGTGAGCCACCACGCCCAGCCAAGGCTATTTTCTTAAATCCAATAGCAGGTCAAGCACAGAAGCTGACCTAGAAATAGGTGGCATCCAATCCAACCATCTCACCATCCCCCCACTTATTGTTTAAGATCAATCAATATTTGCTGATCACATGAATCAAGGGCAGAAAAGGAGAGTAGACAGCCTGGCCTGTCACTTAGGTAGTTACCTAACTGAATTAGTCCATAAATAACACTAGCTGCTATAACAGATAAGCTCCAAAATCTCAATGGCTGAACACAATGGTCCCACACAGGAGATAGCAGGAGATGGCTGGACAGCACAGTACTCTGCTCCACTTAGTCACTCAGGGACCAGGATGCTTCTTTTTTTTTTTTTTTTTTTTGAAGTCAGGGTCTCACTGTGTTCCCCAGGCTGGAGTGCAGTGGTGTGATCATGGCACACTGCTCCCACTTCAACCTCCCACGTAGCTGGGACTACAGGCACACACTACCGGGCCTGGCTAGGATCCTACCATCTTATATGCCACCAAGAGGTGAACTCCAAGGCCATCATTGAAAGGTAAAGAGAGAAGGCTGTAATCCCAGCACTTTGGGAGGCCGAGGTGGGCGGATCACGAGGTCAGGAGATCGAGACCATCCTGGCTAACATGGTGAAACCCCGTCTCTACTAAAAATACAAAAAATTAGCCGGGCATGGTGGCAGGCACCTGTAGTCCCAGCTGCTCGGGAGGCTGAGGCAGGAGAATGGCATGCACCTGGGAGGCGGAGCTTGCAGTGAGCCGAGGTCGCACCACTGCACTCCAGCCTGGGACACAGCAAGACTCCATCTCAAAAAAAAAAAAAAGAAAAAGAAAACGAAAAAAAAGAGAGAGAAGGCATGAAGGACCCCGTAGGAGTTTTGGTGGGCCAAGCCTGGTCATAGCAAACATCACTTCCGTCTACCTCTCATTGCCCTGAACTCAATCACATGGCCCTATCTAACTGCAGGGGAGCCTGAAGATTAGCTCTGTGCCCAAGAGGAAAAAAAAAATTCCCTGGTGAACACAGCATTGCCTCTGCCACCCTAACTAGAGACCACGGTAGTTCTATGCCGCTTGATATTGACCTGTCTCATCCAGACCCTAGTATAATAGGTACCATAAGAAAAAAACATGTTCTTTCCCTTCCAGGAACTCCAAACTAAAATTCTACACTGCACACTCAAACCTAGGTCTGTGGCACAGATCAGGATGGTGAACAGGAATGAGAAGGGTGCCCTGGAATCAAAGGAGTTACCTTCTCGACGCAAGAGAACTGCATCAGCCATTTGTATCAGCTTCCGAGAAGCGTGTGCCTAAGCAATGACACACAACCTCTGAGGGCCCCTCCTCCAGCCCCCGACACACTTTCAGGGCCTGGGACCTCAGCTGGAAGGTGAAGCTCCCATGCAAGGCTTAGCATCCATTCAAAAATGACTGTCCCAAGATTACACTAGATCTTGCCCAATTAAAGCCACCATGATACAAACACAATGGATGTGCAATCATAGGAAGGACACGGGGCAGAAGTCAAGGAACAAAACTTGCCTGAGGCTTGCTGACAGTCGCCCAAATGAAGAAGAAATTGACAACGTGCACTTGTCAGCATTCCTGTTTTGTTGTGCTAATTTCCTTGCAAATATAAGCAAAGCCTTTTAATTAACTTAATATCAATTTCACTTTTCTCACATTTTGTTCTAATTATGGGCTGGATTTACAGCTCGCACAGCATAATTTAGAGTCCTGGAATTAACAGCTTTACAACTTTTCACACGAGTGACTACTAACCTGGGTGAAGGAGGGTTCCCTGCAACCATCCTGATCCTAGTTGACAGCATCCTTGTGCTCACCCCAGCACACGTTTCGCCCCCCCTACAGTCCTGGACCCAGCCACCAACCGAGCAAGACTCAATCCCACACCCAGGAGGCAGTGAGTACCAACTTCGCAAAGGAGACTCAGAATGGAGCAGCTGGTAGGTGCCTCTGGACAATTTGTTTATTTCCCTTAGTTTCATCTTCCTCACATGTAAAACAGATATAATAGTATAAATAGGTGTGATGTCGAATTAAGTTAACACAAAATACTTGATATGTGGTTGATGTTCAATAGAAATAGCTGTGTATTAGCCAGGCGTGGTGGTGCATGCTTGTTGTCCCAGCTACTCAGGAGGCTGAGGCAGGAGGACTGCTTGAGCTCTGAGTTTGAGAGCGTCCCGGGCAACACAGCAAGACTCCGTCTCCAGAAAAAGATAGTTTATAAAATTAGCAGGGCATGTTGGCACGTACCTGGAGTTCCAGCCACTTGGGAGGCTTGAGCCCAGGAGTTCGAGGCTGCAGTGAGCTATGATGGTGCCACTGCACTCCAGCCTAGGCGACAGAGCAAGACTGTGTCTCAAAACAACAACAAAACAACAAAATCAAATAGTTGTGTATGGTTAACTATGGTATACATATATATATATATATATATATATATATATATAAAAATACCATAATACTACTGTATTTCATCAAATCTAAGATGCCTTCAACTATAAGATACTCCATTTTTATGTACCCTGAGGGGGAAAAAGTACGCTACCAATTAAATGATGACATGTCACTGATCATAAGATAACTCCCAATTTCAGAGATGTAAAAATGTCTTAACAGACAAAATACAATTATGTATGTATGTTTGAATGCCCACAGCCTTCAGTATTCTAGTTAATTGAATTTCTAGTTGGCCAAGAATCTTGCTAAATTTTAATATTCAATGGAATGTATTAGGGGTAGAGAGGGCATGGTAGACACTGCGGATTCACAATGCAAATGCTGTTCCCGTTCTCCTTCTCTTTTGCTACCACTGTACTTATTTTCTCTGGAAAGCAACTATTCTCTTGAAGCAAAGTTGGTCATCAGACTATGTCCTGGCTCACATGTAGGAGCCTACCAGGTAGACTTCTGGAAAACATTTTCTTTCCTGAGTAAACAATAAGAGCAGATGTGGCCACTGCTACAGGAATCCCTACCTGGTACAAAGATGCAATGGCTGGAACTGTGGCAGCCATCTTGTAATCATGAGGAAAAGACCAAAAGAAATATAGTGACATGAGCTATGACACTATGATGCCAAAACAGTGCTAGCTACCACTACTTCTGGACTTGTGAAGTGAGAACAAATTACTTGCTGACAAATTAATTCCTAAATGACACAGAGAGGGGTTTTTAAAAAATGAATGAAACCCATTCTCTTGGAAACTACTGGGCTGGCCATGACAACAAATCATTTTGAGGAAAGACAGAGATGAACAAGGGCTAAAAGAAGATCCACTGAAAGTACCATAAGAGGTGAGAAGAAAGGACATTTAATTCTGACAAGGTGGTCAGGGGAGGTTACAGAGAATGAAGGGCTTTTGAAATGGTCCTTGGAGAGGCCTGGTGCAGTGGCTCATGCATGTAATCTCAGCACTTTGGGAGGCCAAGGCAGTGGATCATGAAGTCAGGAGTTTGAGACCAGCCTGGCCAACATAGTGAAACCTCATCTCTACTAAAAATACAAAAAATTAGCCGGGTGTGGTGGTGCACTCTTGTAGTCCCAGCTACCCGGGAGGCTGAGGCAGGAGAATCGATGGAACCTGGGAGGTGGAGGTTGTGGTGAGCTGAGATCATGCCACTGCACTCCAGCCTGGACGACAGAGTGAGACTCCGTCTAAAAAAAAAAGAAAAAAGAAATGGTCCTTGGAGAATGCATGAGATTTTAATAGGATGAATGTGATGGTTAATACTGAGTGTCAATCTGATTGGATTGAAGGATGCAAAATATTAATCCTGGGTGTGTCTGTGAGGGTGTTGTCAAAAGAGATTAACATTCGAGTCAGTGGGCTGGGGAAGGCAGATCCACCCTTAATTTGGATGGGCACCATCTAATCAGCTGCCAGCTGAATATAAAGCAGGCAGAAAAACATGAAAAGTTAGACTGGCCTAGCTTCCCAGCCTACTTCTTTCTCCCGTGCTGGATGCTTCCTGCCCTCAAACATCGGACTCCAAGTTCTTCAGTTTGGGGACTTGGACAGGCTCTCCTTGCTCCTGAAACTTGCAGAAAAGCCTACTGTGGGACCTTGTGATTGTGTAAGTTAATACTTAACAAACTCATATATATCTGTCCCTCTAAAGAACCCTGACTAAATACAATGAGGGAAAGAGATGTTATTCATAATCTGAGAGTTAAAGGACCCTACAATCATACCGGTCTCATTTTACACATGCATAAACTTTGGTCCCTAGAAATAAAGTAAACCTAGAACCCTGGTCTCCTGAACCCAAATTCATGCTCTTTCACCAGGGAAGTACAGCACCTAACAAGCTGTATGTAACTACAGGACATTCCTCAGTAAACACTAATCACACAATTAGCCTCCCTTGTGTCCGAGGCTAGGATGGAAGAAGTCCTTCTGGAACCCTGTTCCCCATTAACTGTCAGCACGCTCGTGTGTTGGTGTCTGAACGTGGTCGCCTGTGATTACGGCAGCAGTTTATTACTCATGCATGGCAAAGCTGAGACTCTGCAGTTAGCAATGACAGGGACATGATTAAAAGGGAAAACTTCTCTATCAGTGGCTCAGCCGATTGTCATCCACATGTCAGAGCAGTCTAAAGACCGGTGAGCAGCAATCACTAGGGGAGAGGAAGATCTTTCAGCCCCTGTGAGTCCTGCATTTATTCTAAGTGCTGTGGAAGGGAGGATGGCGGCGAGGGAGGGAGGGAGAAGGGAGGGAAGGCAGTGAGCACTCCCTCTCCCTGGACTTCTTCCCAGGGGCCACATGGGCACCATATCTCCAGACTGCACTGCTAAGCGGGAGATAATTTATCTGCTTCTTTGTGGTCCCCTCCCCCTTCATCCTTCAGGCCAAAAGCCACCCATGGAGAGTTGGCTTCCCTGTAATTCTGGATTCCATCTCTTGTCCCTTAAGGAGCTGCTAGGAAGTCAGGTCTTGCCCCTGCAACATGATCTCTGAATCCAGAAGGAGTGAGAGGACCCGAGACTGGCACTGGCCTCAGCATATCCCAGCGGACTCAGTTGTTGCAGCAGTCACAGCTGTGACAATCCCAGTAAGAAGTGGGCTGCGGTGGTGGCACCCGGGGAGGAACAAATCTCTGTGTCATTTGAGATCAGCAGTCACTCAGGGCGTGGGGAGCTGAGAGGAGACTGAATCTGGAGTCAGGCCACTCCATCCACCCGTCTCCACCGCCTCCCGAAGGATCCCTCCAGCCCAGCACAGCCCACCTCCTCTTTGGCTCAGGGAGGTATAGAAAATGGAAAGGGATAGAAATATTCCTTTAAAAAAAAACCCATACGGGCCCCGTACGGTGGCTCGCGCCTGTAATCCCAGCACTTTGGGAGGCCAAGACTGACGGAGCACTTGAGGTCAGGAGTTTGAGACCACCCTGGCCAAGATGGTGAAAACCAGTGTCTACTAAAAATACAAAAATTAGCGGGGTGTGGTGGCGGCCGCCTGTAATCCCAGCTACTCAGCAGGCTGAGGCAGGAGAATCATTTGAACCCAGGAGGTGAAGGTTATAGTGAGCCGAGATTGTGCCACTGCACTCCGGCCTGGGCAACGAGTGAGACTCCTTCTCAAAAAATAAAAATAAAAAAATTAAGAAACCCGTATGAACTTTATAAAATTAATCAGGGAAGAAGAGAGGGGAGAAATGAAAATAAACCAAGCTTGCAGCACATTCTGCGTTCATCACTAGGTCAGCTTGTTCTCTGACCTGCTTGCTCATGGTTGTTTGCTACCAATTGTCCTAGAATCATGTAGACCCTATTTTTTATCTATTTATTGTGATGATTATAAATTTTAGAAACAGGGTCTCACTCTGTCACCCAGGCTGGAAAGCAGTGGCACAATCATAGCTCACTGTAGTCTCAAACTCCCGGGCTCAAAAGAGATCCTCCCACCTCAGCCTCCTGAGTAGCTGGGACTCCAGGTGTGCACCACCATGCCCAGCTAGGTTTTTAGTTATGTTGTAGCAATGGAGTCTCGCTTTGTTGCCAGGCTGCGATCCTATTACAAGATTATAATTCCCCTTAACTGCTCCATGGATAACAAGGTAAACATGAAGCGTTCAGTTTTCCCTTTGAGACACTCTTTCAGGTCCTGCACACCAGCGAAACTGCTGACATCGGCTGGCCTGAAGAACCCAAGAAGCTGACTCACCAAAGAATGCAGTTTCCACATCCTGACAATTTCATCCCTCTTATGCTGACCAATCCATGACCCCAATTCTCCAGCCCCTTGTCCTCCATGATCCCCTTAAAAACCCCAGCCCAAGATGGGCACAGTGGCTCACACCTGTATTCCCAGCATTTTGGGAGGCCAAGGTGGGCAAATCACGAAGTCAGGAGATCAAGACCATCCTGGCTAACATGGTGAAACCCCATCTCTACTAAAAATACAAAAAATTAGCCTGGCATGGTGGCATGCACCTGTAGTCCCAGCTACTTGGGAGGCTGAGGCAGGAGAATTGCTTGAGTCCAGGAGGCAGAGGTTGCAGTGAAATGAAATGTGCCACTGCACTCCAGCCTGTGAAAGAGAGAGAGACTCCATCAAAAACAAAACAAAACCCCAGCCCAGAACTCCTTCAGGAGACGGATTTGAGGGTCTCCTCCCATCTCCTCACTCTGTGCCCTGCAATCATTAAACTCTTTCTCTGCCACAAAACCTACTGTCTCGGTGTAACTGGTCAGTTACTGAGCAGTGGGCATATGAACCTATTGGTCCTGTAACACTTTTGGGACTTGATGTATACCTGGTAACATTACAAATGTATCCTTCCAATTAGATGACAATGTCTAGATAGGTGTGACCTCTTGTACTCTTAGCATCTAAGCTGCCTCTTGCAGCAAGGAAGAGCTCACTAATGGATGTGAACAGCCAATAATAATGATGATTATCAGGTTCTGGACATGCTGAGGGCCCAGCTAAGACCTGAGCTTGCATCCTATGGCACCAACGCCTGCCAAGGTGGGACGTTCCCCAGGAATAAGCTCATCCACCCTCGGGGGTTGCTGGTGGATGCCACAGATGACGAGGAGGTAAGGATACTCGAGGAGCTGACAAGGGGATTTCTGACGGACTCCCCAGGCCAGATATGGAAGGACAGGAGCACAGGGAGCTAGAAACAGTGGTAGGGTTGGGGGCTGGACCTCAACAAGGTGTAAGAGAAGTGGGAGCCTGAGAGAGGGCTCAGGTCAGAGATCCCCAAAGCTGTACCAGATTTTCCAAATGCAGCAATTCCAGATGTTGACTCTTAGTTCTGGATGTGATCGTGGAGTCACAGAGGGAGCAAATGACATGCAACTAAAATCACTCTGAGGTTCAGAGGGTGGGCTGAGTCCTGAACTCAGAGGAATGGCAGGGCCAGCCACGCCAGCAACACCAGCTCTCTATACCCACTGCTGCACTCTTTTTTTTTTTTTAAATAGAGATGGGGTCTCACTATGTTGCCCAGGCTGGTCTCGAACTCCCAGGCTCAAGTGATCCTCCCACCTTAGCCTCACGAAGTGTTGGGATTACAGGCGTGAGCCACCGTGCCCTGCCCTACTGCTGCATTCCAACCCACTCTCCCAATCATCCCCAGATGCAATAAGCCGCAACATGACATCACATTAAGTCAACATAGTGACCTGGTCACATAATGGCTCCCCAAGCCTATGCAATTAAGTCCAAACCAACCTAGGATCCAAAACCTGGCCCAGTCCAGCCTCCACCCAGTCCTCCTAACAAACTCCCCTTCACCAAGGAGCTCCCACACCTCCTCACTTACATGTCCCCACACACTCTTCTGCTCATGCCATTCCCTTGCCAGGAATCCCGCAGATTCGTAGTTCTGGCTCTGACCACCTCTCAAGGGCATCCATTTCTTTTCTTTCTTTTTTTTTTTTTTTTTTGAGACAGTCTCGCTCTGGAGTGCAGTGGTGGGATCTCATCTCACTGCAACCTCCACCTCCTGAGTTCAAGTGATTCTCCTGCCTCAGCCTCCCAAGTAACTGGGATGACGGGTGCCCGCCACCACACCCGGCTAATTTTTGTACTTTTAGTAGAGACAGGGTTTCGCTGTGTTGGCCAGGCTGGTCTTGAACTCCTGACCTCAAAGGATCCACCCACCTCGGCCTCCCAAAGTGCTGGGATTACAGGCGTGAGCCACTGCACTCGGCCAAGAGCATCCATTTCTTCTGACTTGCTTTCACACCTTCCACAAGGTGATCTCACTACCTCGCACCTATCGTGCATGCATGAAAATTTCTAAGTGTTCTTGTTTAAATTCAGCACTCACCGGCTAAGCACCTACCGTGCACCAGTTCAAGCCTCCCTACTTCCAGGCTCAGTGTAACATTCCTTTTTTTTTTTTTTTTTGAGACAAGAGTCTCGCCCTGTCGCCCAGGCTACAATGCAGTGGCACAATCTCGGCCCATGGCAACCTCCGTCTCCCAAGTTCAAGTGATTCTCCTGCCTCAGCCTCCCAAGTAGCTGGGATTACAGGTATGTGCCACCAAGCCCAGCTAATTTTTGTATTTTTAGTAGAGAAAAAATTTCACCATGTTGGCCAGGCTAGTCTTGAACTCCTGACCTCAAGTGATCCACCCGCTTAGGCCTCCCAAAGTGCTGGGATTACAGGCGTGAGCCACCGCACCCAGCCAGTCTAATATTCTTTAGGGACCTGGCACATCCCTGGTAAAGCCACAAAGATATCTTCCCACTATTCCACAATGCCTAAGTAAGCATGATCTCTGCACCTCATTGTACTCTTAGCATCTAGTCTACGCCTCGCGGCAAGGAAGTGCTCACTAACGGATATGAATGACCATTGTGTTCTGTAATTGGGTTTGTCAGACAGGCTGCCATTTCTTCTCCTAGGCATTAAAAGCCATCAGCCAAAGGCACCATCATTATAAGTAAGAGGAGGAGCAGGGGATGGCAGGAGAAGGAAGAAGGAAATGGAGTCTGGCTCAGATAAACACATGGAAGAGAGAAGGATCCAAAAGTAGTCTGAAGAGTCCAAGAAAGTTATAAGGAAAAGGACCCCCTCTCACCTCGTCTGACATTCACAAAGCAAATAACAATGACCATACTCTACTATGAAGCATTGCTAGCTGTCCATGCATCCATTCAAGAAATATCTCCTGAGGGCCCCGCATAGTGGCTCATTCCTATAATCCCAGCACTCTGGGAGGCTGAGGCAAGAGGATCACTTGAGGTCAGGAGTTCAAGACAGGGCTGGCCAACATGGTGAAACCCCATCTCTACTAAACACACACACACACACACACACACACACACACACAGCCAAATGTGGTGGCTCATGCCTGAAATCCCAGCACTTTGGGAGACTGAGGCAGGAGGATCACTTGAGGTCAGGAGTTCAAGACCAGGCTGGTCAATATGGTGAAACCCTGTCTCTACTAAAAATACACACATACACACACACACACACACACACACACACACACACACACAGCCAGACGTGGTGGCGCATACCTGTAATCCCAGCTACCAAGCAGGCTGAGGCAGGAGGATCACTTGAACCCATGAGGCAGAGTTTGCAGTGAGCCGAGATCATGCCACTGTACTCCAGCCTGGGTAACAGAGCGAGACTCTGTTTCAAAAAAAAAAAAAAAGAAAGAAAGAAAGAAAAAGAAACATCTCCTGAGTACCTACCATGGCCCAGGGCTGCTCTAAGTGTCTCGGGAATATGATGGGAAACAGCACTCATGGCCCTTCCCATAAGTAGTTTGTATTCTTACAACTGCCGTGTGTTGGGTTTCATGCTTATGCTATACATTTTGAATTTCAAGTCATCCTGACATATGACAGTCCCATTTTACACTTAAAAAGTGAAGGGACTTGCCCAAGGTCACAGAGGTAATAAGTGACAGTGGAAATCAAACCCAGTCTGTCTTTTTTTTTTCTTTTCTTTTTTTTTTTGAGACAGTCTTGCTCTGTCGCCCAGACTCCCAGGCTACGGTGCAATGGCACAATCTCGGTTCACTGCAACCTCCGCCTCTCAGGTTCAAGTGATTCTCCTGCCTCAGCCCCCCGAGTAGCTGGGATTACAGGCGCTTGCCACCATGCCTGGCTATTTTTTGTATTTTTAGTAGAGATGGGGTTTCGCCATGTTGGCCAGGCTGGTCTTGAACTCCTGATCTCATGATCCACCTGCCCCGGCCTCCCAAAGTGCTGGGATTACAGGCGTGAGTCACCACGCCTGGCCCTGAGTCACCATGCCTGGCCCTGAGTGTCCTTTTAATACACTGGTTTGGGGGTTTTTTTTTAGAGTTTGGGTCTTGCTCTGTCACCCAGGATGGATGGAGTGCAGTGATGCAATCATGGCTCACTGAAGCCTCGAACTCTTAGGCTCAAGCGTTCCTCCCACCTCAGCCTCTCGAGTAGCTGGGACCATGGGCATGCACCACAATGTCTGGCTAATTTTTTATTTTTTGTAGAGAGAAGGTCTTGCTATGTTGCCCAAGCTAGTCTCAAACTCCTGGTCTCAAGCCATCCTTCCACCTCAGCCTCCCAAAGTGCTGGGATTACAGGCGTGAGCCACTGTGCCTGGTTCTTCTTATATATTCTTAAAGACTCGCAGGTCATCTAATCGTAGGTTGTTTCTTCGCTGGCCTTGGGCTTGGGTGTGCTCATGTTCCAACTTCCTGTGGTCACTCTTAGCTCTAAGTAATTACCGAGCTTTCTTCCTTTCCACAAAGGACGCTCCAGATTTGGCAACTAGCAAAGGTCAGGGGGGTTGGGTTTCTTCAGCAAGAATGACACTGGCTGCCTCTCCTGCTACCTCTGGGCTGGGCAGGTGGCAGCTGCCCCCACTGGCAGGGTGCCCACCACACTCACCTGCCAACACAGATGTGCCTGCATCTGAGGGCTGTCCAAGAACAGGACTCCCTATTTCTTCAGGAGGGGCCAACTGCAACCAGACACCATGAGTCCTTGGAGGTAAAGGGAGTGGGTGTCCTCCAGCACCCTGGCCCTGGTCCTAGGACCAAGCCTTCCATAACCCAGGGCCCGCGCCTGTCCTCAATCCCTGTGGAATGTCTGCGTGCAGCAAATGAAGGCTTGAACTGCCCTGGTTTCCTTCTGATGTTCCCTGCAGCAACTGATTTTAATATGCACATGTGCCCTCTCCCTTCGCTCCTTCCTGCAGGAAATGGTGGTACCGTCCAGCATCTGTGGGCTGCAAGAAAGAAGAAATATAACACCAGACCACCTCTGGCATTAATGAACGGAGATGCTTTCCAAATGCCATCCCTCTCTTTTTGTTTTTGGTTTTGGTGTGTGTTTGTTTGTTTATTTTTAAGACAGAGTCTCGCTCTGTCTCCCTGGCTGGAGTGCAGGGGCGCGATCTCTGCTCACTGCAGCCTCTGCCTTCCAGGTTCAAGCAAATTATCTTGCCTCAACCTCTTGAGTAGCTGGGATTACAGATGCCCGTCACCACGCCTGGCTTATTTTTGTATTTTTAGTAGAGACGGGGTTTCACCATGTTGGCCAGGCTGGTCTGGAACTCCTGACCTCAAGTGATCTGCCCACCACGGCCTCCCAAAGTGCTGGGATTACAGGCTTGAGCCACCGTGCCCGGCCACCATTCCTCTCTTTCTGACTCCACCTTGGAGACCTGTGAGAGCAAATCTCTTCCTCTCTCTGTGCCAAATCACTCTCCTTGCCTAGGGAGTTCTGTTGGGTGGGTTGTGGTGTGCTGGGGCTATATAGGAGCGTCTTGGTTTCCTATCACTCAGACTCCAACTTCAAGTGCCTGAGTGGCTTGGGGGCAGGACTGGAAGAGGTAATTTTGACTTCTCTCCATTTCTACAAAGATTTTCAATTTCTTTAAGCAACTCCACTTCTATTCACTATCCTTCTGAAATCTAAATTTGGTAACTAAGTTGAATCGATTGCATTTCTTCTTATGACAGAGCTGCCCTGGGCTCACAGGGATACAGCTCTGCTGTGCGTCCTGCGTGTGGACTCTGAGGAGAGGAGAGGGTGTCTCTAAGGCTTTGAGCCTGCGAGGGGCAAGTGAAGCTCCAGACCCCTCCATCTCTTTCCCCTTACTTATTAGGAAAGTGCTGGACTCCTGGGAGGAAGTACCCTGGTATTCCTGAACCTGGCTCTGCCCTTCCCTAGCTGTGTCACCCTGGAAAAGTCACATAGTATCTCTGTTTCTCACCTTTCTCACCTCTAAAATGAGAGAAATAAGTAACTTCCTCAGAAAGTGACAGAAACATGATAGAAAGCCAAAAATCACATAAAGAAGAATTCTAACAAGAAATCCGTCTGTCTCTAGGTCCACTTTCTTTTTTATTTTATTTATTTATTTGAGACCAAATCTTGTTCCGTCGCCCAGACTGGAGTGCAGTGGTGCAATCTCAGCTCACTGCAACCTCCGCCTCCCAGGTTCAAGTGATTCTCCTGACTCAGCCTCCAGAGTAGCTGGGATTACAGGCACCAGCCACCACGCCCTGCTACTTTTTGTATTTTTTTGTAGAGACAGGGTTTCGCCATGTTGGCCAGACTGGTCTGGAACTCCTGGGCCCAAGTGATCCACCCACCTCGGCCTCCCAAAATGCTGGGATTACAGGCGTGAGCCACTGTGCCCGACCACTAGGTCCACTTTCCTAATGCTTGTACAAAGCCTACACGCAATCATGTTAAATTTTTTTAACATGGTATTGTATCCTGTATAATTGTTTTAGATTTTCCATATTTTCTACAATAAAGATGAATTAATTTTATATACAAAAAAAGAATATGCTGTTGACCCCTTGAACAACAAGGGTCTGAACTGCGTGGGTCCACCTGTACATAGATTTTTTTCTTCCTCTGCCACCCCTGAGACAGCAAGACCAACCCTTCCTCCTCCTCCTCACCTACTCAATGTGAAGATGACCAGGATGAAGACCTTTACAACAATCCACTTCTACTCAATTAATAGTAAATATATTTTCTCTTCCACATGATTTTTTTTTCTTTTGAGCCAGAAGGCTGGGGAGCAGTGGCACAACCATAGCTCACTGTAGCCTCGAACTCCTAGGCTCAAAACATCCTCCCACCTCAGCCTCCTGAAGAGCTGGGACCACAGGTGTGCACCACCATGCCCAGCTGATTTTTGTAAAGATGAGGTCTTGCTGTGTTGCCCAGGTTGGTCTAAAATTCCTGGCCTCAACTGATCTTCTCACCTCAGCTTCCCATAGTACAGGGATTACAGGCATGAGCCAATGTGCCCAGCCCATACAATTTTCTTAATAACATTTCCTTTTCTTTAGCTTACTTTTTATAAGAATATAGTGTATAATACACACAAGATAGAAAATAAGTGTTAATCAACTGCTTATGTTACCAGTAAGCCTTCTGGTCAAGAGCAGGCTATTAACAGTTAAGTTTTGGGGGAGTCAAAAATTATACTTGGATTTTTGACTGTGCAAGTGTTGGCATCCCTAATCTCTGCATTGTTTCAAGGCTTAACTATAAAGCCATATTCATGTTATGAAATCATACATTTAACGAAAACACGCTGAAACTTGCCTATTCCTAACCTGGCTCACTTCCGAGGGCCTCGAAGGATCTCGTTCCCTTCAGTCAGGAAGGTGAAGACTAGACGAGCCTCAAGATGGCGGAGGCAAGATGGCTTCCTCACACTGTCTCTCTAGCTGAGTCCTCCCAGCCCCCACCCCTCTCCACATCCATCCAACACAACCCAGACTTTACAGCCTTGAGGTTATTTCCTATCTGGCCATCATTTACCTCCTCAAACTAGCTCCCAACAACTTGATCAACCAATAAACCTTAAGTGCCCCATTAAGTGCAAGGGGCTGTGGTGTGCTGAGGGATGGGGGTGGTATTAAAAGTCCAAAATGGCCGGGCGCGGTGGCTCACGCCTGTAATCCCAGCACCTTGGGAGGCCGAGGCGGGTGGATCACGAGGTCAGGAGATCGAGACCATCCTGGCGAACACGGTGAAACCCCGTCTCTACTAAAAATACAAAAAATTAGCCGGGCGTGGTGGCGGACGCCTGTAGTCCCAGCTACTCGGGAGGCTGAGGCAGGAGAATGGCGTGAACCCGGGAGGCGGAGCTTGCAGTGAGCCGAGATCGCGCCACTGCGCTCCAGCCTGGGTGACAGAGCAAGACTCTGTCTCAAAAAAAAAAAAAAAAAAGTCAAAAATATGATTCCAGCCCTTAAAAGGCCTATCAAGGCGCTGTGGCTCACACCTCTAATCCCAGCACTTTGGGAGGCCAAGGCCTGAGGTGGGGTGTGGGGTGAAAAGGGGGTGGGGGTGGGGATCACTTGAAACCAGCCCTGGCAACATGGCAGAACCCCATCTCTACAAAAAATACAAAAACTAGCTGGGCATGGTAGCATGTACTTGTAGTCCCTGCTACTAGGGAGGCTGAGGTGGGAGGATCACTTGAGCCGGGGAAGTAGAGGTTGCAATGAGCTATAATTGCATCACTGCACTCCAGCCTGAGTGACAGAGTGAGACTCTGACTCAAAAAAAAAAGAAGCCTACAGGCAGGGCACAGTGGCTTACACCTGTAATCCCAGCACTTTGGGAGGCCGAAACAGGAGGATCACTTGAGGTCAGGAACTCAACACCAGCCTGACCAACATGGCGAAAACCCGTCTCTACTAAAAACACAAAAATTAGCCGGGCATGGTGGCGGGTGCCTGTAGTCCCAGCTACTCGGGAGCTGAGGCAGGAAAGTCACTTGAACCCAGGAAGCGGAGACTGCAGCGAGCGGAGATCGCACCACTGCACTCCAGCCTGGCGACACAGCGAGACTCCATCTCAAAAAAAAAGAAGAGGAAGCCAGGAGGAGGTAGAGCCCTCCATAAATCCCACCTGCTTGGACTTCACAGGAGTCCACGGGAAAGATTTAAGAAACTTGAGCAACCTTTAAAATGCCTGGCTCCCACTCTGTACCAAGTGGCTTTGGCCCTCTTACATGCACAGTGCACTGGCTCTAGCAGCCTCTCCATTAATTCCAAGGGAATAAAGAACATTAAGGTCAAGGTTTCCTTCTCCACCCTCGGGAGCAATGAATGAAGACCGGCTGCAGAGCAAGAGAGCACGTGTCTCCCCAGGCACTAGGAGCCCTTTGCCTTCTCGGAGCAGCCTCCCACTGCAGCAGGCGGAGGGCATCAACAGATGGGACACGCATTACCCAAAACAAGCACCGGCAGAGGATGAAGGTGCTTGAGGGGCCAGGTGGAGAGAGAGGAAGAGCCCCCTATATTTCACAATTTTTCCCTGCTCTTTTTCTGCAGGCTTCATGTCACTGCAAATGACACTAGGCAGTCAGGATGGTAACATCTGCCTAGTCGCAGCTTGCATTCTTAGCTTGCCCAGGAAAAGCTCTCAACTTGGCCTTGCTGCCAACTTGCAAGTCAGGAAAACTCAGCCTTCCCACCCCACAGCACCTGACTCCACCAGTCCGGGAACTGTTTACAGGGCAGAAGGCCACAGAGAAGGAAGCCAGACGCCAGTTGATCTGAAGCAAGCTCTCAGCTTAAGTCCCCAAAATGAGCTGGCTTTGGAGGTTGGATGGGTTTTCTACCTTTACTCTGCTTGATGTAGGCAGCAGACTGTTGGGCAGTGGGTCGAGGGCCCTGTCCCAAGTTTGTTAGAGAGGCAAATTCTCAGGCTTCACCTGAGACCTGGGCGGGAGGCCCAGAAATCTGTCTTAAAGGGCTCTTCAGTGATTCTGATGCACATGCTGAAGATCAAGACACTGGTGCAGGAGCTAAGAACCTCCATTCTGGAGCCTGACATTCCAGGTTCGATTCCCAGCTCTGACACTCACTAGCTGGGTGACTGTGAGCAAGTTGTTCAGGCGGGTGTCAGAGCACCCATCTCGCAAGTCATTGTAAAGATTCAGTGGGTTCATGTATGTCTGTGGCAAGTAGAAAGTAGCCTCCTAACCTCCCTTCACCTAGTTTTCTCATTTCTCAACTGGGGATGGGTGGAGCCTCTCTGGACAGATGTGAACATACAGTGAGATAATGCACTTGTAATGTCTCTGCACACATCTGGCACACAGCAAGAATTCCATCAGTTATTATTATAGAATTTTATTATTCCTATGAGGGAAGTTAGGGTACAGCTATATAATATTTAATGCTCCTAATTGAAACTAATACTGGGGCCAGGCATGGTGGCTCACGCCTGTCATCCCAACACTTTGGGAGGCCCAGGCAGGAGGATTGCTTGAAGCCAGGAATTCGAGACCAGCCTGGACAACCTAGCAAGACCCTGTGTCTACAAAAAATTAAAAAATTAGAAGGGCATGGTGATGCACACTTGTAGACCCAGCTACTTGGGAGGCTAAGGCCAGAGAATGACTTGAGCCCAGGAGTTTGAAGCTTCAGTGAGCTATGATTGCACCACTGCACTCCAGCCAGGGGGACAGAGCGAGAAGACCCTGTCTCAAAAAAAAAAAAAAAAAAAAAAAAAAAAAAACCATAAAACAAAGAAACTGATACTAAACTAACCTGTGTCCCTGAGAAAAGCCTGATGAGGGAAACCAGGTTAACCTTTGAAGTTCCTATGGGTATGTCTACAGCAGGAATCTATCCCAAATTATAAGGCCACCCCGTAAGTTTCTGATTCCTCCAGAAATGAACTATGGGTTTTTGTCGCATTCTGTGCCATATTTCTGACACCTGAGAGAAGAGCTTCTGCATAACTTCCGTGGGCTACCCTGACAGTCAGGCCATATACCCTGCAAGTTCAAGGCATCCCCTGGATATCTGTCAAATGGCTTCGAGAAGACCGCAGCGTCCTTTCACCTGCTCAGAGATCTGACCACCCCTCTCCCTCCATCCCATCCCTCCCCCAGTACCCAGCAGGGACCTTTGGTGAGCCTGAAAAGAACCATTTGCCATCCTCCTTCTCCCTGCCCCTTGCCACCACAGTGAAGACAGTTGAGATCCTCCAATGTGAGAAGGTATATGTCTGTATTTGCAATTCCACATATTTCTGTTTTCAACAAACCTAATACTCCTTTCACTTAGGGGAAAACCATGGATAGAAGTTTGAGCCTAAGAGGTCAAGCGCACAGGCTCTGTGGTCAACCAGACACAGGGTTCTGACTCCAGACTCTATTATTATTCCGATTACAGAGGTTTGGGGCGCAGTTATATCTTATTTAACACAGGGCAACTTAGTTAACCTCCCCTCGCTTAGTCTTCTCATTTCCCCTCTGTGGATGGGTGGAGCCTCGCTGGACAGATGTGAACATACAGTGAGATAATGTACTTGTAATGTCTTTGCACGCATCTGGCACAGAGCAAGAATTCCATCAGTTATTATTATCACGATCTTCGTGATTATCTGCAGTTCGTTTGAGAACATGAGTTACAAGCTCAGAAAGGGAGGAGGTAGTCTGTACCTAAGTACGTATCTGCCTTGGATAACCCCACGCATCCTGGAAACCTGCCTGTACTCAGGTAGGTAACACTCACTCTGACGTTGGGGACAGCTAGTGTCCAATGACCTGGCCCAGGTGTGACAAGAGCACATAAAAAGTCTCCCTCTTCTCCTGAAGTACTGAGCACAACATTTTAGATGGGACAGATTCAGACAACTGTCACTAATGGGATGCCACATCTCTCTGTGCTACATTCTGGAAACTTCGCAGGCCCACCCTGAGCTTTAACAATCGCCCCTCCGCAGCCCCCAAGGAGAAACACAGGCGGCAGGAAGGGAGGAGTCCTCATTCTTAGCTGAGCAGCTCGCCTCATAGACAGATGACATATTCCTCCCATATACTACCTAAGCGCATTAGCTCCGCGACCTGGGGCCTTGACTTTGTCTGCAGACATCCAAGCCCTCCAATCTCCCAGGTTCCCTACTGGTACCCCACCAAACGCTGGGCTCTAAGACTATTTCCTCCTACACGTCTGCCCGCGCGCCTCCAGTCCCATGTGGCCCCTCCACTAGTTTCTGCGCTCGGGCTGGAGTCGCCAGGGAATGATTTCCAGTCCGCACGCGGGGACCGGGAGCCAACTGTACTGACATGTTTCCAGGATAAAACCAAATTTGCAGGTGGGGCACAGAAAAGAATCAGGCAAGTTGTTCTTTCCAGCAGCCCCGGCCATCTGCCCGAAACGGGGCAGGAAGGGTAAGAAGGAGCGCGCGGGAGCCAGGGTGTGCCGGCTCCCAGGCACAGGGCGCAGCGCGCAAGGACCCTGGGGCTCACCCTGTGCCCGGCCCGCCCGCGTCGAGCCCCGGAGGCGCCGGCGTGCGTCCTTACCATTCAGCTGCCGGTACACGATGTCCTCCAGCAGCGACAGGCGCTTCAGGACCGCATCCTGGATGGGGCTGGCGCTGTGCGCGCTGAGGTTGGCCACCTCGGCGCGCGGCCGGATCTCGTGGAAGGCGTCTCCGCTGCGCACCGCGATGGGCCGGCACTTGGCCAGGAAGAGCACGAAGCCGGCTACCGCGATCAAGTTCAACACCAACAGCACTTTGACTCTTCTCAGTGAAGCCATCAAACAGCCCGGCCGGCCCTCGCCCCGGACCTGCGCCCCCTCGGGCTCCGGCGAGGCGCGGGGCAGCCAGGGGCCGTGCAAGCCTCACACACCAGACGGCCGGCAGGGATCCAAGCCCCTGCTCGTCCCACCTCAAGGATGCTCGGGCGGCGGAGACGGCTGGGAGGTCGGATTGGTGGTGGGGAGAACGGAATCGCTCACATGGAAGTCCTCGCTCTGCAGAAGTGCTCCCCGAGACGCCTGCTCAGTCCACGGCGCACGGCCCCGTCCAGGCGTCTCCGCGAAAGGCCAGGGATTTGAGGGTTTCTCTTCTGCACCAGCAAGTGGTTCGCCTCTGGACCTCTAGCCGCCGGCGCCGCGGACTCCGAGGCCGGCAGGCGGGGCTGCCCGGGAGGCACAGAGGGAGCGGCGCACAGGTGCCGGACTCAGGGATCGCCGCCCGCCCACGGCGGAGCGCGCCGCGCCTGGGGCCGCACAGCCTCCCACCTTGGCCCGCAGGCGGCCGTCGCGGCGCGCCACCCGCGCTCTTCAGCGGAAGACCCGCTCCCCCGGGCAGGCGCCTTTGTTCCGCTCACCGACCCGCTCCATCGCGCCGGGCAGAGGGGAAGCCCGCTCGGGGAGCCCGCATCCTCCAGGCTCCGCAGTCACGCTCAAGTCTCAATTACTCTCAAAGTGGGGGCAGCACTAGGGGGCGGGCGCCGGGCCGAGCGCTACGTCCTCTCCGCCCCCCGCGCGGAGTCCACCCCACCCCGCCGGCAAACTCACCAGCGCTCACAGCGCCGCCGGCTCCCGGACACGTTCCAAGCCCCCAAACCGCGCCGAGAGCCTTCGGGGCCTTCAGGGCACACCGGCCTGTCTCGGAGCTGGCGCGTCGCGAGGCTGGCCGGAAGGAGTCGGACCTCAAAAGTCACAGCAGTTCTCTACCCCCTCCCAAAACGTCGCGGGCAGCGCGGCGGGGAGGTACGCGTGCCGAATCACCCTCCGCTCGCCAGATCCGGCCGCGCGGCTCGTCCCGCGCCCCCGGGAGCCAAAACGCCGAGTCTCCCAATTGGCGGACGCGGTGACACCGCCGCTGCGGCACCGAGAGCCACACAGCCCCGGAGCTGAGGAGCCCGGAGGGGACGCGCAGGTGGCGGCGGAGGGCGGGGCGCGGCCCGAGGGGAGCGGCGGCGGCGCCAGCTCCTCCTCCGCCGCTCTTCGCCACCCTGTCCCCGAGAGGCTGTCGGCGGCCGCCGCCGCCGCCCGCAGGCTGCCGAGCGCACAGCTCCCCGGTTCGCCGACTCGTGCGCGCGCGCACCCGGGCAGGGCGGGGGCTTCTGGAGAGTGGGGACCGCGCGGGATGGAGGCAGTCAAGGCATGCTGGCTGCGGCCGGCGCTGGAGGGACCCTTTAGTTCTCAGTACTCCCTGAGCGGGCGGGTTCGTTCCATCCCGGTTGGCGATGAAGACATCCTTTTCTGTGTGCTCGCGGCTCCGCGCTGCGTGGCCAGGAATGGCTAGAGGGAAAATCTGGCCTGGAGGCTCGGATTCTGAGACCTTCGGAGCCAGGCCGGGCGTGAGCGGGCTTGGGGGGGTTCTCTGCGTGCAAGAATTCTAACCTCCCCAGTCACTGCTTCTAGGCCCACCCGCTGCTCTGTTCAAATTTTATTATAAGAAGCATATTCATTTGGCTCCTGGTTTTCCACTACCTCTTCCTCTTCCCAAAACCCAGGAACTCGAAATACTGGAATTCAACGCCCCCCCACCCCGGTTGATCCATTTAATTCCTTGGGTCTAAAATAGAAATCAGGCCGCCAACTAATAAAAATCGGGCAGCAAAGCTAAATGGAGCTGATCGTTTTCCCCTCATCATTTTGATCTCATTAAAGTTTTTGTTTTTGTTTTTGCGGTTGTTTTGGTTTTTTCTGGGGCTTGGTTTCTTGTTTTGTTTTTGCCTGTGTATTATTTTAAGTTTTGATTTTTAACATAGAAATGTATATGCAAAAAAATAGTCTTTTTATTTCATTCCCTTGGAATTCTCTGCCTGGGTGCAATCGGGTCCTCAGGGCGCATGCTTTGTAAAATCTACCTGAAAGTGGACACAAAACAGTTAAAAAGGCCCAAGGGATGATTTTTAGCCACACATGTTAGGCAAGAGAGAGGCTGTGTGGGAAGAAACTTGGGTTACTGAGCATCTCATGGAGTATCCAGTTGAGTTGGGTGTTATTATAACCACACTACAGATGGAGCTAGCACAATCAATGGAAGCTTCTGCAAAAATAATTTTTGAACATTCACTCAGCCGCAGGACTGAAGCCAGGGAGGCTGAGGCATTGGGCTAGGGTGCCCGAGAAGCAGTAAGTGGCTCTAAGTATGTGCTTGAGGCTGACTCTCAAGCGTGTGCATATTTGGGAGTGGAAGACAGGAAACAAAGTAGAGGAAACAGCCTCAGAGTAATCGAGAAGTTTCCAGGCAAATTTCAATTTCAGAGAGATTTCTGTGCTTTCTCTAAAGCCAGAGAGGTCCCTGATGCAAATTAACTTTTGGCTTTATCATGCATCCTCCAGGAGCCTCCTCTCAGCTCCTGCACGCATTCTGGGCAGCTTCTGTGTTCAAAAATGACACTGGACACTACTCAATGAGTGACCCACTGTCATGGCCTCATCCTGAACCCTGTATTCACAGAGGAGCCTTCCACTCCTGCAATCCTGCACTAAAATCCCAGCCTGTTATTACTGTTCCCTAGCTTTTTACCTCTCCCATTCTCAACTCCAAACAAACATATTCTCCAGCCAACAACTTCCTTCTCCTTCCCAGGTGTCCATGCCTCTCTATCCCCTCTGGAGTTCCTTCCCTCCTCTTTCTGGAGTTCATGGTTAGTCATTTATTTCAAACACATTCCTAATAGGGCCTGCTATTAAGGATCATGCACATGTATATCATATTTTTCCACTGCCCCAGCCTAGCAATCCCCAACTCTGAATCAATTTCACCTTCTTCTTTCTCAACCCAAGGACAAAGGCAAGAGCAAGTGTACCCAGGGAAAAACCACATCATCTCAAAGCCTGCAGGCATTTCCAATTGGTGGTGTCTAACCTTACCTGGGCCTTCGATTCTACTGAAAAGCTCTATTCCATGTCCCTAGCCAGCTCCTCTCCCTAGAGACACCCTAGCTAGACTTCAGGAGTTCATGAATAGCTCTCAATCAGATGAAAAAGTGTATCTGCATGTTACATAGACATTTTTCTGGGGAAAAGACCTGTAAGTTTCATCAGATTCTCAACATAGTCAATGACCCTAAAAGTTTAAGGACCTGCCTAGCATGTTATATATGCAAAAACATAATCAACTAAACGTTTATTATATACCAGCTGCTTCTGAAACCAACAAAACTACACTTCAGTGGCTGTGTGGTCTGCTCGCCATAAGGTCTGGGTTCCAGTCCCATTTCGGTCACCAAAGAATAAATCTGTTCTTGACTTTAAAAGAAGAAATTTATCTTGGATGGCACCCAAAACCATTCCCAGTCATAAAACTCAGTTTAACTACAAAAGCTTTATCAAAAGAGTTTCTTTGGTTGGTTGGTTGAGCAAACTGAAAGGAAAGAGACCAATGGTATTTCTGTGCAAGGATTTTTTATTTCAAATACATTTTTCACTCAACCATGGTTCAAATAACATATGCCTTTGACATGACTCTGTCCCCTTTGTTTGTCTGTTAAAAATGTATCGCATCTCATCTGAGTCCATAACAGGAGTTAAAATACTTGGAGTTTCGCCAAGGGAAACCAGGGACTCATCTCTCTACAGAGGTTTGGCCAACTCATTTACTCTTGCTAGAATTCGCGAGGCAAAGCCTTCACTCTCATAAAACCCTGAGCATTGCAAAAGATACTGGAGTTTTGGTTGTTATAATTTCAACTTTCATTTTAGACACAGAGGGTATACGTGCAGGTTTGTTACATGAGTATATTGTGTGATGCTAAGGTTTGGGGTACGGATTCTGTCACCCAGGTACTAATGAGCATAGTAACCAATAGAACCAATAGGTAGTTTTCTTTCTTTCTTTCTTTCTTTTTTTTTTTTTTTTGAGAGAAGTCTTGCCGTTGCCCAGGCTGGAGTGCAGTGGCACGATCTGGGTTCACTGCAACCTCCACCTCCTGGGTTCAACCGATTCTCCTGCCTCAGCCTCCCAAGTAGCTGGGATTACAGGCAGGGCCACCACGCCTGGCTAATTTTTGCATTTTTAATAGAGATGGGATTTCGCCATGTTGGCCAGGCAGGTCTCGAACTTCTGACCTCAGGTGATCTGCCTGCCTCGGCCTCCCAAAGTGCTGAGATTACAAGAGTGAGCCACTGTGCCCGGCTGGTAGTTTTTCAATCCATTTCCCCCCCACCCCCCTTGTAGTAGCCCCAGTGTCCATTGTCCCCATCTTGATGTCCACACATACTCAATGTCTAGTGCCCGCTTATAAGTGAAAACATGCAGTAATTGGTTTTCTGTTCCTGCGTTAATCCTCTTAGGATTATGGCCTCCTACCTGCAGGGTGTTTTTTATTTTGTTTTGTTTTGTTTTTTGGACGGAGTTTCTCTCTTGTCGCCCAGGCTGGAGTGCAATGGCATGATCTCGGCTCACCACAACCTCCGCCTCCCAGGTTCAAGCGATTCTTCTGTCTCAGCATCCCGAGTGGCTGAGATTACAGGCACATGCCACCACACCAGGCTAATTTTTGTATTTTTTTTTTTTTATAGAGACAGGGTTTCTCCATGTTGGTCAGGCTGGTCTTGAACTCCTGACCTCAGGTGATTTGCCCACCTCAGCCTCCCAAAGTGCTGGGATTACAGGAGTGAGCCACCGCGCCCAGCTACAGATTTTTTAAAGGAGGAAACAAAAAGACATGAATCTACCTCCCCGCTTCAAGAATTCACAGTGTAGCAGTGGTGGGGAGCTTACACGGGAGATAAGTAAACAGGGAGAGACCAAGCTGTGCTGACTGTGCTCAGTGCCTAGGTATTGTGTGTCAGGCATTGTACATGCATCAGCCTAGCCTCACCATTGAATCTGCTGTGTGACCTTGAGCAAATTACCTCACTTCTCTGGGCATTACCCATTTTTATTTTTCTAGCTGTCAAACAGGAATAATATCCATAATATTACCTCTTGAAGTTGCAAGCATAAATGAGCTAATATGTGTAAATTGCTTAGCTCAGTGCTAGGCATCTAATAAGCACCATGGAAATAAACAAAGACCACCCAAGTGAGGACAAGCAAAGGCTGTCTATTCTGAGCTTGCTATTGCAAGGGAGTCAGCCATCATTCCTTGCATGTGGTAGAAACTCAAAGGCAGGCAGAGGAAAGAAAAGAAAAACTTCTAGGGGCTGAGCGAGGTGGCTCACGCCTGAAATCCCAGCACTTTGAGAGGCCAAGGTGGGCAGATCACCTGAGGTCAGGAGTTCGAGACCAGCCTGGCTAACATGGTGAAATCTTGTCTCTGCTAAAAATGCAAAAATTAGCTGGGCGTGGTGGGACACCTCCCAGCTACTAGGGAAGCTGAAGCAAAAGAATTACTTGAACCCAGGAGACAGAGGTTGCGGTGGGCCAAGATCGCCCTACTGCACTCCAGCCTGGGCGACAGAGTGAGTTTCCATCTCAAAAAAAAAAAAAAAAAAAGAAAGAAAGAAAAGAAAAAGAAAAGCTTCTGGGGCGTGAAAGGGACAAGTGCACCCTGACTGAAGGCCGCTGGTCTGGGGAAGCGGGAGGTGGGCTAACTTAGAAGCAGGGTTTCCATGTGATCAGTGAGGAGGACATATTTCACTTTCTTTGGTTGGTTCAAAATTGAAAATTGGGCAAAAATCTGAGAAGCTGGCAGCCATGTCCTGGCCATGTTGAGCCACTTGCGGCAGATGTTTCAAGTCAGAGTTCTTTTTTTTTTTTTTTTTTTTTTTTGAGACGGGGTCTTACTCTGTTGCCCAGGCTGGAGTGCAGTAGCACAGTCTCGGCTGACTGCAGCCTCAACCTCCTATGCTCAAGGGATCTCCCACCTCAGCCTCCCGAGTAGCTAGGATCACAGGTGCACACCACTGTGCCCAACTAATTTTTGTATTTTTAGTAGAGGTGGGTTTCCCTGTGTTGCCCAGGCTGGCCTCAAACTCCTGGACTCAAGAGATCCACCCGCCTCGGCCTCCCAACGTGCTGGGAGTACAAGCGTGAGCCACCATTCCCGGTCTTCCGGTCAGAGTTCTATTGTCACATATGGCCTAGCCATTGTCTGTTAGAATTTCAGCCTTTCTGCACTCAATAAGTATTATTACGTTGGTGCAACAGTAATTGTGGGTTTTGTCATCACTTTTAATGGCAAAAGCCACAATTACTGTTGCACCAACCTAATAGTTAATGTTGTTATTAACTATTAATTACTACAATTGGCTACAATACTACAATAGTTACAATAGTTAACTATTAAAATTACTACAGTTGGCCAGGCATAGTGGCTCACGCCTGCAGTCTAAGCACTTTGGGAGGCTGAGGCGGGAGAATCTATTGAGGGTGGAAATTCAAGACCAGTCTGAGGCTGAATCCGGTGGCTCACGCCTGTAATCCCAGCACTTTGGGAGGCCAAAGTGGGCGGATCACTTGAGGTCGGGAGTTCGAGACCAGCCTGCCCAACATGGTGAAACCCCATCTCTACTAAAAATACAGAAAATTAGCCAGGCATGGTGGCACATACCTGTAGTCCCAGCTACATGGGAGGCTGAGGCAGGAGAATTGCTTGAACCCAGGATTCAGAGGTGAGCCAAGATCTTGCCACTGCACTCCAGCCTGGGAGACAGAGCAAGACTCTTCCTCAAAAAAAGAAAAGATTAAAAAAAAAAAAAGACCAGACTGAGCAACATAGCAAGACCCCATCTCTGCAAAAATGAAAATAAAAACTTTAGCCGGGCATAGTGGCACACTCCTGTAATCTCAGCTGCTTGGAGGCTGAGGCAGAATGATCACTTGAGACCAAGAGTTTAAGGCTGTAGTGAGCTATGATTGCACCACTGCACTCCAGCCTGGGCAACAGAGTGAGACACTCACTCTAAAAAAGACAAAAAAAAGTACTGCAAATGAGAAAGGCCAGTAGTTGGTGAAAACAAGCATCAGAATCCACTTGCCTTTGAGACTTAGGCCATGCCCCCTGTACCCCACGTCACTTTCTCTGACCAAGATGTCATCAGCCAGCACGAGTGGCTTGCAAAGTGTAGGTACAAGGCCGGGCACAGTGGCTCATGCCTGTAATCCCAGCATTTTGGGAGGCCAAGGCGGGCGGATCTCTTGAGGTCAGGAGTTTGAGACCACCCTGGCCAACATGGTGAACCACATCTCTACTGAAAACATACAAAAAATGAGCAGGATGTGGTGGTGTGCACCTGTAGTCTCAGCTACACAGGATGCTAAGCAAGAGAATCACTTGAACTCAGAGAGTCAGAGGTTGCAGTGAGCTGAGATTGCACCTGCCCTCCTGGGCGACAGAGCAAGACTCTGTCTCAAAAACAACAAAAAAAAAGTGTGGATATAAGACAACCCACTGGGATACAGGAAGAAAATATTGGAGCTTCTGTCTTCTAGTATATGCAACTAATACAAGCAGTCATGCATGTAAATAATTTTTAAATAAATATACATGTAACAGGTGTGCATGTTTCACGTCTTTTCCTGATAAGATCCACCATGAAAAAGCAATTGAAGCCTACTAGCCAAGTTGCATAGCAGCCCTGGGGTTGTATTTTCATTAAGATACATCCTTTCTACTGTTGGATTCCCTTTAACCAGACCCTCTTAAGGCCCAGTTTAAAATCCCACTCCTCTGCAGAGCCCTATCAAAGAGCTCCTAACACGTGCAACTGTTTGTCTAGAAATCATCTACAATGTATCTAAAATCTACTAAGTGACTATTCATCCACTGAACTCTTAATGAGGGCTTACAATGTGCTGTTCTGTGCAGGGCAGGGTGGGTACATGTTTCCTGCCCCCATGGGGCTTATTGTCTACCAGGAAAGACAAATGGTAAATAAATCATAATGTTAACGTTATTAAATTGTAGCTAGGGCTAGGTGCGGTGGCTCATGCCTGTAATCCCAGCACTTTGGGAGGCCGAGGCAGGCGGATCACGAGGTGAGGAGATCGAGACCATCCTGGCTAACATGGTGAAACCCCGCCTCTACTAAAAATACAAAAAATTAGCTGGGCGTGGTGGCGGGTGCCTGTAGTCCCAGCAACTCGGGAGGCTGAGGCAGGAGAATGGCGTGAACCCGGGAGGCAGAGCTTGCAGTGAGCCGAGCCAAGATTGTGCCACTGCACTCCAGCCTGGGTGACAGAGCAAGACTCCGTCTCAAAATAAATAATAAATAAATAAATAAATGATAAATAAATTGTAGCTAGGAGAAACAATGAGGCCTACCCCTGAAGGATGGGCTCTTCTGTGCCTGTCCTGTTGTCCTGTCATCGAACTTCAGGGGATCTAATCCAACCAGCTGCCTTGGGGAACACCCTTTCCCTCCTTTCTGTTCCCAGTCCCCATCTCTGTCTTAATTCAGCATCCCAGACACTCCTCCCAAGGCCCACCTGCCTGGCAATGCCTTGGCCTAGGAAAGGTCTTCTGAGGCCGGACACGGTGGTCACACCTGTAATCCCAGCACCTTGGGAAGCCGAGGCGGGTGGAGTCCAGGAGTTTGAGACCAGCCTGGACAACATGGTGAAACCCCATCTCTACTAAAAATACAAAACTTAGCTGGGTGTGGTGGTGGGCACCTGTAGTCTCAGCTACTCAGGAGGCTGAGGCAGGAGAATTGCTTGAACCCAGGAGGTGGGGGTTGCAGTGAGCTGAGATTGTGCCACTGCACTCCAGCCTAGTCAACAGAGCAAGCCTTGATGTCAAAAAAAGAAAAGAAAAGAAAAGTAAAGAAAGATCTGAAATGTAGATGAGCCTCACTCCAGTCCTTCTCAGGGGCAAACCTCTACTTTACTCAATCTGTGTATCTTTTCTAAATGTATTAAAGGTTTGTAGAACCGGAAGACTGCCTGTCTTTAAGGATTCTAAGTGGAAAAAGGAAAAAGGAGGAACACAGGAGGTGACTTTTCACTGACTTTTCACTGCCTCTCCATTTCCTGTTGTTGCTATGAATAAACCCTTAATAGGATCAGTGCTTGCTTTGGGGTGAGTGTGTGGAGAGGCCGAGAGACTGAGCTGTCACTGTCACAGGCCACACAGATGCAGTGTCGGCCTGACCCTGCTCAGCAGGACTCAGGCCTGAGTGGGGCATCTGGGAACGACAGGGGATGACCAGGGTTCAAACCTCAAAGGAACATCACTCACAAGGGGAACAGCTACGGAGGGCCCTCCATACTCACCCACACCCCCTGACTGCACTCAGTGCCCATGCAATTCTGGTCCTGCCTGGCAAGTCCTGCTCTCAGTTGACAAGAATAAATATGGATGTTCAGGGTCACGAGCTGGAGGCATTTATTTGTTTAGCCACTGATTCCATCCTCTTTTTAAAGGTCTAGAACTCTGCTTGTGAGTGTTCTAGATACACCTTCTGTTACAAAACCTAAATGGGAGTCTGCTAACTCAATGCAGTAAGGTCCAGACTTCCAACGGAGGTTTTTCCAGCGGTGGAAGGGAAGTCATTTATTTGCACAGCATCAAGCAGGGAGAATCAGGGCAGCTCATGTTTAAGACCAGACCTCCCCGATGGCTCACAGGTAAGGGTTTTTAAAGGCATGGGTTGGCTGGGCACGGTGGCTCACTCCTGTAATCCCATCACTTTGGGAGGCAGAGGTGGGTGGATCACTTGAGGTCAGGAGTTTGAGACCAGCCTGGACAACATGGTGAAACCCCATCTCTACTGAAAAAAAAAAAAAAACTAGTCGGGCATGGTGGTGGGTGCCTGTAGTCCCAGCTACTCTGGAGGCTGAGGCAGGAGAATCACTTAAACTCAGGAGGTGGAGGTTGCAGTGAGCCGAGATCGCACCATTGCACTCCAGCCTGGGCAACAAGAGCGAAACTCCGTCTCCTAAAATAAAATAAAATAAAATAAAATAAAATAAAGGCAGGGTAAATTTCAGGAAAGCAGAAGCTACAGGCAAAATTGTGGAGCTTACACATTGGTTTTGGTATAAAAGAGTGGAATATCTTGAAGTGAGGGCTTACAGGTTATAGGCAGATTCAAAGACTTTCTGATTTGTGATTGATTCAGAAAGCAAGTTATGTCTAAAAATTTGGGATCAGCAGAAAAAAAACGTTAGCTCTGGCTCGTGGACGTGACCTTCTTCAGGCCCCTCAGGAAGAAATTTAGAAAAAAGAATGGTGGTTAGAGTTCAGTCTTGAGTTTCCTCTTACCTGAAGTCTGCTTGTCAGTGGATTCATTTGGTGGGGTCCAGGTCGGGTCCAGATTTCTGAAAAGGTTTCTGGGTGGAGTCCAGGTTTCTAGGGGGACAGTGCAGGGCCCTAAAAAGGGGGATCTCTGCTCCATTTCACTTCCTTTGTCACAACCAGATATCCAATCACCTACACACCAAAGTTGTAATAAATGCATATTTGTTTACCCTCAATGCCTTTCTCATTCTATATTTGCTAGTTGATAGGGGAGAACTACCTCTCTGTAATGGGTGGTGACTTAGCCTCAAGGCCAGCTACCCTGGGTGGTTTCACAAAGCCTCAGGAGGTAGTCTTTGAAACTACAGCTTCTTGAGTTATTTTTGCTGAATGGGACAACTTGTTTGGAGAAAACACCCAGGGAAGCATAATTTTAACAGCTCACTCAGAATAGCCCATAGCATTCTGCAAGAGCTTTGGAAATGAGCAAGATTACTGGAGTTTTCATGGCACAGGTAGAATTTCTGGGATAAATAAAAGTTTGTGGGATTTTACCTTGGCCATCTTTAACTTAATTCATAGCCAAGAACATGTAAATGGATCATCCTCAAGTTCCCCAGGCTCATGGGCTACCCTTCCATTTAATATCCTCCATCTCAGCTGCTACGGGAAGTCCAGTGCCCTCTCCAAGTACTTCCAAGGGAGAGATTCTCTGGGTTGCTCATCTAGCTCATCTAGATTGGAAGCCACCTAACTCTGGTTGCTACGCTGGGCTCCATAGAACTTTTGGTCACCTGGTCAACATTTGTCCATGTCTTCATCTCCCTTCATTAACATTTTTTTTGAGACAGGGTCTCCCTCTGTCACCCAGGCTAGAATGCAGTGGTATGATCATAGCTTATGCAGCCTTGACCTACTGGACTCAAGCAATCCTCCTGCCTCAGCCTCCCGAGTAGCTGAGACTACAGGCATGTGCCACCATGCCCAGCTAATTATTTATTTATTTGTTTATTTATTTATTTATGTTGTAGAGATGGGTTCTTGCTGTATTGCCCAGGCTGGGCTGAAACTCCTGTCCTCAAGTAATTCTCCAGCCTGGGCTTTCCAAAACACCGGGATTATAGGCATGAGCCACCAAGCCCAGTCCTCACTAACATTTCTTCTCAACCAGGGACGTAGGTTCCTATATTAGTTCTCTGTAGTTCCTGTGAAAAATTACCACCAACTCAGTGGCTTAAAACTGCATAAATTTGTTATCTGACAGTTCTGGAGGTCAGAAATCCAACACAGATGGCATTGGGCTAGGATCAAGGTGTTGTCAGAATTACACTCCTTTCTGGAAGTTCCAGGGAACAATCTTTTCTTCCCTTTTCTGGCTTCTTGAAGCTTCCCACTGTGCTTGGCTCATGACCCCTTTCTCCGTCTTCAAAGCAAACTATGTCAGGCTGTAATTTTCTCACGCTGCCATGTCTCCGGTTCTCTGATCACAACCAGAAAAGATTCTCCACTGCTGAAGACTCGTGTGATTAGATTGGGTCCACCTGGATAATCTAGGATAATCTCCCATCTCATGGTCTTTAGTTTTAATCACATCTGCAAAGTCCCTTTTGCCATGTAAGCTAACACTGTATATTCATAGGTTCTTGGGTATTACAGTAATGACATCTTTGCGGTGGGGATTATTCTGTCAAATTCCATTCTTCCTGCCCCAGGCACCTCCAAGCAAGTTGTATGTTAACAGATTTTATGTAAGAGCAGAGTGTGTCAGGGAATTACAATGGAGAATGGGGAAAAGTAAAATTCAATATTAAGTATCAGTGGGCCTAAAATTCACCGGCCCTTGCCTGTCATGGGGAAGCCTTTCCTGCTATCTTGCTCCTTGGCCCTGCCCCTAAGAAGAATCCTGCCACACACTTCGAAACCAGTATTTCCCAAACTTCATTCATTTACATTGAGTTACCTACCTGTGCATCCAAGCCTGGGACATGCTGGACTTCTTTTCCCAGTCTCCCTTGTTGTTAGGAGTGAACGTATAACTAAGTTATAGTCAAATGTGAGCTGTCTGGGTTAGAAGCTTTCAGATATCTCTAGGCCTCTTTCAAGTTCTTCTTTTCCCCTTTTCTGTGTGCTAGAATCTGAAAGTTGAAACCCAGCCTTGAGCATGCAGATGATGATGACAAGACAAAGGTATCCTGGGGCCCTGAGATACCGCATGGAGGAAAACCACTTGCTAACCAGAAATACTTATCCTATACCGTTAAGAAAATAATAAACTTCTTGTACATTAAGCTACTGAATTTGAGCAATCTGTTTGTTACAGCAGCTTAGCCTTCCCTAATGGGTATATTTATCAATCTCTTAATGTGTAAGTACCAACTGTACTATTATCTGCTTTCTTTTTTTTTAGAGATGGGGTCTCACTATGTTGACCAGGCTGGTCTCAAACTCTTGGCCTTGGCCTCCCAAAGTGCTGGGATTACAGGCATGAGCCATCATGCCCAGCCCCATTTTTTAATTAAAAAAGCTCACTCCTCTTTTCAATTAGCTATATATTCACAAAGTAATAAAGCAAATATCATTAGATGCTTACTATGCCTCATGCTTTGTTTTAACTTATTGAAGGCTTCACGTGCATGAAATTATTTTTGTCCTCCCAAGAATTCTATAAGGTAGGTACCATTATTATCATGCCCATTTAACAAATTAGGGAATTGAGGCATGGAGACGTTTAGTTGCTTGCTGAAGAACCAGGCTTTGAACCGGGAAGTCTGAGTTTGAGTTCTGAACCAGAGTGGGCTGATGCCTTTCTCGCTGGTTTGTTTTGAAAGCTATATTTTGGCTGGGCGTGGTGGTTCATGCCTGTAATCCCAGCACTTTGGGAGGCTGAGGTGGGCAGATCATGAGGTCAGGAGATTGAGACCATCCTGGCCAACATGGTGAAACCCTGTCTCTACTAAAAATACAAAAATTAGCTGACAGTGGCGGCACATGCCTGTGATCCCAGCTACTCGGGAGGCTGAGGTAGGAGAATTGCTTGAACCTGGGAGGCGGAGGTTGCAGTGAGCCAAGATCATGCCACTACACTCCAGCCTGGTGACAGAGCAAGACTCTGTCCAAAAATAGAAAGAGAGAGAGAAAGAGAGAAAAAGAGAAAGGAAGGGAGGAAGGAAGGAAGGGAAGGGAAGGGAGAAAGAAAGAGAAAAGAAAAAGAAAGAAAGAAAGAAAAAGAAAGAAAGAAAGGAAGGAGGGAGAAAGCAAGCTATATTTGCTCATAATGTACATTAAGTGATTAACTTTTTTACAAAACATGCCCATCCATAGACGTCCCTGATGGCGTCAGAGGTATGGACGCCACACTTTAGCAAATACTGCCGTAGAGCAAATGAGGAAAGTCTTGCAAATGACCATTTTTTATCTTCACTATATATGGGAGATCCAACCACAGGAAGATGAGATAGACCGAAGGTGGGCTGCTAGGTGTAGGTGTGGCTGGGTGTCGTTCAGGGGATGGTGTCCACAGGGCACTGTGGGAGGTAGGAGGGCAGGACAGCAGGCACTGGGGATGGAGGCAAAACCAATAGGAGGTGATGGAAACAGCCCAGGTGGGCAGGTGAAAGGTGACATTCAAGGAGCAACAATAGGTGAGAGGCCCAGCAACGGGAAACTGAGTGCCAGATCACCTGAGGGTAGGAGATACACAGGGATCTTATTCATACCAGTTTGCTCTGTCCTCAGGCCACAGAGGAAGCCACAGGTTGGGGGTACAGGGACCCAGGAGAGGACATTGACAATGAAATAGCTGGCACCTAACTAATGGCTACCAAGCAGAGGATTGAGGAATTGGCCTGGATACAGGGAACCAGAGAGAGAATGAGGGTTCAAGGGCAGCCTTGAGCTTGGGCCATGTGGTCAGAGCTGGATCAGCAGCCGGGCCCAGCAGATGCTGAGCCTGTAAACACTGTATATCCTATCTCCCTGAGTCTAAGCGTCCTGCTGACTGAGGCCAAGCTGACTCTCAGACCAGGGAATGGGGTTGAGCCTGGGTATGGCTTGAAGTGGGTAGACATCACACACCCACAACTGGGAGGACAGAGATCCCTTGGAGAAAGCAGGGCGTAGAGGCTGACACCATAGGTTTCTCAGAGGATTGGACACCAACCTGGTTTGGATTCAAATCAAGGAGCAAGAAATAAAGGCTTTCCTCTCCTTCTCATTACACAATCAGCCCAGAGTGCTGTATTATTAAACTGCATTTTCATAATGTCATTAAAAAAATCGCAAATGACATTTTTTCTTATTGATCTTTTTTGCCTAGGACAAGTAGGTTGAAGCTATCTCAAAGGAAAAAAAGTCAGGACAAAGAATGGAAATCAAGAATTAGGTAACCAAATCCAAGTATCTTGTGGATCTGGGGGGAAATGTATCTGCATAATTGCATAATAGCAACCAGTAAATACATCCATATACATTAATAAATTAGATGGGCCAGGTGCAGTGGCTCACGCCTGTAATCCCAGCACTTTGGGAGGCAGAGGTGGGCAGATCACACCCACCTGGTCAGGAGTTCAGGACCAGTCCGGCCAACATGGCAAAACCCCGTCTCTACTAAAAATACAAAAATCAGCCGGGCGTGGTGATGGGTGCCTATAATCCCAGCTACTCAGGAGGCTGAGGCAGAAGAATCACTTGAACCTGGGAGGCAGAGGTTGCCATGAGCCAAGGTTGAGCCACTGCACTCCAGCCTGGGCAACAGAGTGAGACTCCGACTGAAAAAAAAAAGAAAAGTAGAAGAATAAAAAAATTATACCAACATGCTATTTTCTTTTTTCATATCCAGAAGATGGGTTTTGCATTAGTAGGATAAAGGAAATATGATGATACATCCTTTTTATCACAGAACTAGAAGAAACATACGAAGCAACTTTTCTCTTTTACTTATTTCTTTTGTTTGTTATTTTCAGCCTTATGTTGGTTTAAAGAAATCCATGGATGATATGTTCATCATGGATTGTTTGAGAAAATGTTGAAGGCCAACGATTTCTTACCAAACTGGACTTGGGCATCTCTGTGTGCGTGCATACGTGCATGCGTGTGTGTGTGTGTGTGTGTGTGCACGTGTGCGCGTGCACGCAAAATCTCTCCTAATTCCCTAGGTTGTGTAAATTACTCCCTGTGTGCATTCTCAAAACATTATGGATGCTCACCTAGATTGTCATATTGCATTGTAATTATTTGTTTATTGTGTTACCCAGTGGGCTGTGAGAGACTTAAAAGTCAGAAAGCACATTCTGGACCAGGCACTGTGGCCCACGCCTGTAATCCCAGCACTTTGGGAGGCCAAGGTGGGCAGATCACTTGAGGTCAGGGGTTTGAGACCAGCCTAGCCAATATGGCAAAACCCCGTCTCTGCTAAAAATACAAAAATTAGCCAGGCATGTTGGCCTGTGCCTGAACCCCAGCTACTTGGGAAGCTGAGGCACGAGAGGTCCTTGAAGCCAGGAGGTGGAGGTTGCAGTGAGCTGAGAACACACCACTGCACTCCAGCTTGGGGGACAAAGTGAAACTGTGTCTCAAGGAAAAAAAAAAAGAAAGAAGCCACATTCTGTGTCTTCAACACTGAGCACATAGTAGCTTCACTATGAATGTTGGCTGAATAAGCCAATGAATTCATGAACTGAAGAAATAAAAGACCGGTCTCTGGACTAGATGGGTCACAAGGCTGACCACCGTGGTCCTTGTTTTATGTTCTTCAGCCTGAAATACAGAGTATTTCCACTGGAATTTGGTTTGTGTCTGCGGTTGCATGTACAGACTTTTATTTCTATATACAAAAAATAAAGGTGATATTTGAATCTCATAGGAGGAGAAAACCCACATGTGCTCTATACAGCAGAGAATTCACAGCAAGATTTTCTTTATGGGGATCCATGAAGCCAACAGCAAAATATCTGCCCTGTGCCTTCACATGTATAATATCATCACCAATCTTAGAACATTCCTGTCTCAGTATAGACTTATGAAAGCATATTCACTGGCATTTTCTGAGTCCAGAAACCCCTAATCTTCCATTATCATCTGCCACTTACAAGAAACTTAGTTTTATTCTCAACGTGATCAATGTCATTTTACATAGAACCATGTAACCACGATCTGTCCTTCAGTCTTCACCAGCCAGACCACAAACGTGGTTGGAGAAACACAGCTGTCTGTAAACCACTATAGATGGGAAATTCCTCTGGAGAAAAAGAGAAAAAAAGAAAGAAATTCTTCCTGAAGAAACCATGAAAATTTCTCATTTGGCTCAGTTGAGTTTCCTTCCTCCTATGAGTTTTGGTTACAGGTCCATAGTAATTCTTCAGCCCATTCAGAAGTCTTTAACATAACTGTGATTGGCCGGGCGTGGTGGCTCACACCTGTAATCCCAGCACTTTGGGAGGCCAAGGCGGGCGGATCAGGGGGTCAGGAGATCGAGACCATCCTGGCTAACACTGTGAAACCCCGTCTCTACTAAAAATACAAAAAATTAGCCAGGTGCAGTGGTGGGCACCTGTAGTCCCAGTTACTCAGGAGGCTGAGGCAGGAGAATGGCATGAACCCAGGAGGCGGAGCTTGCAGTGAGCCAAGATAGTGCCACTGCAGTCCGGCCTGGGCGAAGAGCGAGACTCCGTCTCAAAAAAAAAAAAAACTGTGGTTGTGTTTTTGGTTTGGATTTTAAGTTTGTTTTTTTAGAGACAGAGTCTGCTCTGTCATCCAGGCTGGAGTGCAGTGACATTATCATAGCTGTTTACAGCCTTGAACTCCTGGGTTCAAGCAATTCCCCCACTTCAGTCTCCCGATTAGGAGACCACAGGCACATGCCACCATGCCTGGAAAAGTGTTTTTGGTTTCTTGTTTTGTTTTGTAGAGATGGGATCCTGCTATATTGCCTAGACTGGTCTTGAACTCCTAGCCTCAAGCAATCCTCCTGCCTCAGCCTCCTGAAGCACTGGGATCATAGGCATGAGCCACTGCACCCAGCTTGGTTTGGCTTTAGAGTTAGCCTTCTCTGTTTTTTTTTTTTAAATCAATTTTATCTAAGTGTAATTTACACAGAATAAAATGCACCTAAGTGTACATTTCAGTGGGTTTTCACAAATACATTCATTCATGTAACAACCAAAATATGACCTCCACTTTCAAGACAGAGAATCTTTTCATCATCCCCTAAACTTCCCTCATGCCCCTCTGCAGTCAATCTTTCCCAATTCCAGGCCCAGAAAAGCATTAATTTACTTTCCGTATAAATGCATTTATACAATAGATACTTTTTCTTGGCTGACTTCTTTCTTTCAGAATAAAAAATATTTTGAGATTCATTCATATTGTAACATCTATCAATAGTTCACACATTGTTTTTTTTTTTTTTTTAGAGACAGAGTCTCGCTCTGTTGCCCAGGCTGGGGTGAAGTGGCTCCATCTTGGGTCACTGCAATTTCTGCCTCCCGGGTTCAAGTGAATCTCCTGACTTAGCCTCCCGAGTAGCTGGGATTACAGGCACATGCCACCACACCCAGCTAAGTTTTGTGTTTTTAGTAGAGACAGGGATTCCATCATGTTGGCCAGGCTGGTCTTGAACTCCCGACCTCAAGTGATTCACCCACCTCGGCCTCCCAAAAAGGCTGAGATTACAGACATGAGCCACCACACCCAGCCAATAATCCATACTTTTTTGATGTTGAGTAATAATATTCCATGTTATGGATGTTATGGAGATATTCCAATTTTATTATCTATTCGCATGTTGATGGACATTAGATTGTTTCCAGTTTTTGCTAGTAGAAATAAAACTGCTGTGAACACTCCTACATAAGCCTTTGTATGGATGTATGTTTTTATTTCTCTCTTTTTTTTTCTTTTAAATAGATACTGGGTCTCACTGTTACCCAGGCTGATCTGGAACTCCTGGGCTCAAGCAATCCTCCCGCCTCAGTCTCCCGAAGTACTGAGATTACAGGCATAAGCCACTGAGCCCCACCTTATTTCTCTTAAGTAAATAAATGCTTAGGAGTAGAATTCCTAGAACATATGGTACCTTTATATTTAACTTCATAAGAAACTCCTAAACTGGTTTCCAGAGTTGCTGTGTTCCCATCAGCAACACATCAGAAATTCAGCTCTTCTACCTCTTCACCAGTACTTAGTAAAATCAGTCTTTTTCATTTTAGCCATTTTAGTGAGTAGGAAATGTTTTCTCATTGTGGTTCTAGTTTGCATTTTCCCTGATGATGAATTATGGAAAGCACCTTCTCATGTGCCTGTAGGTCATTCATAGATCTTCTTTTGTGAAGTATTTATTCAAATCCTTTTCCTATTTTTCTATAGATCATTTATTATTTTATTGAGTCATTAGAGCTCTGTATACATTCTGGGCACAAGTCCCACTCCTCTGTGTAACTGGCAGCAGGGAGTGACTTGGCCTATCTTAGTTATCAGAACTAGTTATACTAATTATCAGAACCTCAGTGTCCACAAGAGTTAGGTGAACTGGCCTGGACTTCTGGATGTGGCTGACATCTGCTGCATTTAGTTAGTGTTCTGTGCTTTTTTTTTTTTTCTTGGAAAAAAGAGGTATGGCCTAGAAACCTTTTTCTTATTCTTTTAAGTCTGACTTCTGAACATGGCAGAAAGGCAGGAAGGCAGGAAGGCAGGAAGGCAGGTAGGCAGGAAGGCAAGAAGGAAGGAAGGAAAGAAGAAAGGAAAAAGAGGGGAGGGAGGGAGGGAAAGAAGAAAGGAAGGAAGAAAAGAGGGAAGGAGAGAGGGAGGGAAAGGAGGGAGGGAAGTGGGAAAAACATTTTCTATTCAAGCTCGCTGTATCACACATCAGCAGCTTCCTGGTTCTAAGTCATTAACTCCAAAGATCCCAGTTGGCCCCAGCAGGACTCTGTGTCCCACAACTTCTACCAACATCACTGCTCTTCTTGCAAAATATTCGTATGCTGCACAGCTCAGGCATCAGGAAGAGGATGTTACAGAGAAGACAGGGCACATGCGGAGTATCTCTCTGTAGAATCTTCCCCAGTAATCATCTGTCTTCTATAGAGTCCTCACCGTCACCTGTGAATAGGTGCAGGTTCTAAAACTCTGCAGATAGCAAGAGCTAACTTTCATTGATTGCCTTGTGAAATCTCCAGAAACCTTATCATTTTATAGATCAGGAAAATGAGGCTCATAGGGAGTATGTACTTTGCCCAACATCATGCAATAAATGGAAGTATCAGGATCTGAACCCAGAGTTAGTTCAGAGCCCAAGAAACTGATCACTTGCTTGCTTGCTTACTTGCTTGCTTGATTGACTGATTGGAGAGAATCTTCCTTATTCCTTCCGGAAATAAACTAACAAGTAAAAAGACTTAGGGAACCTTCACAAGTCTGTGCCATATAACAGGATAGAAGGAACAACATGAAAATCAAGGTACCTAGAAACAGGCAGTTAACCTAATTCTAGTTCACCAATTTGAGAAATTTTTCAAGTATCTCTGCTCCAAATTGAATAATTTTCCAATTTCCTCCTTAAGGTAATTTTTTAAACTACTGATTTTCATAGGCTTGAGCGCATGAAAAGCCGACCACTGTGTGTCTTTTTAATTAGATCCTTTACATGATAATTAAAATCTCTCTCTGCATCATAGCTATTCTTAAACTCTGCAGTAATGCTCTTCGGACTGGAAGTTAGCTGACCATCTGGAAGCAATAAAATATCTTAACCTTAAAATGCAAACTATCAGTTAGAGATACCACAAATTAGACCTACTCGTCATTGCTTTAATGGGTAAATGCCAGGACTCCATCCTTCATTCTGTCTAATCGGGAGGCTACAGACTCTCACAGTTGGAACAAGGCTTTTCAAAGTCAAATAGGTCTTCTTTCTTCCTCTTTGCAGAACCCATCACGAATAGACCTCCCATGGAATCTCCCTAAGACATACTATATCCCAGATGGAAATTCCAAGCCTGTTTTTGGAAACTTCTTCCAAAGTTTATTCCTTGTTTGGGGCTGGGGACTAAGACTGGCCTTGGAAGTAAGAGAGGGAAAATGAACATTGGCTAGAAGCTTGGAAAGGGTTGGAATGCAGAAAGGTTATAAAGAGGGACGAGCAGGAGAATGAATTATGAAAGAGAAATGTCAGTGAATCCAGGTAAAGGAGGATAGATAAAGAAGAACGAATCATTTGCTGTGGTACCCAAGAATCCTTACCATGGATTCAATTTACAATATTCCTTAAACTTGAGGCGGACTGGTGGAAGCGGTTAGATAATGGCTGAGATCATGTGTCCACAGAGGTGAAAGCATGATTAGTATAGTTAGTGACTCAGAAATGTATTTCAGTGATGCAGATGGTGGCTGTGCCCCTTCCATATAGAACAACTCCCCTTTCAGATGTCATGCCATTGTCGTCACTTGTGGAAACAAATGGAGACTACCCAAATAAGAACAGGCAAAGGCAATTTATTCAGAGCTTGCTATACCAAAGAAGTTGGCCAGCATCCCTTGCGTTCTGTAACTGCCCACTGGGTTCACCTTACCAGCTGCCTAGACAGAGCTGATTTATCAAGACAGGGGAATTGCAATGGCAAAAGAGTAATTCACGCAGAGCCAGCTGTGTGGGAGACCGGAGTTTTATTATTACTCAAATCAGTCTCCCCAAGCATCCGGGGATCAGAGTTGTTGTTTTTTGTTTGTTTGTTTGTTTGTTTTGAGACGGAGTCTTACTCTGTTGCCCAGGCTGGAGTGCAGTGGCGCGATCTTGGCTCACCGCAAGCTCTGCCTCCCAGGTTCATACCATTCTCCTGCCTCAGCCTCCTGAGTAGCTGGGACTACAGGCATGCACCACCATGCCCAGCTAATTTTTGTACTTTTTTTTTTTTCAGTAGAGATAGGGTTTCATCATGTTGGCCAGGATGGTCTTGATCTCTTGACCTCGTGATCTGCCTGCTTTGGCCTCCCAAAGTGCTGGGATTACAAGTTATCTCTTTTTAAAACATTTTTTAAACATTATGTACAACCACACACCTACAGAAGTGTTGACAAATCAAGAAATGGACAGATCAAAGGCTTAGCACAAAGCAGCCACTTGAGTAACCAACACTCAGGTTGAGAAACAGAACATCAGCACTGTAAACCGAAAATAAAATTCCAAGTCTCCCAACCATCTGAATCGACCCCTCCTCTCGGCCAAGGGCATTCCAAAGTTAGCTTGAAGAACTACTTCACACCATGATAGGAAGGGGGAGCTGGACATACCTCATTATACTCTTCTCTCTTTTGGAATTACTGATAGAACAGACTCTTTAAGTCTGATAAGAACTATTCACTATCTATTCTCTCTGAAGCCTGCTACCTGGAGGTTTCATCTGCGTGATAAAACCTTGGTCTCCACAACCCCTATCACAGGAACCCAGACATTCCTTTCTATTGGTAATATCTCTTTCAACCAATTGCCAATCAGAAAATCTTTGAATCCACCTATGACTTAGAAGTCCCCACTTCCAGTTGTCCTACCTTTCCAGACCTAACCAATGTACATCATACATGTCTTGATTGATGCCTTTTGTCTCCCTAAAATGTATAAAACCAAGTTCTTGCCTGAACACATAGGAGGCACATGTTCTCAGGAGCTCCTGAGGGCTGTGTCATGAGCCATGGGTCACTCATATTTGGCTAAAATAAATCTTTTCAACTATTTTACAGAGTTTGACTCTCTCTGTTGACAGCACCCAGAAGCTCCCTCTGTGCCTTCCCATCACTATTTTCTACCCTCTCCCTCACTCCATTTTTATGGCGTGAAATACAAACAAAGGCAGAACACTAGTTAAAATGGTAAGCCCATTTTAATCTGTGATAACTTTTGCACTAGGGAAGAGGATCCTACATGAACTGAACTCTAATTTGTCCAGAGGTGACTGGGCATTTTACAGGGAGATGAAGGAATAGGGAGTGGGCAAGTGGAGAAGCAAGGAGTGGAAAAATTACAAAGGGTTTGTGAGTGTAAGTGCTGATAAGGCCAGCTGAATGTACTAGCTGGCAATATCAAAGTTAAACTCTATCTTCCCATACAGACTGGGAGGCAGTGGCCATCTCCTTCCTGATGATTACATTTTTAAAGGAATGGCTTTTCTATCCTTGTGAAAACCACTCCTAGTTGTAGGAGATACATATACATCCCAAAGGGACAGAGGAAGGATTCACAATTGTAAGAACTTTTTAGTAAATACTGTAAGTACGGTCAGGGGCCTATGGTCAGGTGTTGGCTGGAAAAAACAGTAAGTTCACTTGATAGCATTGAGGTCCTCAGGTATGTTGCTTAAGGGGGTCCAGGATCATCTAAGGGATATATTCTTGAGTTGCTAGAAACTACGTTAGTGTTCATTTAAGTCTAAATCATTTATGTTGAGAATCTCTAGTTTTTATAAGCCAAAGTCAAGGTCTACTCAAAAGCACTCCAAGGAACCTGGCTAGAGTTTGGCCAAGGAGAGAATCTTTGTCAACGGTAAGCACTTTTTTGCTTTTTCTCATAGTTCTGTGACCTACACAACAAGTGGGTTTTGTCACTTGGCCGGTGGCAACACAATGACCACAACTAAGGAGGATTTAGCATGAGGATTTTATTACTTGTAATAAGTAAGGAGAACACCAGAGACAGCTCCCAAAGCAGTGCCTCCTTAAGCTGTGCACTCAGGTCAGGTAATGAGGTGTGATTTGAGTGGATCTTGCAATGAGGTGATGCTTGGAGGCATCTTGCAATGGGGTGATGCCAGAGCACAATCTGATTGGATCCTGGATCCTGCCATGTGGTGTCCCCTTCTTAATTCAGTCCCCTTTCCTGGCCTGAGCACTTAGGTTCCCCCTATGGTTGCACATTTGTTTCCTCTTGGCATGCTCAAGGCATCTTGGCATGCCTGAGGGTTCATGGCAGCTGAAAAGCAACTCACAACTCTGTTACATAAAAGTTGAACCAGATTGGTCTGGTGTAGCTGCAGTTTCACCACCTAACCATGCATCCCTAATCACTCTATTTCCGTTTTTCTTATTTGTTTGACTTCCTACAAATGAAGTCACACGTGACGCCTTCTTGGTGCAGGACATCTTTCAACATTGTTTGTGAGGCTCATTTGAGTGGTTGTGTGTAGAACTGGCTTGTTAATGTTGTTGCTGTAAAGCATTCCACTGAATTAATACATCACAATTATTTGTTTATGAACTTGAGTTGTCTCATTTTAGAACTATTACAGATACTGCCGCTGTTAATGTCTTTTGATGCATGTGTTCACATTTCTTTTAGGTATATTCCCTAGCAGTGGAATTATTAGGTCACAGAGTAGGCATATGTTTAACTTTAATAAAAACAGCCAAATGATGTTGTAAAAGTTTAAACTCCCACTAGCAATATATGAGAGTTCTAATTACTCCATATATCCTTGTCAACCATTAGAATTGTCAGAGGGTTCGGTTTGTTTGCTTTTAACTATTCAGATGGATGTACAGGGTTATTGAATAGTGGTTTTAGTTTATTGTGGTTTCTCTGATTATTCATGAAATTAGCCCCTGTTTATTGGTAGTTTGAATATCTTCTTTTGTAAAGTGACTGTATTTTATGTCTATAGTTCTATTGGTTATTTTCTTATTGGCTTGTGTTTTTTATATACTTTAGTTATGACTTCTTTATTGTTGACATATATTGTATGAGTAATGCTGTCAAGAAACATCCTTCTTTATGTCTTTCAGCATGCAATAAGGACGCATTTATATTGGGTGGAATGTTTAGGAGCAAATTTTTTTGGTCACAGGATATGTGGTATCTTTCGCTTTAATACATTTTAAAAAACTATTTTCCAAAGTGGTTTTAACAATTTAAACACCACAAGTAGTATATGAAAATTCCCTCTGCTCCACATCGTTGCCAATAAACTTATTATTGTCAGACTTTTAAATTTCAGCTATGCAGACCCAATGGGTAGTGCTATAACTTGTGGTTTTAACTTGCATTTTCATAATTACTAATGAGATTTAATACCTTTTCATGTGATTATTGGATGTTTAAATATGCTCTTTTTTGAAGTATTTATTCAGATGTCTTATCCAGTTTTAGTTTTTGTTGTTTGTCTTTCTTATTGATTTATAGAAGCTATTTATATATTCTTTCACAAGCCCTTTGTTGGTTTGTTCATCACAAATGTCTCTTTTCACTTGTTTGACTGCCTTTTCATTCTTTCTCTCTCTCTCTCTCTGTTTCTCTCTCTCTCTTTAACAGTTACTGGTTTATTGTAAGGGATGTTGAAGCGACATCATTGTCTGGGGTAAATACTCAAGATTTGTTTTCTCACGGCCACAGAAACTAGGATGCAGACACTCCAGAGTGAGGTTAAGAGCAGAAGTGTAATAGGCAAAAGAAAGAAAAGAGCTCTCAGCACAGAGAGGGGGTCCTGGAGAGAATGGGTTTCCGCTTCTGCAGTGAAATGCAGAAGCTTTTATAGATGAGCTTGAGGAGGTGGGGTCTGATTTACATAGGGTGCAAAAGATTGGTTGGACCAGGTGTGCCATTTACATAGTGCGCGAAAAACTGGTTAGGACTAGGTGTGCCATTTGCATAGCACACAACGAAGCTGGCCACCCATGTGGCCTGTTCCTCTACTGCACACATGGTGACAAAGAAAAGGGGAGATGGAGCCACCATATTGAACATGCCTGGCCCTCAGGTAGCCCTGCTCTATTGGCACTGCTGCTAGTATTCACCCAAGCAAGCTTCCAGCTTGCTTATCTACGTTTGCAGCTTGCTTTTTCAGACTGCTCTTCATTAGAAAAGAAATGATTTGGGGCTGCTTTTTGTTAAAAGGGAAACCGTACCAAGGACTCTTTTGCCCTATCTGCCTAAATAGTTTCTTTATATCTCCTGTATCAATATTACCAAGGATACAGATGAAGAGATGCCTAGGGTGAGGTAAGGGGGAAGGGGTGTGGCACTTCCATGCCCTCCCTAGTCGCTCTACCCTCCAGGAACCTCCATGTGTCTAGCTATCTGGGAGTTCTCCAAATCCTGTCCTCTTGAGTTCTTATGGAGGATGCATTACTTAGGAATGATTGATTAAACCATTGGCTGTTGTGATCAGATCAACTTGACCTTCAGCTCCCACCCTTCCTTTGAGGTTGGGAGACGAGGTTAAGTCTCAACCCCCTAATCATACATTTGTCTTCAGGTGACCAGCTCCACCCTGCAGCTATCAGTCAACATGAGCATACAAAAAGCCTGCACTTTGGCAAGTCCAAGGATTTTAGGAGTTGTATGCCAGGAAACAGGAGGAAGACTGCCTTTTTTTCCCCCCTCTTAAAGGTGTTTTATCTTATTTTTTTAATTAAGAAAATCTTTTATCTTCAAACAGGCTATTATTTTTAATGTGTAATCTCTTTTGTGATTTTCATGGCCCTTTTTAAGGAAACTTTTCCTACCCCCATGGTCAGAAAATATTCTTGTATATCATTTCCTAGAGGCTTGTTGTTCTGCTTCTCACTTTACGGCTACAATGAATCTGGAATTGAATTTTACATGCGATGTGATCAATTCATTAAGGCTCTGATGTTCTACTCTGGCCATCCCAGCATGGACATTCCTCTCTCCCCACTTGGGCTCTGACTCTCTACTCTGGGCCATCATGGGTCCCCACTGTCCGAGGCATTTAAACCAGAGTGACTCCATCTTGAATAGGGGTTGGGTAAAATGAGGCTGAGACCTGCAGGGCTGCATTCCCAGGAGGTTAGGCATTCTTAATCACTGGATGAGATAAGAGGTCTGCACAAGATACAGGTCACAAAGACCCTGCTGATAAAACAGCATACAGTAAAGAAGCCGGCCAAATCCCACCAAAAGCAAGATGGCAATGAAAGTGACCTGGTTGTCCTCACTGCTCCTTATATGCTAATTATAATGCCTTAGCATGCTGAAAGACACTCCCACCAGTGCCGTGACATTTTACAAATGCCATGGCAAAATCCGGAAATTACCCTATATGGTCTAAAAGGGAGAAGAACTCTCAATTCTGGGAATTGCCTGCTCTTTTTCAGGAAAACTCATGAATAATCCACCCCTTGTTTAGCACATAATCAAGAAATAACTGTAAGTATACTCAACCAAGCAGCTCATACCACTGCTCTGCCTGCGGAGTAGCTATTCTTTTGTTTCTTTACTTCTCTAATAAACTTATTTTCACTCTATGGACTCACCCCGAATTCTTTCTTGCGTAAGATTCAAGAACCCTCTCTTGGGGTCTGGATTCAGACCCCTTTCCCATAACACCACCATGGATACGTCTCTTGCTCTGCCCTACCTAATGGCTTTAGGACTGATTATTTAGGAAGGTGAGGGAAAGGAAGGAAAGAAAGAGGAAAAGAAGAAAAAAAAGGAAGGAGAAAAGGAAAGCAGAGTTTTAAATTTTAAGTTAACCTCTGTACTCTTGCAACATGGATTTAATATAGAATTTGAAACATAATATGGCATTGCGGCCGGGCGCAGTGGCTCATGCCTGTAATCCCAGCACTTTGGGAGACCGAGGCGGGCAGATCACGAGGTCATAAGATCGAGACCATCCTGGCTAACACGGTGAAACCCTGTCTCTACTAAAAATACAAAAAATTAACCAGGCGTGGTGGCAGGCGCCTGTAGTCCCAGCTACTCAGGAGGCTGAGGCAGGAGAATGGCGTGGACCCGGGAGGAGGAGCTTGCAGTGAGCAGAGATCACGCCACTGCACTCCAGCCTGGGCAACAGAGCGAGACTTCATCTCAAAAAAAACAAAAAACAAAAAACACACACACACAGAAAAAAAGCCAGGACAAAGAGATGGGATAGGTGTATACTTAGGATAAGGTGCAAGCAGGTGGAAGAAGCACACGGTCTGAATTCCAATTATATTCATATGTTCCCTTTCTTTTTTCCCTGCATCAGTCTTCCCTGTTGATGGTGTGGTTACAATGACCAGAGTTGAGGTCCATGCAGAGTTGAGTAAGAGGCTGAAGTCAATAAAACACATGGGATCTGTGAGAGAAACACATTGGATCTCAGAGGCAAGCACAGTTGTCCTTCATATCCCCGGGTTCTGCATCCATGGATTCAACCAATGGCAGCTCCAAAATATTCAGAAAAAGAAAAACAATAAAAAATAACAGTACAACAATAAAAGGAATACATATAAAAATACAGTATAACAACTATTTACATAGTATTTCCATTGCATTAGGTATCATAAATAATCTAGAGATGATTTAAAATACATGGGGCCAAGACTGGTCACAGTGGCTCACACCTGTAATCCTAGCACTTTGAGAGGCCAAGGAGGGTGGATTTCTTGAGCAAAGGAGTTCAAGACCATCCTGGGCAATACAGCGAGACCCTGACTGTACAAATAAAAATTTGTTTTAATTAGCTTGTCATGGTAATGCACAACTGTAGTCCCAGCTACTCAGAAGGTTGAGGCAAGAGGATCACTTGGGCCCAGGAGTTCAAAGCTGCAGTGAGCTATGATCGCACCACTGTACTCTAGCCTGGGCAACAGAGTGACACCTTGTCTCTAATAAACAAAATAGAAAGTATACAGGAGGGTGTGAGTAGGTTATATGCAAATATATAATATAAGAGACTTGAGCATCCCTGGATACCACTGTATGCCCACCTCTAGGGAAGGCAACAATTAGGCTAATGAACATCGAAGGATTTTATCTGCATTTTCTTGAGCAGAGCAATGTGGGCCAGAATGGGATCATAGCAGGCGCACTCATGGGTAGCCAATTTGAGGGTGACATATCTGTCATTCTAGTAGGGACATGATTGTATTAGTCTGCTCTCATGCTGCTAATAAAGACATACCTGAGACTAGGTAATTTATAAAGGAAAGAGGTTTAATAGACTCACAGTTCCACATGGCTGAGGAGGCCTCACAATCATGGCAGAAGATGAAGGAAGAGCAAAGGGGCGTCTTACATGGTGGCAGGCCAGAGAGCTTGTGCAGGGGAATTCCCCTTATAAAACCATCAGATCTTGTGACATTTATTCATTATCACAAGAGCAGTATAGGAAAAACTCGCCCCCATGATTCAAGTACCTCCCACCAGTTACCCCCATGACATGTGGGAATTATTACAATCCAAGGTGAGATTTGGGTGGGGACACAGAACCAAACCGTATCAATGATCTGTACCTGAAGAAAGTTATTTCCCTCCTTTTCTTTTTTTTCTTTTTCTTTTTTTTCTTTTTTCTCTTTTTTTTTTTTTTTTTAGACAGAGTCTCGCTCTGTTGCCAGGCTGGAGTGCAGTGGTGCATTCTCAGCTCACTGCAACCTCTGCCTCCTGGGTTCAAGCGATTCTCCTGCCTCAGCCTCCCGAATAGCTGGGATTACAGGTACGTGCCATCACACCCAGCTAATTTTTGTATTTTTAGTAAAGTCGGATTTCACCATGTTGGCCAGGATGGTCTTGAACTCCTGACCTGTGATCTTCCCACCTCAGCCTCCCAAAGTGCTGGGATTACAGGAGTGAGCCACTGTGCCCAGCCATTTCCCTCCCTTTCTACCCATAAGGAACATTCTTGTCTGTTCCATCCTTTTTATCATAGAAAATGTCTTTCTGGTTACCCACTTAACTGCTATCTAAACTTCACATTTTTCAAGAATTCTGCATATATTTTGCAAGCTGATAAGTTAATCATTATGTGTATTTAACATATTTTATAAATTTTCACCCATCCTATTTATTTCCTTTCCTCTATAATGGAATTAAATATTCTCCAACAGTGCAAAAAAAGTGGCCACATTGAGGGTTTCCTCTACAGAAATCCTCTTTAAAGATTATGTATAGTGAGTTTCATGGACTTTTCACTACCATCATGGACAACGGCATTACCAGCACTTGCACAGCCATAGTAATGGCCGCCAAATACATGGACTGGATGGGTATCTCCTGCTTACTCTGGAAAGTTAACTGTAGGAAAGCCCATCTGCTTCAAGCTGCAGCTGAGCCTCACTCAGTCAGAAGTGTAGCATGTGCCTCATGGTATAGGCACAGGTAGCAGCCCAGTCCATGTATCAGATGAAGCTACACTCAAGGCAGGGGACTGGATGCCTAAATTGAAACTGCTTTTGCAGAATTAAAAGTAATGGGAAAAATCTAACATGATTGAATCCATCTTGCTTCTAACTTCACAGGCTGAATTGTTTTGTTTTGCTTTGCTTATTCTAGTGCGGAGGCCAAGATAACTATAAGAGGAATTTAGTTTGTAGTTAAACTTTGAGAGAAGAAAAACTGATGCCTACCCCTTGTTAGGATATTGCATAAGACAAGAATAAAATTATAATAGCGGCTTAAACTTTGCTAAAGAATAGGCAAAGGTAAACAATAAGCTGCCATTGCTTAGCTTATTTTTTTAATAAATTGCTTACTGCCTCAGAGTCACATAACTGCAGGGGTCATAAGATTTATGACTTCCTGGCCGGGCACGGTGGCTCACGCCTGTAATCCCAGCACTCTGGGAGGCCGAGGCGGGCGGATCACGAGGTCAGGAGATCGAGACCATCCTGGCTAACACGGTGAAACCCCATCTCTACCCAAAACACAAAAAATTAGCCAGGCGTGGTGGCGGGCACCCTGTAGTCCCAGCTACTTGGGAGGCTGAGGCAGGAGAATGGCATGAACCCGGGAGGCGGAGCTTGCAGTGAGCCGAGATTGTGCCACCACACTCCAGCCTGGGTGACAGAGCAAGACTCTCTCTCTCAAAAAAAAAAAAGATTTATAACTTCCCCAAGTACTTCCGTAGATAACATCACTACTGTGAAACCTATTGAACTGGTCTTTACAGTTATTTTTCAGATTTAGCATTTCAGCAGACCAAGCGAAGCCACCTGGTCCTGAGGTGTCCTCCTGGCAACTGACTCAATTGTGTAAAGACGATGTTAGACACCCTGTGATTTCATCCTCCACCAATCAGTTGTTTCAGTGTCCCAGCCCCCTGCCTGCCAAAGTGCCCTTATAAAACCCTAGCCTCCAAATTCTTTTTTTTTTTTTTTTTTTTTTGAGACGGAGTCTCGCTCTGTCGCCCAGGCCGGACTGCGGACTGCAGTGGCGCAATCTCGGCTCACTGCAAGCTCCGCTTCCCGGGTTCACGCCATTCTCCTGCCTCAGCCTCCCGAGTAGCTGGGACTACAGGCGCCCGCCACCGCGCCCGGCTAATTTTTTTTTGTATTTTTAGTAGAGACGGGGTTTCACCTTGTTAGCCAGGATGGTCTCGATCTCCTGACCTCATGATCCACCCGCCTCGGCCTCCCAAAGTGCTGGGATTACAGGCGTGAGCCACCGCGCCCGGCCGCCTCCAAATTCTTGAGGAGATGGATTTAAGAAAATTTCTCCCAGTCTTCTTGCTTGGCTGGCACTGCAATTATTAAACTCTTTAATTGCTGCAATACCTGGTGTTCTCATTGTTTTTGTGGTGGGAGGCAGTGGGCAAGAAGAATCCATCAGGCTGTGAAAAAACCACCTGGGGAAGACAGGTAACTAGTTAGCCAGCTGTGTGGGCACACACTGAGCCAGGCAGCAGAGATGTTGTCATTAATCCAACAGAAGCTGTTGGGATAACTGCATTGGTCAACTTTGAACCTTCAACTATCCTTGCATTCCTGGAATGAACATAGTTTAGTGGTAATATAGTATCCTTTTTTTTTTTTTTCTGAGACAGAGTCTCACTCTGTCTCCCAGGCTTGAGTGCAGTGGCTCTATCTCGGCTCACTGCAAGCTCTGCCTCCCAGGTTCACACCATTCTCCTTCTTCAGCCTCCTGAGTAGCTGGGACTACAGGCGCCCACCACCACACCCGGCTAATTTTTTTTAAGTTTTATTTTTAGTAGAGACGAGGTTTCACCATGTTAGCCAGAATGGTCTTGATCTCCTGACCTCGTGATCCACCCACCTCAGCCTCCCAAAGTGCTGGGATTACAGGCATGAGCCACTGCACCTGGCCTGTATCCTTTTCTATATATTGATGGATTTGGTTTGTTAATGCTCTGGATAGAATTTTTACATCTGTGGTCATGAGTAAGATGGGCTTGTAATTTTTGTTTATCATAATGTCCTGTCACATTTTAACAGCTTTATAGACAGCTAATTTATATATTATAAAATGTACCCATCATAAGTGTACATTCCATTGATTTTTAGTAAGTTTATACAGTTCCGCAACCATCACCACAACACAACTTCAGAACATTTCCATCACCCCCAAAAGCTTCCTATAAATGTTTTCATAATTTTACAATGCATACTTTTTTTGCATCTGTCTTCTTTCCTTAGCAAAACATTTTTGAGGTCTAATGATGTAACATATATAAATCATTTGTTTTTATTGCTGAATAGCAATCCATTGTATACAATCATCACATTTTGTTAATCTGTTCACCAGTTGATAAATATTTGGGGCTGCCTCTAGTTTTGAGTTATGAATAATCCTGCCTCAAACATTCACATATGTGTCTTTGTGTGGAAATATATTTTCATTTCTTTTTGTAGATCCTAAATGTGACATTCCTGAGTAATATCATAAGTATGGGTTTAACAATTTAAGAAACTGCAAATTGCTTCCCAAAATTGCTGTTCCAGTTTACATTCCCCCTAGTGATGAATGAAATTTCTAGTTCCTCCATACACTGACTAGCACTTGGTAATGTCAATATTTTTTATTATAATCATTCTAGCAGTGTATAATGGTTTTGATTTGCATTTCCCTAATGACTAAGGGTGTTGAGCATCTTTTCATGTAATTATTAACCATTTGTATATCTCTTTGGTAAAATATCTATTCAAATTTCTTGGCTGTTTTTAATTAAGTTGTTTATCTTTTAATTAAAATTTGAGAGTTCTTTCTATATTCTAGATGCAAGTACTTTCTCAAGAATGTGACTTGAAAATGTTTCCTTCCTGTCAGTAGCTTCTTTTTATTTTCTTAAAGATATCTTTTGAAGTACAAAAGTTTTTTTATTGTTTTAAAGAGTTCAATTCATCAATTCTTTTCATAAAAATCATGTTTTCAGTATTATACATAATAAATCTTTACTTAAACCAAGGTTACAATAATTTCTCTTAGTTTTTTTTTAAGAAGTTTTATAATTTTAGCTCTTACAGTTAGCTGTATAATCCATTTTGAGCCAATTTTTGCATATGACTTGATGTGAAAGTATAAGTTCTTTATTGGTGCATATGAATATCCAATTTTTCCAGTACCATTTGTTGAAAAGATTATCTTTTCCCCCATGGAACTGCCTTGAAACCCTTGTCAAAACCAATTGACCATAAATGTAAGGGTTCATTTCTGATTATTCTATTCTGTTCCATTAACACATATGTCTATCCTTATGCTATTATCACACTGTCATTATTATTTTGTAATAACATTTGAAATCAGCTACTGAAAGTTCTCAAGCCTTCTTCCTCTTGTTCAAAGTTGTTTTGCCTATTCTGACTTTTTTTTACATTTCCATGTAAGTTTTAGTATTAGCTTGTTAATTTTTCCAAAAATTAGAAAAGACTGCTATAATTTTGATAGGTGTTGCATTCACTCTATAGCTCAATTTGAGAGGATTGCTATCTTAACAGTATTGGACTTCCAATACATGAACATAGAATTTCTCTTCATTTATTTAGATTTTTAATTTCTTTCACTGATGTATCTAGGACTGTGTCTCCTCATATTTATAATACTTAGAGTGTGTTGGCCTTCTTGGATGTACAGATTAATGTTTTTCATGAAACCTTTTCAAAAGGTTTGAGCCATTATTTCTTCGAGTATTTTTCCTGCCCTTTTTTCTTATCTGCTTCTAGAACCCCTTTTTGGTGTGCTTAATAGTTTTCCACAGGTCATTGAGCATTGTTTACTCTTCTTTATTCTTTTTTCTCACTTTCCTTTAGATTAGATAATTTCTACTGGTCTATCTTCCAGTTCACCAATTCTTTCTTCTGCCAATTCACATCACAATTTCTTTTGATCCCTTTAATAAATTTTTAAATTTTTGTACTATTCAATTCCACAATTTACATATTTTTATTACTTATTTTTATTTTCTATTTTTAAATTCTTATTGTGACTATCTTTTAATTGATTTTTTTCTTGATGATGAGAAATTTTCATCATACTTTTCCTCAGTATGATGGGTTTCTACTGCTTTCAAGTATTTCCTATTAATACCAATATCTGAAGTTAGTTTCTATTGACTGCTTTGCTTACTGGGTATTGGTCATACTTTTCTGTTTCTTTGCATCCTTTTTGTTATTGCTGTTGTTGAAAGTTAAATATTTTAGGTAATATGTTGCAACTCTGGCTTCTTATTCCCTCCTTCTAGGGTCATTCTTGTTGCTGACTTTGTTTGTTCAGTGATTTGCCTGGGTTACTTTTGTAGACTCTATCTCCCACATGGTGTATAGCTGCTGGAGTGTCTGCCCAGTTTTTTATGTTTTTGCTTGCTTGTTTGCATTTATTTATTTTATTTTTATTTTTATTTTTATTTGAGATGGAGTCTTACTCTGTCGCCAGGCTGGAGTGCACTATCTCAGCTCATTGCAACCTCTGCTTCCTGGGTTCAAGTGATTCTCCTGCCTCAGCCTCCTGAGTAGCTGGGACTACAGGCGCGTGCCACCATGCCTAGCTAATTTTTGTATTTTTAGTAGAGATGGGGTTTCACCACTTTGGCCAGGATGGTCTTGATCTCTTGACCTCATGATCCGCCCACCTCAGCCTCCCAAAGTGCTGGGATTACAGGTGTGAGCCACTGCACCCAGCCGTTTGCATTTATTTTTAAGCCTGCCCTTCTAGGGTCTGACTCTGAGTCAGCTTTGCCTAGTGATAGTCAATGACTGGTCAAAGGTTGTGCTTAAATACCTTTAGCCAGTAAGTCCTTTCACTCTTTACCAGTTTAGAAAACACAAAGTTTAGGCTGTTTCAAACTCAGCTTCAGCCAGGGCCAACTATGGGTAGGCAACCTGTGTGGTCACACAGCGTCCCTTGTTTAGGAAGATCTCATACTTGGTTTAATGCTCTGTTATTGCCATCTCGAAATTCTTACAATAATTTTAACAAGGGGTCCTGCATTTTCATTTTTGCAGTAGGTGCTGCAAATTATGTAGCTGGTCCTGGTCCTACTTTGTACTTTCTACTGGGCCTTCTGTCCTCTCTTCTGCTTGCAGATAATGTAAATGGGGCCCTGTCCAATTTCTCCCGAATGCATGAGCAACTCTGAACATGCATGCAAACTTGCAGATAAGCAGGAATAAATGGGAGCATATCAAGACTATCTCACTATGGCTATCTCATTACCTGGATCTCACACATTTCTGGCTAATGCACCTGTCTGTTGCCTACTTCAACGATAGGCTAGCTGTGATGTTTGCCATCTCAGATTGTTTGCTACCAAGACCATTATTGTTTTCAACAATGTCCCTGGGCATGGGTTTTCCTGCACTCAACAGCAAATCACAACAGCCCCAATTTTAATCCCATGACTTGCCCCAACAGAGCTGGGAAGGGGAGCAAGATGAATGGGAGCATCCCTAGGCTAAAATACCACAGATTCCCACTGATTTTAGCTGAGATCCAGTTGTTTTGAGAGATTCTTGAACATGATGCTACTCTATTCTTTAGGATTCCAGAAACTGACAAAAGACATACAAAAGTATGGAATTCTATACATTGTTATTTTTGACAATTTTGGCTCACTGCAACCTCTGTCTCCCAGGTTCAAGGGATTCTCCTGCCTCAGCCTCCTGAGTAGCTGGGATTACAGGAGTGTGCCACCATGCTCAGCTAATTTTTTTGTATTTTTAGTAGAGACTGAGTTTCATTATATTGGCCAGGCTGGTCCCCCACTCCTGACCTCAAATGATTCACCCTCCTCAGCCTCCCAAAATGCTGGGATTATAGGTGTGAACCACCACGCTCAGCCTATAGTTGTTCTTAAAGAGAGGAATTGTTGATTTTTTTCACTCCACCAATTTGGAAGTCCTGTCTTCAATGTCACCCCAACCTGCAACATATCCACCATGCATTCTTCCTTTCAAAGACTGCATTTTTAAGTTCCAGGAATGACACTGGTTCTTTATATACAATCTATTTATTTGTTGAAATTCTTTATCTTTCATCCTTTTTTGGTCTAGATTTTCTTTCGTTTTGTAAAAACATATCCATAATAGTTCCCCTGCAAATTCTAAAACCTGGGTCATCCATAGATCTGCTTCCATAAGATGTTATTTCTCTGTATTACTGGCACACATTTTCCTGCTTCCTAGCACATCTCTTATTTTGTCATTGCATGTCAAATATTGTGTATAAAAGCACCATAGAGACTGAGGCCAATGTTATTTTCCCCAGACAAGATATCTTCTTTTCTCTGTCAAGAAATTGAGATGCATTGGGATTGGGTTTCAGGTTAAGTTAGTTTTAGTTCTCCTTTGATTTCAAGTATATCAAGGGTGAGACGTCTTTTGTGTTTATTTCAGAGCCCCTGCTTCCAAGGACTGAAAGTTTGCAGGGACTCCTTCTCTGCCTTTCTAGCTGTGAAAATTGATCATGTGAACTGGGCCATCCTTGTCATGTTGAACAAAACCACAGTCCAGAGGCCAGAAGGAAAAGTTACTTGGGGCACATGACACGATCCCAAAAATGTGATTCTTTGCAAGCCTGACTGCTGAAACTGCCTATTGTAATCTGAAACCAGTTTTATCTAACAACAACTGAAACCATCTGCTGCAAATCTAAGACTAGTTTTACCCATTGCAGTCACTCAGCAGTCAGAGCTTGCCAGCTCCCCAAAAAACTCTACTAGTGCCAATGAACTGTCTTTCCAAAAAGTACATAACATTTCTCCTTTTCATAAGACCTCCAACCTTCTCTTTGTTCTTTGGACATATTGAAGGCCATCTGGTCTTTGTGTATGCCCCAAATGGCAATTCTTGCTTCCCAAATAAAATGTTACATTTAGCGATTTATCTCTACATTTTTATTTTGACTTCAACATAACCAAACTCTAGTCTTAATCACAGCCCCAGCATTCAGTAAAAGTCAGGTGAGAGACAACTGGCAGGTAGAAAAAACCAGCTTCCAATTCTTCATGCCAACCCACAAGGTCATTAAAAATCACAGTGGTTCTCTTTTCCTCACAGTGTTTTCTGCCCATTGTCATCCTGAACCTCTGCCTTTGCCCAAACTTGGCAAATTCCACTAGGAAAGAAGCTTGTCAATCTCTGGTTGCCTAGAAAGTTCTCTCTCCCATCTGAAATTTACGCCTTAAAACGTATTTGCACCCACAGATTTGAAGTACGTGAAATATCACATGATCCAGTTATTTTCTAGTCACTATGATCAGAGCAATAATCTGCCAACGCCTTCTATATCTTAACTACAGAGGGACTCAATGTTACCAACTTACAAGGTTTGTGATTTTTTTGCTGTATTTTATTTTTGTTTAAATTTAATTTGAGTATCTCTTTTGGTTTTATAGTTTAAGAACTGTAAGCATAAGGAATTTATGTCCCATTCAATGTATATGATTCAGTAACAAAAAATAATTTCAGCCAATGCTAGAGGTATGAGGGGATTTGTTTTTCCTTTTAAAGGAGATTTTTTATTTAAAATTGAAAAGTGCTTTGCTAGACTAAGCTATCTCTCTATTTACTACTCAAACCTGTCACAAAAATTATTTCAATGTGGTTTTATAATAACATTGGTGCTGGCACACGGGCAAGTTGCTACATCTGACCCAGAGCTGGATTTAGAGAGCTGAAAAATGAAGCTGCCAAGCTGAGACAAAGACATTTCAGTACATTTCTGGAAGATAATTCTTGGTGAGTTTCAGGAATGTGTAACTCAAAGGTGTTTATATCAGTGGGTGACAAGAAAGAAATTCTAGGGAACTGATAGTCTGTACATCAAAGGCTGTGTGGGCCCAATAGCTCCTAGAAATTGAGCGTCATTACCCAGGAGCACTATGCTTTGGAAATTTCCCACCTCCTACCTTCAGGGAGGTTCACAAAGTGAGAGAATTACTTCAATTGGGGCTCCCAAAAACCTCCTAATTATTGTACATGTACCATTAATCTACAGATTCTCACCCCTGTTTACATCCTCAAGTTGTTGCCTTTGGACATTTATTTTTAACAATTTTAACTTGATGTGTTTCATTTTAGGCAACTGGGAGAAGCCCGCTGAAGGCTTTGCCTAGCTCAGCCCTCTCAAGATGGAATTGGAAAATTTGCTGGCCATGATGGCATGCATCTGTAGTCCCAGCTACTCCGGAGGCTGAGGTGGGAGGATCACTGGATCCCAGGAGTTCGAGGCAGCAATAAGCCATGATCACACCACTGCACTCCAGTCTGGAAAACAGAGTGAGACCCTGTCTCAAAATAAATAAATAAACAAACAAATAAATAAATAAATAGAAAGAAAGAAAAAATTAATTAACTTTTTTTTTTTTTTTGAGGCAGAATCTCACTCTGTTGTCCAGGCTGGAGTGCAGTGGCGTGACCTCGGCTCACTGCAAACTCCACCTCCTGGGTTTACGCCATTCTCCTGCCTCAGACTCCCGAGTAGCTGGGACTACAGGCGCCCGCCACCATGCCCAGCTAATTTTTTGTATTTTTAGTAGAGACGGGGTTTCACCGTGTTAGCCAGGATGGTCTTGATCTCCTGACCTCATGATCTGCCTGCCTTGGCCTCCCAAAGTGCTGGGATTGCAGGCGTGAGCCACTGTGCCCGGCCAACGTTATTTTTTTTTAAAGATGGGCTTGGATTTTACATACACGAGGAGGTAGGTTGCAAAACTGCATTCTCTCTGCCTTCCTCCGTCCAAAACTTTCCTTGCTCCAGTTTACCTGGTCTTCATGGAGGGATAGGCCTGTGTAGATCTCGTAGGTTACTCATGCAGTCAGCTCCAAGACACAATCTCAAGGGTATCCCTAGACTCCTGTTTTTCCCCTCACCTTCTCCATCTCTCCCAACCTCAACATCAAATCCATGACAGGTCCTGCCAATTTTATGTCTTTTTTTTCTTTTCTGAAGACAAGGCCTTGCTCTGCTGTCCAGACTGGAGTACAAGGCATGATCACAGCTCAATGTAGCCTCTAATTCCTAGGCTCAAGCAATCCTTCTGCTTTAGCCTCCCAGATAGCCAGGACTATAGGTGTGCACCACCACACCTAGCTAGTTTGACTGATTGATTGATTGATTGATTTTCATTGTTATTTTGTAGAGATGGGATCTCACTTTGTTGCCCAGGCTGATCTTGAGCTCCTGGCTTCAAGCAATCCTCATGGCTCGGTTTCCCAAAGTCCTGGGAATACAGGTGTGAGCCACTGCGCCCAGCCCCAATCTTACATCTTAAGTCTATAAAATTGACTTTCTGTCTCCGTCCCTACCATCACCATCATTCCTCACCTAGAAAATGGCAGCCACCATCTAACTGGCCTATTTGCCTTCTACCTTGTGCCACACCAAGTTGTTTTTCACATAGCAACCATCCTGATCTTTCTAAGAGACAAAATTGAACGTATCTGTCTCTTGCCTATACAGCCATTATTCGTTCTCTGTTCCCTTAGAATAAAGTCCACATACTGGCCCTTCTCCCTCCTGGTCATTTATGATCCATCGTTGCTGCTTCTCCAGCCGTGTAGATCACCTTGCAAGTTCCACTTTAGCAAGAAGAACCGCTGTCTCCCTCAACCTCTGCACGTTGATTCTTGACCTTGCCCTCTGGCTCAGACATCCTCTCTTCCTAAAACGCCCTCACATCCCCTTCCTTAAACTTCTAAGCTTGTCTGCCCTTTAAAACTCAGCTTGAGTGACACCCTACTCAGAAAGCCTTTCCAACCAGCCTCCATGCTGCCCCCAGCCGTCTTCTCTACTCCACTTCACATGCTCAGAGCATCTTTGTCATTTCACCCAATAGCTTGTGTGATTGCTGCTGACAAAGCCTCGGTCTCTTCCATTTAAACTCTGAGCTCCTAGAAAACAGAAGCAATCATATGCGTTTTGTATCCACCTTCCTTTTTTCTTGCCTAGTACAGTGCTGGCACTTCAGTAGGTCCTTGATAAATTAAATGGCTCCAAAAGTGACTAATCAGGCCAGGTGTGGTAGCTCAGGCCTATAGTCCTAGCACTTTGGAGGCTGAGGTGGGAGGATTACTTGAGCCCAGGAATTCGAGACCAGCCTGGGCAGCTAGAAGTCCAAGACCAGTGAGGCATCGTTCTACTAAAAAATTTTTTTTAAATTAGCTGAACATGGTGGGGCAAGCCTGCACTCCCAGCTACGTGGGAGACTGAGGTGGGGGGATCGCTTGAGGCCAGGAGCTGGAGGCTGCAATGAGCTACGACCTCACCACTGCACTCCAGCCTGGGCAACACAGTGAGACCCTGTCTCTAAAACAAAAAGAGTGACTGATCATCAGAATCACATGGGAAGCCTTTTCTAGGTATTCTTTTTTGTAATCAATTTGTATTTTATGTTATTAATATGTAGTCATGCTTGTTTTTATTTTTATTTTATTTTAAAGAGACATGTATGTCTACCTTAAAAGTCTCACAGTGCTAAAATAAAACAGCTTTTTGACCCACAACTTCTTCCACTTCCCACAGAGGTGGTTTCTTCTGGCATTACACATCCCTATTGTTCTAAATAATAGCTACTGCTTTTATTTGGTTCATCTGTTTTAGATACTATCCACTCACTTCCTCTTATGATATATTATGATATACACTTACGATATCTCCTACTATTTGGATGTCATATCTTCTACATTTATCTTTTGTTTGTCTCATTTGTTTTCTTTTTTTGTTTTGTTTTGTAAGCTATTTTTTTTTAACTTTTATTTTAGGTTCAGGGGTACATGTGCAGGTTTATTATATAGACAAACTCCTGCCATGGGGCTTGTTGTGCAGATTATTTCAACACCCAGGTACTAAGCCTAATACCCAATAATTATTTTTTCTGCCCCTCTCCCTCCTCCCAGCCTTTGCCCTCAGGTAGGCCCCAGTGTGTGCTGTTCCCCTCCATGTGTCCATGTGTTCTCATTATTTAGCTCCCATTTATATGTGGTATTTGATTTTCTGTTCCTGCATTAGTTTGCTAAGGATAATGGACTCCTGCTCCATCCATGTCCTTGCAAAGGACATGATCTCATTCTTTTTTATGGCTGCATAGTATTCCATGGTGTATATGTACCACATTTTCTTTATCTAGTCTACTGTTGATAGACATTTAGAGAGTTGATTCCATTTCTTTGCCATTTTGAATAATGCTGCAATGAACATATGTGTGCATGCATCCTTGTGATAAAATGATTCATATTCCTCTGGGTATATAGCCAGGAATGGGATTGCTGGGTTGAACGGTAGTTCTGTTTCCTCTTTGAGGAATCACCACACTGCTTTCCACAATGGCTGAACTAATTTATGCTCCCACCAACAGTGTATAAATGTTTCCTTTCTCCACAACCTCACCAGCACCTGTTATTTTTTGACTTTTTATAATAGCCATTCTGATTGATGTAGATGGTATATTATTGTGGTTTTGATTTGCACTTCTCTAATGATCAATGATACTGAGCTTTTTTTCATATGCTTGTTGGTCGTGTCTACGTCTTCTTTTGAAAAGTGTCTATTCATGTCCTTTGCCCAGTTTTTAACGGGGTTGTTTGGGTTTTTTCTCGTAAATTTAAGTTCTTCATAGATGCTGGATATTAGATCTTTCTCAGATGCACAGTTTGCAAATATTTTTCCCACCTGTAGTTTATCTGTTTACTCTGTTTTTTTGTTTTATTTTGTTTTTTAAATAAAAATCTTTGGTCTTTGCCTTTCATCTCTTTGTCCTTTTGCTCTGCCTTCTGGGTGACTTTTTTCATCTCCTGTCTTCCAAATCTTTTGGATTTTTCATTTCTCCTGTCATATTTTTCATTTCTAAGAGCTCTATTTTTGTTCTCTGAATATTTTTTCTTCTGTTTCTGTTTCACAGATGCAATATTTTCCCCTACCTTTCTAAAAATAACAATGACAAATTGATTTTTTTTACGTTTTTTTTTTCCTCCCTGCTCAGTTTATATGGCTTCAAAATTGCTTTAGTTGGTTTGTTTGCTGCGTGGGTGCCTGTATTCCATGTTAGCAGCATTCTTCAGGTACCTGGCCATCCTCAGATGTCTGTTCAGGACTAAGAGTTGAGAAATGAAATCTTACTAGGCGCACTCAGCATGTGGATGGGACAATGTGACTTTGATTACGAGCTCATCTGTGGATGATGACTCAAGTGTCAGTATCTACAGGCCTCCTCCCTTAAACTGGTCAGATTTGCCATAAAATATATATATCCTCTTAAAAGACTGTTTGGGCTCAGCGCAGTGGCTCATGCCTGTAATCCCAGGCTTTTGGGAGGCCAAGGTGGGAGGATGAATTGAGGTCAGGAGTTTGAGACCAGCCTGGCCAACATGGTGAAACCCCATCTCTACTAAAAATACAAAAAATTATCAGGGCATGATGGCACACCTGTAGTCCCAGCTACTCGAGAGCCGGAGGCAGGAGAATCGCTTGAACCTAGGAGGCAGAGGTTGCAGTGAGCCCAGATCACACCACTGTACTCCAGCCCAGGAGACAGAACGAGACTCCATCTCAAAAAAAAAAAAAAGAAAGAAAAAAAGACTGGAGGGTACAATTCGGCTTTAAGCATTTGGAGGCAGGACTCTGGGAGTCTCAAAATCCAGCATTCAATATGTAACTAATGAGTCTCGTTTCACTGGCCCTGTTTGTCCCCAAAAACTCTCTCCAGAGAATAAATCTCTAATCTTTGGCCAGGATGGAGGAGAAATAGACAGCTAGGGGCCTGGAATCAGGGCAAGGATTGCAGGGATCTAACGTCTCAGTTTTTATCCAATTGTCTTATTCTAGCCACTAGATCCAACCTTCACCTTAGATCCAGAAATACACTTCCTGAGCCTCTTCAGAATTCTGTGGTATAGATCAGAATAAGTCTCAGCTCCACCCACTGGTGGCTTAGGATTTAATTTCACTTGAGCTCCTAAGTCAGTCACTACACATGTATCTGCTTCTATCTTCCAAAATTTTGTTGCTATTTTCTATCGTTTTCCCCATACTTTCGCATCTCTCTCTTTCTCTCGCTCTCTATATATACATGTATTATATATATATATATATATATATATATGTATCTCAGATCTCTTTTCTGCAGTCTTGGTGTAATTTAGGGAAAAAATAAAAACAAATGTGCACACTCAATCCACATTTTAACCCAAGATTCCTGAGCAGCTCTATAAAATGCAATTTTCCCAGACACCGTTACATGAAGTCTATTTGTAGTTTTGTTTTTTGTTTGTTTGTTTTTTGGAGACAGTGTCTCGCTCTGTCACCCAGGCTGGAGTGCAGTGGTAGGATCACAGCTCACTGCAGCCTTGACCTCCCTGGCTCAGGTGATCCTTCTGCCTCAGCCCCCATGAGTAGCTGAGACTACAGACGCACGCCACCACACCCGGCTAATTTTTGTGGAGTTTTTTTTTTTGTAGAGGGGGGTCTCGTCATGTTGTCCAGGCTGGTCTCAAACTCCTGGACTCAAGCAATCCTAGGCCTCTCAAAGTGCTGGGATTACAAGTGTGAGCCACTGCACCTGGCCTGTAATTCTAAAGTGGATCTTGTTTTTCAGTAACTTTTAAATGCTTTCCTCGGAATAATGCTGTTCACGTGAGGACTCAGAACATCCAACTTCCCCTTTCTGATCAAGTGGGACCCTCTCTTAAGAAAACACTCAACCTTTCAATGGAAAAATGTATAGATACATACATTTTAGACAGGGATTGTGTTCTCCTATCCTGGGTTTGGTGGTTTTAGCCAAGGCTGCAATTTCAAAGCAAACCACACATTCTGACACTGATGTTTGGGCGTGTCCTCTTGCAAGGAGATAGTTCCGGTGCTGTCCCAGGGATTCAAGAGTGAAAAATCATTTTCAGAGGGATAAGCTTGTGCCAGTTGACTTATGAATTCATCGTTTTTCCCTCAAGCTTTCAATACGATCTGGAAATTTGGATGGTAAGGCTTGCTGCCTGTAATTAGAAAAAATGCAGGGCATATGTATGTATTTTACAGATACATATATAATATTTATTTTTATATATAAATGCACAAAGTAGCATATATACACATACACACACATATCTATATATGTCTCAGGGACAGCACCACTTAGTAAGATAGTTACTATAGTATACAGATTCCACAGCTCTACAAGGACTATCCTGGGAGCCCAAAACAGTCTTCCTCTTTTTTTTTTTTTTTTTTTTGAAACAGGGTCTCACTCTATCACTCAGGCTGGAGTGCAGTGGTGCGATCACAGCTCATTACAGCCCAGAACTCCCAGCCCTAAGCAATCCTCCCACCTCAGCCTCCTGAGTAGCTGAGACTACAGGCAGGTGCCACCATATCTGGCCTATTTTTATTAATTTTTGTAGAGACTGGGTCTCACTATGTTCAAGGCCAGCCCAGGCTGGTCTTGAACTCCTGATCTCAAGCGATCCTGCTGCCTCACCCCCAAATGCTGAGACTGCAGGCATGAGCCACCACAACCGGCCTCACTTGCCAATGGAGGAAGGTAGAGCAGTAAAGACTGTAAACTTGGGGCCCAGCTACTCTCAGCAGCCAACACAGACACTGATGACTTGTATGACCTTAGGTAAATTACTCAACCTACTTGAAACCAGGTTTCTCCATATTGAAACTGGGGATAATGATACTTACCCTGAAACGTGTTTATCAGGATTAGAATAATGTATTAGTCTGTTTTCACACTGTATAAAGAATGACCTGAGACTAGGTAACGTGTGAAGAAAAGAGGTTTACTTCTCACTTACAGTTTCACAAGCTTAACAGGAAGCATGACTGGGAGGCCTCAAGAAACTTACAATCATGACGGAAGGTGAAGGGGAGGCAAGGATCTTCTTCATATGGTGGGGGACATATGGAGAGGGAGACAGAAAGTGAAGGGGGAAGTGCCACACACTTTTAGACCATCAGATCTCGTGAACTCACTCACTACCACAAGAACACCAAGGGGGAACTCCACCCTCTTGATCCAATCACCTCCCACCCAGCCTCTCATCTAACACTTGGCATTACAATTCTCATTTCAATTCTAATGAGATTTGGGTGGGGACACAGAGCCAAACCATATCAAATGATATATGGAATGTCCTGGCAAATATACTCTAGTGATTTAAGGTATTTGTCCCTGATGTGCGAAATCCTCTATTATAAAAGAAAAACAGAGCTTGTGCCTGGGAAAGGATGGTCTCTGTAATGCTTGTGTGAGTGCAGCTCCAGGACCTGGACAGCTACCAATGCAGGTATTGCCAGGGCAGGTCGTCTTGTCAGGGGTCATGTCCCAGAAAGGAGAGCCAAGCCACATTGCCACCCTCAAGGGCTGCTTTGGCCCAAAACAGGCCTACACAAAGAATGCCCAAGGAAGGAAAAAGACCAGGTCCCGCCTCCTCCTGCCACTCCTTTCGCTGGCCTGGTACCCTGTTGCCTCTGCAGAACAAGCTCCAAGAACACTCACTCCCGCCCTGGCTTTGTCCCCAGTATCCTTCTCCACCCTCCCTGATTGTGTTCTCTCTCTAGTCCTTTTTTTTTCTTTTTTCTTTCTTTTTTTTTGGAGACAGGATCTCACTCTGTCACTCAGGTGGGAGTGCAGTGGTGCAATCACGGCTCACTGCACCCTCAACCTCCTGGGCTCAAGCTATCCTCCTGCCTCAGCTTCCCAGGTAACTGGGACTACAGGTGCATGCCATCACACCTGGCTAATTTTTGTATTTGTTGTAGAGATGGCATCTCACCATGTCGTCCAGGCTGATCTCGAACTCCTGGGCTCAAGCGATTTTCCCGCCTCAGACTCCTGAAGTGCTGGTGATACAGGAGTTAAGAAATTACTTAGGCAGATAGTGAGGGTGCAGAAGTTCTTGGTAACATTTTCCTTTTCATGAAAAGCAGCCCCAAATAATTCTGGTTTTTTTTCCTTTTCTTTTTTTGTTTTTAGATGTAGTTTCGCTCTTGTTGCCCAAGCTGGAGTGCAATGGCATGATCTTGGCTCACTGCAACCTCCGCCTCCCAGGTTCAAGCAATTCTCCTGCCTCAGCCTCCCAAGTAGCTGGGATTACCGGCATGTGCCACCACACCTGGCTAATTTTTGTATTTTTAGTAGAGGCGGGGTGTCTTCATATTGGTCAGGCTGGTCTCGAACTCCCGACCTCAGGTGATCCACCCGCCTCAGCCTCCCAAAGTGCTGGGATTACAGGCGTGAACCATTGCACCCGGCCCCAAATCATTTTCTAACAAACAGCAACCTATACAGTCAAGCTACAGACATAGACGAGCAAGCCAGGCGCTTGCACGGGTAGATGCCGGCAGGAAAGAACTACCTAGGACTAGACATGTTCAAAATGGTGGCTCCATCCTCCCTTCTCCGCCAGCCAAGGGTACAATAAGGAGCTGACAAGATGGCTGCGGCCAAGGGGAGAGTTCATTTGCATAATAAGATTAGGGTGGACCACCAGCCTTCCCCACCTGCTATGTAAATGTCATATCTGATTAACCAATCTGTGACCCCTATGTAAATCAGACACTGCCTCCTCAAGCCTGACTATAAAGTCCCGGCATCCACCAGGCTGGTCTTTCCCTCTGGGAAGTCCCCTCTCTTTCTCACTAGAGAGAGAGCTGTTTTCCCTTCTCTTTCTTTTTTTTCTTTTTTTTTGAGACAGAGTCTCCTCTGTCACCCACGCTGGAGTGCAATGGCACGATCTTGGCTCAGTGCAACCTCCGCCTCCAAGGTTCAAGCAATTCTCCTGACTCAGTCTCCTGAGTAGCTGGGATTACAGGCGTGCCACAATGCCTGGCTAATTTTTGTATTTTTAGTAAAGATGGGGTTTCACCATGTTGGTCAGTCTGGTCTCTAACTCCTGACCTCGTGATCCGCCTGCCTCGGCCTCCCAAAGTGCTGGGATTACAGGTGTGAGCCACCACACCCGGCCTTCCCTTGTCTTCCTTTCTCTTTCTTTTGCCTATTAAACCTCCGCTCCTAAACTCCTAGTGTGTCCTAAATTTTCCTGGCATGAGATAGATGATGAACCCCAGGTATTTACCCCAGACAACATAGCCACTTCACTGGGATTACAGGCGTGAGCCACTGCGCCTGGCCTATATTCCTCTTTTTAATATTAAAGCACACTTGGCCTGATGATGCTTGCTGGTCTGCTGGAGAAGACCCCTCAGCTCCCTGGCCAAAGGATTGACCATTTCATCATTTACTCACTCACTGACTCTCATTCACTCAACAAACATGGATTAAGCATCCACTCTGTGTGAGGTGCTAGGTAGGTGCTGAGATACATTGGTAATCAAGAGATATGTGATTCCCACCTTGGAGAATTGGCAACCTGGCGAGTCATTTGCAGCATTCCCTAGACTTGCTACTCCTCTCGGATTTTCACATTGTGAGTGTATGTTGTTACTTAAAAAAAAAAATGGCTTTGGCCTGACAGTGGCTCACACCTGTAATCCTAGTACTTTGGGAGGCCGAGGTGGGACAATCCATTGAGCCCCGGGGTTTGAGACAAGCCTGGGAAACATCGTTAGAACTTGTCTTTACCCAAAAACATTAAAAATTAGCCAGGCGTGGTGGTGAACACCTGTAGTCCCAGCTACTTGGGAGACTGAGATGGGAGGATTGTTTGAGCCCAGGAGTTTGAGGTTGCAGTGAGCTATGATTACACTGCTGCACTCCAGCCTGGACACCAGAGCAAGACCCTATCAAAAAAAAAAAAAAAAAGAAGAAGATGATTAAATTTAGATTTTTGTGAATGGACAGATGGATGCAATGGATGGATTTTTTTTTTTAAGTCTAAGTCTTCAAAATCTAGTTTGTATTTTACACTTATAGCAGATCTCTAACCAGACAGATTTCATAATATACAGTTTAAAAAGTAGATTCACACACTCAAGTTATTCCAAACATATTCAGTTTCCAAAACTGAAAAGCATCATTTTTAAAAATTTAAATGTAAATTAATATAAACTAAAGAAAAGTAAAAATTCTGTTCCGCAGTTGCACCAGTCATATTTCTTTCTTTTTCTTTATTTTTTGAGATGGCGTTTCACTCTTGTTGCCCAGGCTGGAGTGCAACGATACCATCTCGGCTCACTGCAACCTCCGCCTCCTGGGTTCAAGCGATTCTCCTGCCTCAGTCTCCCAAATAGCTGGGATTACAGGCGCCTGCCACCATGCCCACCTAATTTTTGTGTTTTTAGTAGAGACGGGGTTTCACCATGTTGGCCAGGCTGGTCTTGAACTCCTGACTTCAGGTGATCCACCCTCCTCGGCCTCCCAAAATGCTGGGATTACAGGTGTGAGCCACCGTGCCTGGCCACACCAGCCATATTTCAAGTGCTCAGCAGCCACATGTGGCTGGTGGCCACCTGGTTGGACAGTGCAGCTCTGGAGTGAGCCTCTGACTGGAAAGAGACAGGAAACACTGAAGGCATAATTAATCAATATAACAAGTAAGTCATCAGGCAAATTCAGAATGTAATGTGTTCTATAAGACAGATGGGTCAGACATGGTGGCTCACTTCTACAATCTCAGTACCTTGGGACGCCAGGCGGGAGGATTGCTTAAGGATAGGGGTTTGAGACCAGCCTAGGCAACATAGCGAGACCCCATCTCTATTAAAAAAAAAAAATAAAGAGGTCAGGCACAGTGGCTCATGCCTGTAATCCCAGCACTTTGGGAGGCCGAGGTGGGCAGATCATGAGGTCAGGAGATCGAGACCATCCTGGCTAATACGGTGAAACCCCGTCTCTACTAAAAATACAAAAAAATTAGCCAGGCGTGGTGGCGGGCGCCTGTAATCCCAACTACTCAGGAGGCTGAGGCAGGAGAATGGCGTGAACCTGGGAGGCAGAGCTTGCAGTGAGCTGGGATCATGCCACTGCACTCCAGCCTGGGCGACAGAGTGAGACTCCATCTCAAAAAGTAAAATAAAATAAAATAAAAATAAAGAAATTAGACAGGCATGGTGGTGCACACCTGTAGCCCCAGCTATTCAGAAGTCCATGGTGAGAAGATCACTTGAGCCTGGGAGGTTGAGGTTGAGGTTGCAGTTCATGCCACTGCACTCCAGCCTGGGTGACAGAGCAAGACCCTGTAAGAAAGAAAGAGAGAGAGAAAGAGAGAGGGAGGGAGGGAGGGAGGGAAGGAAGGAGAAAGGAAAAAAGGGAGGGGAGGGGAGGAGGAGGGGAGGGGAGGGTGGGGGACGGAAGGGAAGGGAAGGGAAGGGAAGGGAAGGGAAAGGAAAAGGGAAGGGAAGGGAGAACGAAAGAAGACAGATGAGGTCTTTGGGCTTTTTGAATAACCTGGGCTTTTCAAAAAAAAGAACAAAAAAGTCAGTGCCATGAAAAGTTAAGAGGCAAGGTGAGTAAAAGACTAGAGAGACTTCACAACCAAATGCGATGTGTGATACTTGATAAGATCCTGAATCAGGGAGACAAATAAAACTGGCATCAAAGACATTTTTAAGACAGAGAAATTTGTACTGTATGTTAGATGAATTTATGGAAGTGTTAATTTTCTTAATTGTGACAATATTATGTAGAGAAATGTCATTACTCTTAAGAAATACATGAGGAGGTATTTGTGGGTAAAATGCCACAATGTCTGCAACTCATTTCAAATAGGTAAGGACAAAAGTACGTATGTATGCATGTATGTGTGTGTGTGCACATGTGTTTATGTGTGTATAAAGAGAAAAAGATAATGTGTTATAATGTTAACATTAGATTAAACTAGGTGAAGTTCATGTACTAGTCTTTCAACTTCTCTTTAGTTCTGAAAAGTTTTTAAATTCACAATTTAAAAAGCTATTCTTGGCTTGGTGCATTGGCTCGCACCTGCAATCCCAGCACTATGAGAGGCTGAGACAGGAGGATCACCTGGCTCCAGGAGGCTGAGGCTGCAGTGAGCTGTGACTGCACCACTGAACTCCAGCCTGGACAACAGAAAGAGACCTTATATCTAAAATAAAATTAAATTATTTTTAAAAGCCATTCTCATGAAGATTACATTTTACAGAAGGGAGGCACAATGTTAACCATTGAACAAATGAGTGAACAAAATCATTTTTGCTTATTGCATATTACTAGTGCTCAAACATTTTTCAAAGTCATGTTGACATAGAAAATGTCCGGTAGGTGGGGATGAGACTGCTTTATGTTGAGTGGTCAAGGCAGGTCTCACTAAGGAGGTGGTAGTTGGGTCCTGAGGACAAGAAGGAAACAGCCATGGAAGATCTGAGCACAGAACCTTCTGTGCAAATGGAAGAGCAAACACCCTTAGGAAGAAAAGAATTTGTCTGTTCAGGAAACTGAGTGCAGACTACTGTGTTCAGAACACAGGAGAGAGGAGGGGAGAGGTGGAGGGTGGGTCCCAACTGACAGCTTGGCCAGCTGCCAGAGGACCCAGTAGGAGACGGTAAGGAAATTGGACTTTAAGAGCAATGGGGGACAATTTGGGTAGAGGAGGAACAGGTTGGGGTATGTTGGTGTAGGTCTTTTTTTTTTTTTTTTGAGGCAGGGTCTTGCTCTGTTGCCCAGGCTAAAATGCAGTAGCATGATCATAGCTCACTGCAGCCTCTGTCTCCTGGACTCAAGCAATCCTCTTGGTCAGCCTCCTGAATAGCTGGGACTACAGGTGTGTGTCACCACACCTGGCTAAGTTTTAAAGTTTTTGGAGAGATGGGTTCTCGCTGCATTGCCCAGGCCTCAAGTGATCCTCTTGCCTTGGCTTCCCAATGTGCTGGGATTATAGGCATGAGCCACCTTGCCTGGTCTGTGTATGTATTTAACATCATTCAGAAGGCCGTGTGGAGAATGGTGAAGAAGAGTAACCAAGGAAACTGGTAGACCAGTTGGGAGGCTTTGCAGTGGTCCAGGAGAGATGATGGTGGCTTGTAGCAGGAAGAAGGAATGATGCTGGAGAGAAGGAAATGGCCCAGCAATGTGTCTTGGAGGGAAAACTAAGGGACTTGCTTACAGAGCAAGTTCAGAAGGCAAGGAAATCAGAGGAATGAGGATGACTTCAAAAATTTCACTTAAGCAACAGAGAAGTCTGAAGTTGGGATGGGGGGAAGGAATCCGAAGCTCTTTTAGAGATACCACTTTGATGCACCCCTCAGTCTTTCTTCCGGGTACAGGTGTGGAGCCAGCAGCCAGCCAGCTATAAGAGGAGGGACGTACATTCGGAAGTTGTCAGTGTAGAGGTTGTATTTAAATCCAAGAGCCGGCCAGGTTCAGTGGCTCACCCTGTAATGCTAGCACTTTGGGAGGCCAAGGCGGGTGGATCACTTGAGGCCTGGAGTTCCAGACCAGCCTGGTCAACATGGCGAAACCCTGTTTCTACTAAAAATACAAACACACACACACACACACACACACACACACACACACACACACACACACACACACACACAAATAGCTGGATGTGGTGATGCATGCCTGTAGTCCCAGCTACTTGGGAGACCAAGGCAGGAGAATTGCTTAAACCTGGGAGGTGAAGGCTGCAGTGAGCCGAGATGGCGCCACTACACTCCAGCGTGGGTGACAGAGCGAGACTCAGTCTCAAACAACAAAAAATCCAAGAACTCAGAAAAGATAATAATTTACTAGCTGTCATCCTATTCATGAGCATATTATAGCTCTTTTTTCTGATGTATTAATTATTATGGATAATGCTATGATAAATCTTTTTATATAAACACTTTTATATTTTAGACTGTTCCTTTAGAAAAGATTTCTGAAAAAGAAACTCCTGGCAGGGCGGGGGCGGAATGTGTATAGAGTTTTAAAAATTGTAATTTGGGCCGAGCGTGGTGGCTCATGCCTGTAATCCCAGCACTTTAGGAGACCCAGGTGGGCGGATCACAAGGTCAAGAGATCGAGACCATTCTGGTCAACATGGTGAAACCCCGTCTGTACTAAAAATATAAAAATTAGCTGGGCATGGTGGCGGGTGCCTGTAGTCCCAGCTACTGGGGAAGCTGAAGCAGGAGAATCACTTGAACCGGGGAGGTGGAGGTTGCAAGCAAAATTCCGCCTCCAAAAAAAAAAAAAAAAATTGTAATTTAAAATAATTTTAGGTTTACAGAAAAGTTACAAAAATAGTACAGATTTCCTACAAACCTTTCATCTAGCTTCTTCTAATGTTAATAATGTCTTATATAATCATAGGACAATTACCAAAATTTAGGAAGTGGTAGAACACTATTAACTAAACTATAAACTCTACTCCTTTATTTATTTATTTATTTATTTATTTTCCGAGACAAGAGTGTTGCTCTGTTGCCCAGGCTGGAGTGCAGTAGTGCCATCTCAGCTCACTGCAACCTCCACCTCCCAGGTTCAAGCAATTCTCCAGCCTCAGCCTCCAGAGTAGCTGGACTACAGGTGCGTGCTACCACACTGGGCTAATTTTTGTATTTTTAGTAGAGACGGGGTTTCACCATATTGGCCAGGCTGTCTCGAACTCCTGACCTCGTGATCCTCCCACCTCAGCCTCCCAAAGTGCTGGGATTACAGGCGTGAGCCACCGCACCCAGCCTACTCTATTCAAATTTCACCATATTTTCACTAATGTCTTCCTTTTGGTCTAGGATTCAATCCAGGGTCACATGTTGTATTTCATTATCATTTATTGTATTTCCTCCCATCTGTGACAGTTCCTCAGTCTATCTTTTCGTGACCTTGAGTACTGGTCAGGTATTTTGGAGCATGTCCCCAAATGTGGGTTCCTCTGATGGTTTCTTAGATTCAATTGAAGTTATGCATGTTGGGTGAGAAAATCTCAGAAGTGACATTGTGCCCTTCTCGGCGCATGATATGAAGGTGTTCCTAGGTTGATATGTCTTATGCTGGTGACGTTAGCCTTGATCACTTGGTTAAAGTGATGTCTGATATCTGCCAGACTTCTCCACTGTAAAGTTATGATTTTTCTCTTTGTAATTAATATGCATTTGAATGAGTCATGATTTTTTTTTTTTTTTTTGAGACAGAGTCTCGTTCTGTCGCCCAGGCTGGAGTGCAGTGGCGTGATCTCAGCTCACTGCAAGCTCTGCCTCCCGGGTTCACATCATTCTCCTGCCTCAGCCTCCCGAGTAGCAGGGACTACAGGCGCCCGGCAACACGCCCGCCTAATTTTTTGTATTTTTAGTAGAGATGGGGTTTCACCATGTTAGCCAGGATGGTCTCCATCTCCTGACCTCATGATCCGCCGCCTTAGCCTCTCAAAGTGCTGGGATTACAGGCGTAAGCCACCGCGCCCGACCTTGAATGAGTCATGATTCTTTGGAACTATGCAAATATCCTGTTTCTTCTCAAATTTTTATTTATTTATTCATGGAATCTGAAACTCTATACCCATTAAACATCACCCTTTTTCCCTTTCTCCCTCTTCCAAGCCCCTGGTAAATGCCATTCTACTTTCTGTTTGTATGAATTTGACTGCTATAGGTTTCTCGAATATGTGAAATACAGTACGTGTCTTTGTGTGACTGGCTTGTTTCACTTAGTATCATGTCGGTAAAGTTCACCCATGTAGTAGCATGTGACAGGATTTCCTTCTTTTGTAAGGCTGAACACCATTCCATTGTGTGTATATACCACATTTTCTTTGTATATATCACATTTATCCACTGATGACACTTGGGTTGCCTCCGCCTCTTGACTATAGCGAATAGTACTGCTATAAACATGAGTGTACAAATACCGCTTTGAGGCCCTGGTTTCAATTCTTTTGGATATATATCCAGAAGTGAAATTGCTGAATCATATGGTACTTCTATTTCAATTTTTTTTAAGAAAACACCAGCCGGACTTAGTAGCTCATACTTGTAATCCCAACACTTTGGGAGGCCAAGGTGGGTGGATCACGAGGTCAGGAGATACATCCTGGCCAACATGGTGAAACCTCATCTCTACTAAAAATACAAAAATTAGTCAGGCATGGTGTCGTGCACCTGTAGTCCCAGCTACTCAGGAGGCTGAGGAAGGAGAATCGCTTGAACCCAAGAGGCAGAGGTTGCAGTGTGCCAAGATTGCACCATTGCACTGCAGCCTGGGCGACAGTGAGACTCCGTCTCAAAAAAAAAAAAAAAAAACACATTGTTTTCCACAGCATTTGTACCAGTTTATAATTCCACCAAAAGTGTGCAAGGGTGTCGATTTCTCCACTTCCTTGCCAACACTTCTGTTTTTTTTGGTTTTCTGTTTTGTTTTGTTTTACTAGCAGCAATTGCAATGGGTCAGAGTAGTGATATCTCACTTTGTTTTAGATTTGCGCTTCTCTGGTGATTACTGATGCTGAGCATATTTTGATATGCTTGTTGGTCATTTGTATATCATCTTGTGTCCGGAATTGGTGGGTTCTTGGTCTCACTGACTTCAAGAACGAAGCTGTGAACCCTCCCGGTGAGTGTTACAGTTCTTACAGGCTGCGTGTCTGGAGTTTGTTCTTTCTGATGTTCGGATATGTTCGGAGTTTCTTCCTTCTGGTGGGTTCGTGGTCTCGCTGGCTCAGGAGTGAAGCTGCAGACCTTCGCGGTGAGTATTTTAGCTCATAAAGGCAGTTCGGACCCGAAGAGTGGGCAGCAACGAAAGCTACCGCAAAGACAGAAAGAACATACCTTCCACAGAGTAGAAGGTGACCCCAGCGGGTTGCCGCTGCTGGCTCGGCAGCCTGCTTTTATTCCCTTGTCTGGCCCCACCCACATCCTGCTGATTGGCCCACTTTACAGAAAGCTGATTGGTCTGTTTTGACAGGGTGCCGATTGGTGCGTTTACAATCCTTTAACCAGACATAAAGATTCTTCCAGTCCCCACTAGACTCAAGAGCCCAGCTGGCTTCACCCAGTGGATCCCACACCGGGGCTGCAGGTGGAGCTGCCTGCCGGTCCCAGGCCATGTGCCTGCACTCCTTAGCCTTTGGATGGTCCATGGGACCAGGCGCGGGGGAGCAGAGGGCAGCGCTTGTCAGGGAGGCTTGGGTGACGCAGGAGCCCACTGCCGCGGGGGGAGGCTCAGGCATGGCAGGCTGCAGGTCCCGATCCCTGCCCCGCGGAGGCAGCTGAGGCCGGGCGAAGATTGGAGCCCAGCGCTGGTGGGCCGGCACTGCTGGGGGACCTGGCACACCCTCCACAGCTGCTGCCCCGGGTGCTAAGCCCCTCACTGCCCGGGGCTGGTGACGCCGGCCTGCTGCTCCCAGTGTGGGGCGGCCAAGCCCATGCCCACCCGGAACTGCACTGGCTTGCGAGTGCCGCCGCGCAGCCCTGATTCCCGCCTGCGCCTCTCCCTCCACACCTCCCCGCAAGCTGAGGGAGCCGGCTTCCACCTCGGCCAGCCCAGAAAGGGGCTCCCACAGTGCAGAGGCAGCCTGAAGGGCTCCTCAAGCGCAGCCAGAATGGGCGCCCAGGCGGAGGAGGCACCGAGAGCGAGCCAGAACGAGCAAGGGCTGCGAGGGCTGCCAGCAGGCTGTCACCTCTCAATCTTTGGAGAAATGCCTATGCAAGTCCTTTGCCCATTTTAAAATTGGGTTATTTGGTTGGTTGTTTGCTTTGTTTTGTTTTTTAGATGGGGTCGCACTCTGTCACTCAGGCTGGAGTGCCCTGGCGCAATCTTCGTTCACTGCAACCTTTGCCTCCTGAGCTCAAGTGATCCCCTTATCTTGGCCTCCCAAGTCGCTGGGACTACAGGTGCCTGCCACCATGCCTGGCTAATTTTTTATAGTTTTGGTAGAGATGGGGTTTCACTATCTTTCCCAGGCTGGTCTTGAACTCCTGAACTCAAGTGATCCACCCACCTCGGCCTCCCAAAGTGCTGGAATTACAAGCATGAGCCACCATGCCTGGCCTGGTTATTTGATTTTTTGTTGTTTTTAAGTTGTAGGAGTTATTTTCATATTCTAGGCATTAACATCCTCCCAGATTTGTGATTTGAAAATATTTTTTCCTATGCCATAGGTTATCTTTACACTCTGCTGATTATGTTCTTTGATGCACAAAGGTTTCTACATTTAATGTAGCCTCCTATGATTATTTTTGCTATAGTTGCCTGCACTTCTAGTGACATATCCAATAATTCATTGCCAAGTCCAATGTCGTGAAGTTTTTCCCCTTTGTTTTCTTCTAGTTTTATAGTTTTAGATCTTACATTTAGGTCTTTAATCCATTTTTAATTTTTGTGTATTGTTAAGATAAGGGTCCAATTTCATTATTTTTCATGTATATGTTCAGTTTTTCTCACATCATTTGTTGAGAAGAGTAACCTTTCCCCATTGAATGGTCTTAATGGCCTTGTCATAGATCATTTGACCACACATGAAGGGTTTATTTCTTTTTTTTTTATATACTTTAAGTCCTAGAGTACATGTGCACAACGTGCAGGTTTGTTACATATGTATACATGCGCCATGTTGGTGTGCTGCACCCATTAACTCGTCATTTACATTAGGTATATCTCCTAATGCTGTTCCTCCCCTCTCCACCCACCCCATGACAGGCCCCAGTGTGTGATGTTCCCCTCACACATGAAGGGTTTATTTCTGGTCTTTCTATTCCATCGTTCTATATGTCTGTCTGCATGCCAGTATCACACTGTTTTGATTACTGTAATTTTGTAATATGTTTGAAAACCAGGAAGTGTGATTCCTCCAAATTTGTTCCTCTTTTCCAAAATTATTTTGGGTATTCGGGATCCCCTGACATTCCATTGGAATGTTAAGATTATTTGTTTTATTTCTGCAAAAACTGCCACTGGGATTTTGATAGGAATTGGATCAAATTGGTAGTTTGGTTTGGTTAGTTTGGGGAGTTTAATAGTAAGTCTTCCAATCCATGAGCATAAGATGTCTTTTCATTTATTTGTGTCTTCTTTAGTTTCTCTCAGCAATGTTTGTAATTTTCAGTGTATAAGTCTTTCATCTTCTTGGTTAGGTTTATTTCTAGGTATTTTATTCTTTTTGGTGCTATTGTAAATGGAATTGTTTTCTTAATTTCTTTTCAGATTGTGCATTGTTAGTGTATCGAAATGCAAGAGATTTCAAGTTTTTGACTACTAATTTTAGCATCTATTGATGGAACTTGCCTACAGCAATTATTACTGTGGTGTTTGCCTAATGGCGGTTTTCTATTTCTTTCATCTTTTTACATTTATTAACTGGAATTATTCTGTAAAGAGCTATCTCTTTGCTCCTATAAATTAATTCATTCAATTATTTACAGTCATATATCACTTAATCATGGTGACACATTCTGAGAAATGCATCTTTAGGCAATTTCATTGTGGTGTGAACATCACAGAGTGTACTTACACAAATCTAGATGGTCTAGACTACTATACACCTAGGCTATATGGTATAGCCTATTGTGCCTAGGCTACAAGCCTGTACAGCATGTCATTGTACTGAATACTGTAGGCAATTGTAACACAATGGTATTTGTTTATTTAAACATATCTAAGCATTAAAAAGGTGATGCATTGCGCTACGATGTTACTAGTGCTATGATATCACCAGGCAATAGGAATTTTTAAACACTATTATAATCCTATGGAACCACTGTCGTATATGTGGTCTGTTGTTGACCAAGATGTCATTATGCAGCAAATGATTGTATCTGCATCAATACAAACTTCTGAATTTTCTTCTCTTTTTTTGTTTTGTTTTCGTTTTTCACTCTGTGGATTTCAATCCAATAATATAGTTATTTCTTTTGCTGCTAAGTTTGGTCTAGCTTTGGCCAGTGGGATCTCCTATAGTGGGGGCTCCTGTGTTTTTCTCACCTGCTCCCATTCTTTCTTGAGCACTTAATTTCTGACAACACAAGATGATCCGGGTTTAGCTTAGATTTTTCCCTCCCCCAGCTCTGGAATCATCCGCTTCTCCAAGTAGTCCTGGTTTCTTTGATTGGGAATGGTATTTAGAAACAAAGATCTGTGTACTAAATGTCCTCATTGCTACTAGGGTGTCATTAATTCTAAGCCTTCATAGTGGACATAGCTAGAAAATATATGTATGTGTTCTGATCCACATTTGTGAACACCATTATATTTGTGCCCTCTCTGCATATATATTTAAAACTGTGAGTTCATATTGATACTTCCTATGACAATCCAAAGCCACAGGGTTAATTCTAGCCTTCCCTCTTTCCTTATTTGTAATTTATTTATTTATTTTTATTTATTTACTTATTTTTTGAGACAGAGTCTTGCTGTGTTGCCCAGGCTGAAGTGCAGTGGTGCAATCTTGGCTCACTACAACCTCCGCCTCCCAGGTTCAAGCAATTCTCCTATCTCAGACTCCCAGGTAGCTGGGATTACAGGCACCCACCACCATGCCAGTTTCATTTTTTGTATTTTAGTAGAGACAAGGTTTTGCCATGTTGGCCAGGTTGGTCTCTAACTCCTGACCTCAGGTGATCTGCCTCCCTCAGCCTCCCAAAGTGCTGGGATTACAGGCATGAGGCACTGTGCCCAGCCTGTAATTTATTTATCTGACAGTGAGAAACCCTGAAGATGTCATCTACAATATATTTATTCATCTATTCAATCCAAGTAAACCCATAGTTTCAGAATTGTTAACTCATACCTCTCTAAGAAACACATTTACTAGCTTGAGTACAGTATTTGTGTATAGTTCTTTTTGTTTTCAGTCTTGTAGTGTCCAGTTAAAAATCATACTTTCCTACTTAGGAGGCTGAAGTGGGACGATCACTTGAGGCCAAGAGTTTGAGTCCAGCCAGGGCAACATAGCAAGACCCCGCCCCCCAACTCTAAAAAATAAACAAATCCTATTTTCCAAAGTTTCTAAAATTAGTTCTTTCCTCCCACACTCCCTCACTCTCTTTAGTGTGGCTAATCATTTATAACACAGTTAGGTTCATATGTTGCTATCTGCATTTTATTTTTAAGAGACAGCTCTCACCATGTTGCACTGGGATTACAGGTGTGAACCAGTTTGCCCAGTTTGTCTTCTATTTTTGGTGACCCCACTCCTGTGCCCCATCACGGTTGATTTTAATTTTTCAATTATTTTAGAGGTATGGAAAACATTACTATGTTTCTAGTCCATTGAACCATGTCAAAGGTATATATACAGGAGAAATGTTGTTGGGGTGATCAGGCCCAACACCAGGTCGTGGGGGCGACTAAGTCCAGTGGAGTCAAAGGCATGAGAAAAAGACAGTAAGAGAGAAAGTGGGACCAGGGGGCCATCGCGAGTGTGGAGGCTGCAAAGGCCCTGAGCTCTGGGAGCCCACGCTATTTATTGGTGCTTAAACAAAGAAACAGGTGGTGAGGATGTGGGGGTTGAAAGGAAATGGTGTATCAAGTGAATGAGAAACATATGGCTGCTTGAGATAATGGGAGTGGAAGAAGCAAGGAGCCAGCAAGTCTAGCAGACATGCAAGCCCTGCCTCAGCTTCTTTCCCAACACTCAGCTTTTCTCCCAACAAAATGTCTCTCTGTTCCTATTTCATACCTCTTCTTCTTTCTTATGCCCATCCTTCTCTAAACAATTTGTTTAGTTTGATTTATCCTTCCTGTATTTTTTTTTTGCATAAATGAGCAACGTATGGGTATTTTAAAAGCTCTTTTTACATACTGACAAATTACTCTCCAGAAAGGCTGCTTCAATTAACACTCCTATGAAGAGAACATAATAGTTCCTGTTTTACTGTAACCTGAGCATCATGGATAGTTTAGCTTTTAAATCTTGCATAATTTGATAGGCAAAAAAAATCAACTTATTTTCCCAGTCTACATTTCTCTGACTTGCGGAGAAGTTACATATGCTTCAAATATTTCTTCCCTGGTTGTTTTCCTTTTCAGCCAGCCCTCTGTTCTTGACCCATTCATCTTTTGCATACTTAGAGAGTTTCTTATCTATTTTCATAGGCTCCTGCACGATGAGGATAATAACTCTTCATCCCCCATCACTGTTTGTACGTTCCTTTACAGCAGGGGTCCCTAGCCCCCAGGCCAGTACTGCTCTCAGCCTTTAGGTGTGAGGAACCCGGCACAAAGCAGGAAGTCAGCAGAGTAAGCAAAGCTTCATCTGCATTTACAGCCACCTCCAACAGCTGAAATTACTGCCTGAGCTCTGCCTCCTGTCAGATCAGCCACAGCATCAGATACTCACAGGAGCAAGAACTCTGTCGTGAGCTGTGCATGCGAGGGATCTAGACTGCGTGCTCCTTATGAGAGTCTAATGCCTGATGACCTGTCGCTATCTTCCATCACCCCCAGGTGGGACGATCTAGTTGCAAGAAAACAAGCTCAGGTCTCCCACTAATTCTACATGATGGTGAGTTGTAGAATTATTTCATTATATATTACAATCTAATAATAATAAAGTGCACAATAAATGAAATGTGCTCGAATCATCCCAAAACCATCCCTCATCCCTGGTCCGTGGAAAAACTGTCTCCCGTGAAACCAGTCCTTGGTGCAGAAAAAGATGGGGACTACAGCTTTAGAGTAGCCACAAATCCTCCTAAAATGCTTTCCCCAAAGAGATGCTAAGATGATCTCTTTCAACCAAAGCAACACAAATCTAATTTTAAAGGGTTTGGGGAATAAAGGATCACTGTAAAATCCAATGACTCCTTGATAACGGGGCAAGGAATACCTCTCTAGTCTTGTTTACACATATAAAGTTTATGAGGTTTATGAGTTTTGTTTGAAATGAGTGAGTGATATTGAACTAGATTTCACATATATTGATTAGTTTCAACTACATACACTCTAACTCATTGTAAGAAATGCATTTTGAGAAGTTTTGAGTCTGCGCTTGGTTTCATATAAATTGTTGAGTTACATATATTTGTTAGCTCCAATGGGCAATAAGAAGTTTTCTTGGAAAGGAACAAGTGATTTTGAGTTTGGTGTCATGTAAACTGCTTAGTATTAACTAGATTTTCTTGAATGCCTTGTAAGAAATTAATTTTAAAAAGAATGATCAATTCGGAGTTTGACATAAATTGCTTAGTTTTGTCTAAACTTGCTCTAACTCACGTTTCATTTAAATTAAAAGTGTCCTTTCCTGCTTGCTTTCACAAATTCTGCTTAGTTTCATTTAGCCCTGTCACCTTAAGAAGTTACTTTTGTTATGAATGTGTGATTCTTGACATTGTTTTCACTTAACCTGCTTTGGTTCATGTTAAGTTGCTCTAGCTTGAAGTAGGATGGTGCTTTGAGATGAATGTACATTTCCAAGCCTGCTTGTACAGGTACAGTTTATAGAGCCCTTAGGAAGCATTGGAGAAGAAGTGTGTGCTTCTGGTTGCTTGGAAAGAGGCACACACTTATTTTGTGAGTTATGATAAGCATGTATAGACAACAAGCCTCATCATGACTGCCCCCTGACAGTGATTGTAAGACACACCTCAATTTCACAGATGTTAAAATGTGAAGATATCAGCCTAGGGAACATAGTAACACCATCTAGTTGCTACAAATAATAATTTAAAAAATTAACTGGACCCGGTGGCACATGACTGTGGTGCAGTTACTTGGGAGGCTGAGGTGGGGGAATCGCTTGAGCTCAGGCAGTCGAGGCTGCAGTAAGCCATCATTGCACCATTGCACTCCAGCCTGGGCAACAGTGTGAGACCCTGTCTCTAAAATAATAATAAAAATAATTAGCTGAGTGTGGTGGCACATGTCTGTGGTCCCAGGTACTTGAGAGGCTGACTTGGGGGAATCACTTGAGCTCAGGTAGTTGAGGCTGCAGTAAGCTGTGATTATACCATTGCACTCCAGCCTGGGCAATAGTGCAGGACCCTGTCTCTAAAATAGTAATTTAAAAAATTAGCTGGATGTGGTGGTGCATGTCTGTGGTTCCAGCTTGGGAGGCTGGAGTGAGGTAATCACTTGAGCCCAGGCAGTCAAAACTGCAGTAAGCTGTGATTGCGCCATTGCACTCCAGCCACGGCAATGGAGTGAGACCCTGTCTCAAAAAAAAAAAAAAAAAAAAGACAAGATACAGTGAAGATAAAAATGTGTGACATGGAATTTAGGAAAGAGAACTGATGGCTTGGACAGAGGGACACACCTTAGTGTAGTGTATTTTTTCACCACTGTAATTCACTACGAAGAATATCTCTGAAAATAAAGTTTTGTGAGAATCTGTAGCAGAGAATCTCTTTCTACAGGCAAATTCCTAAAATTTGGTAGATTAAAAGATAGTATTTTATTGCTGCTTCGATCTGCATTTTTGCACTGATACGGAACTTCCTTTCTTAAGTTCACTGGTCATTTGTATTTTCCTCTTGTACCTTGCCTGTTAATGCTGTTGTCCAACTTTTCTCCCAGGTACTCGTCTCATTTGCATTGCTAAATAAGAGCAGATTATATGATAAGAACCTCAACCATGCCTGACATATGTTTCAACCTTTCCCAATTTATATTTTGTCTGTTAGTACTGGGGTGTTTTGGATTTTTAATATGTTCATAATAAAACATCTAAAATATATAATAAAAATTTTTAAATAATAAAATAAACACCATTACTTTGCTTTATAAAATCTTAACATTAGTCTGTATTTAGTTCAAACACTTTTTAAGTTAAATTTCACAGATTAATGTGGGGTCGCCATGTCCCTTTTCCAATCCCAAGCTCTTTCCTACTGCTCCAGTTAGCTAACCACTATCATAAGTTTGTTATATTATTTCTAGATATTTGCTACAAATTTAGATTTCTACAGACTTTCCATGATACTGTTCTCCATGATTTAAACTTATATAATACATATACAATGTGTATTTGGCATACATCCCTCTGCACATACAAGAGGACTTCAAAAAGCTTGTGGAAAATGAATTAAAAGATAAAAATGTAAGCCCAACACTTTAGCAGGCCAAGTAGGAAGATCACTTGAGGCCAGGAGTTTAAGACCAGCCTAGGGCAACATAGGGAGATCCCATCTCTATAAAAAATAAATAAATTAGCCAGGCGTGGTGGCTCATGCCTGTAATCCCAGCACTTTGGGAGGCCGAGGTGGGTGGATCACCTGAGGTCGGGAGTTTGAGACCAGCCTGACCAACATGGAGAAACCTCGTCTCTAGTAAAAATACAAAATTAGTTGGGTGTGGTGGCACATGCCTGTAATCCCAGCTACACTGGAGGCTGAGGCAGGAGAATTGATTAAACCCAGGAAGAAGAGGTTGCAGTGAGCTGAGATCATGCCATTGCATTCCAGCCTGGGCAACAAGAGTAAAACTCCATCTCAAAAACAAATAAATAAATAAGCCAGGTGCGGTGGCATACACCTGTACTCCCAGCTACTGGGGAGGCTAAGGTGGAAGAATCACTTGAGCCCAGGAGTTTGAAGCTGCAGTGAGCTATGTTCTTGCCACTGCACTCCATTCCAGGTGACAGAGAAGACTCTTGACTCAAAATAAGATAAAATAAAATAAAATAGTAATAAACGCAAAAAAAATACAAACTACATTTCATCGTAAGTTTCATCAGCTTCAAGACACTTCTGTAAGTGATGATAGCAACTTACTCCATCCCTAAAGAATTGAGTGAGGGTCCTGGGAATTTAACCATGTTATTGCCGTCTTTTTAACATTATTAGTTGAAGGAAAAAAAATGGGTGCTCTTTAAAGATTTTTTAAGATTAGGAAACTAAAATATATCAGAAGGAGCTGAATCAGGACTGTAAGGTGGATAGTTAAGGATTTCCCACTGAAACTCAAAAAATTGCCCCTGTTTGATGAGAGGAATGGACAGGAGTATTGTCAGGGTAGAGAGGGACTCTCTGGCGAAGCTTTCGTAGGCATCTTTCTGCTAAAGCTTTGGCAAAACTTCTGAAAACACTTTCCTAATAAGCAGATGTTATCATTCTTTATCCCTCCAGAAAGACAAAGCAAAATGCCTTGAGCATCCCAAAAACTGTTGCCATGACCTTTACTCTTGACTGGTCTGCTTTTGTGTTGGCTGGACAACTTCCACCTCTTGGTAGCCATTGCTTTGATTGTGTTTTGTATTCAGGATTGTACTGGAAAAGTCATGTTTCATCTCCTGTTACAAGTCTTCAAATAAGTGCTTCAGAATCTTGATCCCATGTGTTTAAAATTTCCAACAAAAGCTATGTTCTTGTCTACAGCTGATCTGGCAGCAACTGTTTTGGCACCCATCAAGTGGAAAGTTTGCTTAACTTTAATGTTTTGATCACATTTGTGTATTCAGAAGCAATTGAGATTTCTATGGTGTTGGCTATTGTTTGTGCTGTTGATTGTCAGTCTTTTTCAATTAGGGCATGAACAAGATTAATTTTTTCCTTACAAATTGATGTGGATGTTCTGTCACTGCAGGCTTCATCTTCAACATTATCTGGTCCTTTCTTTTTTTTTTTTCTTTTTTTTTTGAGACAGAGTCTTGCTCTGTCGCCCAGGCTGGAGTGCAGTGGCGCGATCTCAGCTCACTGCAAGCTCCACCTCCCGGTGTCACGCTATTCTCCTGCCTCAGCCTCCCGAGTAGCTGGGACTACAGGCACCCGCCACCAAGCCTGGCTAATTTTTTGTATTTTAGCCAGGATGGTCTCGATCTCCTGACCTCATGATCTGCCTGCCTGGGCCTCTCAAAGTGCTGGGATTACAGGCATGAGCCACAACGCCCGGCCTATCTTGTCCCTTTTTAAAATGAGTTATCCATTTGTAAACTGCTGATTTCTTTGGGGCACTGTCTCCATAAATTTTCCATAAAGGATCAATGCTTTTTACCATTCTTCCTCTCAAGCTTCATGATAAATGTTATTTTTGTTCTTGCTTCAATTTTAATAGAATACATGATGCTCTGATAGGAGCTTAATTCAAACCAATATCTTATCCTTCTTAGTGCTTGAAACTAGAGCCTGTTCAGACATGTTACAACAAATTGGCACAAGTTTATTTTGGTATAAAAATTTTTGAAATCCATGCATAGATTTTTTCATAATATGCATTTTTTATGAACTTTTAAAGACCCCTCATATAACTTGCATACACTGCTCTTTTCATTTCAAAATTTTTTCAGCATTTCTCAGTGTTCCTCTATGTAGCTGTAGTTCATTTGTTTTAGCTGCAGTACATTTTGCTATATTAACATGCCACAAATTGTCCATTTTCTCATGAATGAATGAATGCTCATATGGTTTCCTTTTTCCTCTATAACAAACCATTTTGCAGTGAGTATTTATAAACATGTCTCCTTTATCCCTGTGTGAGACTATATTTCCTTAGTGGTAGAGTATAAAAATCTACTGCATGGTGGATCCAGTGGCTTATGCCTGTAATCCCAGGGCTTTGGGAGGCTGAGGTGGGAGAATTGCTTGAGGCCAGGAGTTTGAGACAAGCATGGACAACATAGCCAGACCCCATTTCTTCAAAAAATAAAAAGATTAGCTGGGCAAGGGTGTCACATGCCTGTAGTCCCAGCTACCCAGGAGGCTGAGGCCAGAGGATCATTTGAGCCCAGGAAGTTGAGGCTACAGTGAGCTATGGTTTCACTGCTGCACTCCAGCCTGGGTGACAGAGCAAGACCCTGTCTCTTAAAGAGAATCTTCTGCTTTACCAGATGTAATCAAATTGGCCTCCAAAGCTGTTACATCAATTTGCACTCCCACTAACAGTGTAATAGAATTTCTGTTTCTCCATACTCTCACCTATACTCTTTATTGTCAAACTTTAATTTTTGCCAATCCGATGGCTGTGAATTGGTGTTCATTGTTGTTTTAAGTTGTATTTCTGTGATTATTTGTGAGGTTGGAAATTCTTTTATATATTTACCAATCATTCAGATGTCAATCAAGAAAAATGACCAAGACAAATCTAAATCATTCTAGGAGGTTTATTTGCCAAAGTTAAGGACGTGTGCCTGGAAGACAGGTTTACGCCTTTCTCCAAAGTTGATTTTGAGGCCTCCAAATTTAAAGGGGAAAGGGCAGGATATTGAGAAACACACAATTTTAATGTGAGAGGGAGGTGGGGGGAATAGTCATCCATGCCTTTGTCTGGCTCAGTGAATCTGCATTTTTACATAAGATAACATACACAAATAGGGCATGCAAAAATGCAGGGACTCTGCTCTTTTGCATGAAATAACAGACAAATGGGGGCAAGGCAACAATCAGATATGCACTTGTGTCAGGTGGGCAGAGAGGTGAATGCATATGTAAAGATAAGCTATCATTTATGGTGAATTTTAACAGAAACACTTTAGGTCAAGGATCTTGGAGCACACTAGGAATTTACTTGTAGGCAAAATATGAGGGAGGTATGTAGCTTTTCACCTTGTAGCCATCTTATTTAGGAAGCAAAAAAGGTGGCAGGTTTGTGTGACTCAGTTCCCAGCTTGACATTTCCCTTCCACTTAATGAGTTTGGGGTTTCAAGATTTATTTTCCTTTCAGATAGCTTTCCTCTTCTGTAAACTGCCTGTTCATACTATTCGTCTATTTTTCTTTTGAGTTGTCTTTTTAAGCTCCTTAAATGTTCTGTAAATAATTTTCTCGTACATTGTAAATACCTTTTCTCAGTGTGTGACTTGTCTTTTAACTTTCTTCTATTTTTATTATGAAGATGCTTTATACATTAATGTAGTACAGTTTGTCAATCTTTTGCTTTATATTTTGTGCCTCCTTTTAAAGAAATACTCCCTACCAAGAGATGATATATTATTCAAAATTTTCTTCTAAACATTTTGAAGTTTTGCCTTTGAAATGTGCATTTTAGTTCATTTAAAATTCATTTTATTTACAATATGTAGTAAGAACATACTGTCCATATTTCTCTACAGTCATTCTTTTTCCATTAATTTATCATGTTATTTCCTATGTGGAGTTTCCATATACCCAAGGCTATGTTCCTGAGATTTCTATCCAGCTTCACCCTGTTGAATACTTGGATTTCCAAACTGAAGATCATTTTTAATTCAATTCTAGAAAATGCCTATTAATTACTTTTTTTTTTTCCAAAAATAGATTTTCCATAACTCCCACTATTCTTTTGTTCTGGGGCTTCTAGAATTCCTACTGGCTGAATGTTGAAAGATCTCAAGTCTTCCATGTCTTCTAACTGCTCTTTCCTGTTTTACACATCTTTGCCTCTCCATGATGCATTTTGTGTGAATTTCTCAATTCTATCTTTTAATTAAGTAATCCTCCTTTTGTTTCCATTTTGTATAATTTCCAGTGACCATGATTTTTCTTTTCTGAAATTGTGCTACTTTAATTGTATTTGTTTTTGTATTTACCTGTTTTATTAGCTCTGCTTTTTAAATTTTTGTAATGTCTTGTTTTTCCAAATTGAAAACATATCTTCATTTTTCTATTTGAGCATCCTAATAATATAAATTTTAAAGTATTTGTCCAGCTGTTGTATACATTCAATGCTGCAAGAGTGAATTTATATTCTGTTCTGAAAATTGATAGAATCGATTGTCTTCCAGAATCGATTGTCTTCCATTAGATGGCTTTTTCTTGCATTTTGATATTTTGATTTATAGGCTAATTTTCTATGAGTTTTGTTTTTGTTTAGTTCTTATTTATTTATTCCCTTCTGTCTGGTGGTCTGCGGTTGCCCCCATCTGCTGCTCCATAACCTCAATGCAAAACCATGCCTTGCGTTGATATGGAGACCGTCATATCAACAATCACAGAGCCAGTTCAAGGCTTCATGAGGCTCCTAGTCTGGAGGTCAAGTCTGTGCTCTCCTTTTACCTTAGGCTTGCAGCTTGCCAGGAGGTATAGGGCTAGATAGAATTTTTTTTTTTTTCTTTTTGAGACAGAGTCTTGCTCTGCTGCCCAGATGGGAAGTGCAGTGGCGCAATCTCAGCTCACTGCAACTTCCGCCTCCTGAGTTCAAGCTATTCTCATGCCTCAACCTCCTGAGTAACTGGAACTACAGGCACACACCACCATGCCTGGCTAATATTGTTTTGTATTTTTAGTAGAGATGGGGTTTCACTATGTTGGCCAGGCTGGCTAAGTAGGATTTTTTAAAGAATTTCTTAAAGACCAAACCTCTGGCATTGGTCAAGCTCTAGATAGACTCCTTCTGTCATCCAAAGAATCAGAACCAATACAGAGGATACTATTAGGTTGGTACAAAAGTAATTGCAGTTTCTGCCATTACTTTCAATGGCATAAACCGCAGTTACCTTTGCACCACTCTAATAGTTCTTCCAAAGATTAGCAAACAATGAAAGAGAAAATTGGAAAGCTACAGACCTAAGAATAAGACTCAGCAGTCTCAAAGACAAGAGAAGGCTTTTTTGATAGTGATTTTTAAAACTCTGGGTGGCTTTATTAAGATAATTCACATACCATAAAATCAATACTCATAAATGTTTCATTCAGCAGTTTTTAGTATAATCACAAAATTGAGTAATCATCACCACTATCTAATTCCAGAACATTTTTATCAACCCAGAAAGAAACTCTGTACCCATCAGCAGTCATACCTCATCCCCTCCTACTCTCAACCCCTGGCAACGCCTAATCTACTTTCTGTCTCTATGGATTTGCTATTTTGGACATTTCGTATAAATGGAATCACATCCTAGTTAGCCTTTTGTTTCTGGCTTCTTTGATTTAGCACAATGTTTTCAAGGTCCCTCCATGATGTAGCATGCATCAGTAATTCATTCCGGTTTTTATGGCTGAATATTAATCTGTTGTATGTATAGATCACATTTTCTCTATCTACTCATCAATTGGTGGGCATTTGGATCATTTCCACTTTTGACTATTAGGATCAATCCTGTTGAATTAATCAGCTTGGGCTACCATAACAAAATACCGTAGACTTGCCTTGCAGGTAGCTGCCTTCTGCCTGTGTCCTCCCATGGGGAAGAGAGAGAGAACAAGCTCTCTGGCGTCTCTTCTTATCAGGGCACTAATCCCATCACATGGGCTCCACTCCTAAGGTCTCATCTAAACCTAATTACAGTACCTCTGTTCTCTAAATGCTATCACACTAGAAGTTAAAGCTTCCACATGAATTTTGGGGATACACAATTCAGTCCATAGCACCTGCTATGACCCACCTTGTGCAAGTCTGCATATGAACATGTTTCCAGTTATCTTGGGTATGTGCCTAGAAGTGCAATTACTTAGTCATATGTCAATTCTATAGTGAGCTTTTTGAGGAACTGCCAAATTGTTTTTTACAGTAGCTTCATCATTTTACATTTCCACAGACAACGTATAAGGATTCCATTTTTTCCACGTCCTTGCCAACACTTTTATTGTCCATCTATTTTTAAATTATAGTTATCTTAGTGGGTATGAAATGGTATCTCAATGTGGTTTTGATTTGTGCTTCCCTAATGACTAATGATGTGGAGCACCTTTTTTATGCATTCATTGGCTATTTGTATATCTCGTTTTAAGAAATGTCTACTCAAATCCTTTACCTATTTTGCAGGTGGGGCTTTCTTTTTTTAACTTTCATTTTAATTCAGGGGTACATGTGCAGATTTGTGACATATGTAAACTTGTTCCATGGAGGTTTGTTGAATAGATTATTGCATCACCCAGATAATTAGCCTAGTACCCATTAGTTATTTTTCCTGATCCTCTCCCTCGTCCCACTCTCCACTCTCTGATAAGCCCCAGTGAGTGTTGTTTCTCTCTATGCATCCATGTGTTCTCATCATTTAGCTCCCACTTATAAGTGAGAACATGCAGTATTTGGTTTTCTGTTCCTGTGTTAGTTTGCTAAGGATAATGGCTTCCAGTTCCATCCATGTCCCTGCAAAGGACATGATCTTGTTCCTTTTTATGGCTGCGTAGTATTCCATGGTGTATATGTACAATATTTTCTTCATCCAGTCTATCATTGATGGGCATTTAGGTTGATTCCATGTCTGTGCTATTATGAATAGTGCTGCAATGAGCACATGCCTGCATGTGTCTTTTTTTTGTTTGTTTGAGATGGAGTCTCACTCTGTCACCCAGGCTGGAGTGCAGTGGCGCAATTTCGGCTCATTGCAAGCTCTGCCTCTCGGGTTCTTGCCATTCTCTTGCCTCAGCCTCCCGAGTAGCTGAGACTACAGGCACCCGCCACCATGCCTGGCTAATTTTTTGTATTTTTGGTAGAGACGGGGTTTCACCATGTTAGCCAGGATGGTCTCAATCTCCTGACCTCGTGATCCGCCTGCCTCGGCCTCCCAAAGTGCTGGGATTACAGGCATGAGCCACCGCACCCGGCCCTGCATGTGTCTTTATAACAGAATGATTTGTATTCCTTTGGGCATATACCCAGTAATGGGATTGCTGAGTCAAATGGTATTTCTGTCTTTAGGTCTTTGTGGAATCACCACACTGTCTTCCACAATGGTTGAACTAATTTACACTCCCAGCAACAGTATAAACACGTTCCTTTTTCTCTACAACCTCCCCCAGCATCTGTTATTTTTTGGCTTTTTAATCATAGCCATTCTGACTGGTGTGAGATGGTATCTCATTATATTTTTAATTGGATTATGTTTTTGTTGTTGAGTTGTAAGAGTTCTTTATATATTCTAGATGAAAGTCCCTTTATTAGATATATAATCTAAAAATATTTTTCTTAGGCAGGATTTTGCAGCATGTTTTCCAGCCTCCTTTCACGAGCACGTTCAGTCTCTCTCCAGCCCCTGCCTTCAAACAGAGCAGTGGTTTATCTATCTTCCCAACCCTGATTCCAGATCCAGGCTCCAGAAAGCCCTGGTGTCAGCTTGGGCTCCTGCTGTATCTGATAGATGAGATGTTTATCTTGTACTTGAGCCTCGATCCATCTTTCAGTTTTCTTTTTGATGTTTTATCCATCATCCTTCAGTTTCTAGCAAAGAGCCTCATTCAGTCACGAACTCACAGCATCAAATTGTCCTGAAAGACATCTGTCAATATTGTATATAGTATGTGTCAGTGTGTGTGTGTACTTTTTTAAAAATTGTAAGGTTAGATCTATTGGCATTTTACTATTCTTTCTTCCTTTGCTTTTGTGCTTAGAAAGGTCTCTGTCAATGTAAGAGGAGAGAAGCATGATCTTACAGTTTCTTGTAATGGTTTTCTTCCTTCTTTATATTGAACTCTCAAATCCATTTGGAATCTATCTTCTTATTGTGCATGTAGGAATTCAAGTCTAAGACTTTCTGAGCTGTTTACTAATTTTCTCAGCATTATCCAGTGCTTTTTAAATGCCATAAATTAGATATTTTAGATATTAAAATTTCTTCGTGTCTCTTTCAGAGTATATTTCAATTTTAATTCTATCACATTATTTAATTTTTTAAAATCCCTGCACCAAAAGCTGGAAGCATAGCTTTTGTGTGTGCATGTGTGTCTCCTCTAACCCTAGCACAGGTGCTCAACAAATATTTGCTGGATGAATTTATGATTGAAGGTTAGAACACGGGAAGGACACGGAGGGCAAGTGTTGTAAGATGCTGATGAGGACATAGTTGGAATGGCTGACAGTGACCTTGAAAGAAGAAGAACTAGTACCTGGCTCAGTGCCTGTCACATAGTAGGCACTCAATAAAATATTTAAGATGTGAAAAGAGTTTTGAAGTGGCAAGCTCTATATAAGTTAACTTCCTCCAACTGAATTATCCCCCTCTCTACTATTGCTCTAACCCACCTAAAAATTCTTAGCCAGCCCCACCCTTCACTTTCTTTCTTTCTTTTTTTTTTTTGACAGAGTCTCACTCTGTCACCCAGGCTGGAGTGCAATGGTGCTATCTCGGCTCACTGCAGCCTCCGCCTCCTGGGCTCAAGTGATTCTTGTGCCTTAGCCTCCCGAGTAGCTGGGATTACAGGCATGCACCACCATGCCTGGCTAATTCACCCTTCACTTTTGAGGTGGACTCTGCCCTGTCTACCTGACAACAAACAGCGTCTCTCAGAAACTCAGATCTATGCTGATCTGGCAACCAGGTAACAACTGTTTGGACCACTTGAGGAAATGGAGGTCACGATGTTAAATGATGATAACCTTTGTGAATCTAGAGTCTCAGATCTTTCTCCCTGACAGCTGGCCTATCAACTAAGACCCACTATACACTGACTCCCAAAGCATTGTAGAGTAAAAGGAACAATGACTTAAATTCTGAAGCTATGAGTTTCTGCTTCTAAAATGTTTCAGCTCTGTGCCTGTTGGCAAGTTACTTAACTCCTCTGAGTCACAATTTCTTCATCTGTAAAATAGAGATAATAACTTCAACCCAAAGGGATGTTATAACAGTTAAATGAGGTAACTCTGATAAAAGAGCTCTTTAATGAGAAAGTGCTACATTGGAAAGATTATAACCACATGCATGGTACTTTACCTTGCTTTCAACATGTAATCCCTGCTCCAGACAGCATAGAATCTTCAAGACTAGAGGCTTCTCTTTCCCTCTCTCTTCCTGCAGGTCTTTCTGCCTATTGAGATTCTACCCATTCTTGAAGTGGCCCAGCCTTAGCGCATCCTTAATTCCCAAATACTTCTTCCCATTTCTGCCCACAGGCATTTTCCTTTCTTTGAACTGACTTTATTCTCATGTGTCATCCACTTACTAACCCCCAGTTATACCCTCCTTATTTTATAAGGGGTGAACACCTTCAAGAGAACCTTCAACTCTGTAAGCAGTGGCCAAGTCACACTCTTCTTCTTTTATTGTTACTTTTAGAGATGGAGTCTAACTGTGTTGCCCAGGCTGGTCTTGAACTCCTGGTCTCAAGCAATCCTCCTCCCTCAGCTTTTCAAGTAGCTGGGACTACAGGTGCACACCACAGCTTACATTCTTCTTAGGAATACCCTACAGTGCCTACTGCCAAGCTAGGTCCAAATAGATGGTTAATATCTATTATTACTTGAATAGTAAAGAAAGCATGATGGTTGTCATTTCACTGGGCTGGTATTTTCTGTACTTGTGGATTGGACTGTGCTAAATCACTGAAACCAAGATGGTACATCTTCAATAGTGGTATGTCTTCAGTAGTGGTATATCTTTGATGTCTTCAAATATACAGATCTCTCAACTACAATGGACATAGTTGTAAAGGGACGAAGGGTCAGGGTCAACAAGATGCTTTGGGCAATGATGTTAGAAGTAGAATCACAGAAGGTTGGCCCTGGAGAGAATGAACACTACAGAACAGTTATTGCAACCTTATCTTTTTTTTTTTTATTTGAGACAGAGCCTTGCTCTGTTGCCCAGGCTGGAGTGTAGTGGTGCAATCTCGGCTGACTGCAACCTCCACCTCCCAGGTTCAAGTGATTCTCCTGCCTCAGCCTCCTGAGTAGCTGAGATTACAGGCGCACACCACCACGCCTGACTACTTTTTGTATTTTTAGTAGAGACAGGGTTTCACCATTTTGGTCAGGCTGGTCTCGAACTCCTGACCTCATGATCCACCACTGCCTCAGCCTCCCAAAGTACTGGGATTACAGGCGTGAGCCACCATGCCCGGTCGCAACCTTATCATTTTTACAAGACAGAAAACAAAGGCCTGCAGTGCCTCCTTGCTTTCCCAAGGTCAGTCGTCAGAACCAAGAGACAGGACCCTGGACTCCTCAGGCAGGGCTTTTTCCTCTCTGATGAGTTCAGTTCCTTATATATTTTACCAAGTCTTTATTCATAACTTAGAACAGAGATGAGGCGGGAACCTCAGGCATAACCCAAAAGGCTGGGAGAACCAAGTACAGGATAAATACTCACATTTCATCCCCAGGGATGTCTTTCTGCTCAAACCACCTTGCTTGGAAGCTGGGTAGGTCTCCTGTTTGGGCTTGTGTCAAAGTCCAAAACAACGCAGCTTGTGGATGTTGACATCCCAATGGGAAAGAAAGCCTTTGACCAGCAAGTGATGCAAAAGCCATCCTGCCTCCCTGCATCATTTGTTCTTCCATTGCTTTTCACACTGCCATTCCTGACTACGGAGCCTCTGTCTTACAGAAAAGGACAAGGAAGACTGGATTTGGTTCAAGATGAATTCTGGGTCCCCAAAAGTGTGTGGGTTGCAAAGTAATTATTCTACAGGAGAATATGTGTATTCGAGCAAATCTCAACTTTCACTCCCCCCATTAACCTGGGCCTGAACAATACCCTACTGACTCACACCAGTGATGCTGTCAGAGGTTTTACCTGTGATTTTCCAAGCAGCAGGTTTTGGGTCAGCATAGCAAAGGCTGTCTGATCAAATGATGGGATCTTTTCTTCTAAAAGACAGTAGTAAAGAACAAAAAGTCAGCATGCCCAGAAGAATTCACAAGGCTCAGGCAACAGCGTGATGACTGCTGTTGGAAATGTACAGGCCTCTCATCTACCATGGACATGGAAAAGGGATGAGGGGGCATAGTCAGGGTCACAGTCAACAGGACACGCTGGGCAGTGGAGTTAGAATCACAGAGGGATGGCTCTGGAAAGAGTACATTTTATATATATTTATATATATATATAATTTATGAAACAGAGTCTCTCTCTGTCGCCCAGGCCAGAGTGTATTGGCGCGATCTTGGCTTACTGCACTCTGCCTCCCAGATTCAAGTGATTCTCGTGCCTCAGCCTCCTGAGTAGCTGAGATTACAGGCCCGTGCCATTTTTAGTAGAGATGGGGTTTCCCCATGTTGGCCAGGCTGGTCTTGAACTCCTGACCTCAGTGATCTGCTCACCTCGGTCTCCCAAAATGCTGGGATTACAGGCACGAGCCACCACACCTGGCCTGGAAAGAGTAAATTTGACAGATCATTTATTCCAACCTTATAATTTCACAAGAAAGGAAACCAAGGTCTGGAGTGGTTAATTGCTTTTGCAGAACCCAGGGAGCCACCTGACTCCCTCTGATGTTTAAGTTTATGTGTCAACTTGATTGGGCTAAGGGATGTCCAGGTGGCTGGTAAAATCTCACTTCTGGTGTGTCTGTGAGGGTGTTTCTGGAAGAGATTAGTAGGCTGAGTCAAGAACATCCTGTCTCACCAATATGAGTAGGCATCATTCAATCCACTGAGGGCCCAACAAGAGCAAACAGAGGGAAGGCCAATTCTGTCTTTCTTTCTCCTTGAGCTGAGACATCCGCCTTTGAACTCAGACTGAACTGCACCACCTGTTTTCCTGGTTCTCCAGCTTGCAGATAGCAGATCGTGGGACTTAGCCTTTATTATTTAAAGAAAAATTAATTGTTAATTATCGTGGGTACATCGTAGGTGTATATGTTTATGGGGTACATGAGATACTTCGATATAGGCATGCAATGCATCATCATCACATGGTGAAAAATGGGGTATCCATCCCCCTCAGGTGTTTATCCTTTGTGTTACAAGCAATCCAAGGAGACTCTTTTCATTATTTTAAAATGTGCAATTAAATGATTATTGACTACAGTACCCCTGTTGTAATAGCAAATACTAGGTCTTATTTGTTCTTTCTATTTCTTTGTACCCATTAACCATCCCCACCTCACCCCTGCCTACCAAGCCTCCATTATTGCATAAGTCAATTCATATTTTATATTTATTTTATACATATATACATCATTTATTTATATATATATTTTTGAGACAGAGTCTTGCTCTGTTGCCAGGCTGGAGTGCAGTGTTGCAATCTCAGCTCACTGCAACCTCCGCCTCTCAGGTTCAAGCAATTCTCCTGCCTCAGCCTCCTGAGTAGCTAGGACTACAGGTGTGCGCCACCACGCCCAGCTAATTTTTGTATTTTTAGTAGAGATGGGGTTTCACCGTGTTGGCCAGGCTGATCTCAATCTCTTGGCCTCGTGATCCTTCTGCCTCAAGCCTCCCAAAGTGATGGGATTACAGGTGTGAGCCACTGTGCTCAGCCATTATTTATTTATTTTATAAATATAATATAATATTTATTTTATAAATATAATATAATATTTATTTTATAAATATATACATTATTCATTTATCTTATAAATATATAAGTATATAAACAAGTTATAAATACATAAACTATAAACATATAAACTGGATCAATTTATAAATATGTAAATATATGCATTATTTATTTACAAATATATAACTGTATAAATTATAATTTTATAAACAATTTGTTTATTATATATAAATATTTATTTATTGTATAGCTATAGAAATATGTGTGTGTGTGTGTATATACACAAACGCATAAATTCTATTAGTTCTGTTTCTTTAGAGAACTCTGACTAATGCACTTCCTATGCAGTGTTCTTTTCTCTATGATGAGTTCAGCTCCTTAGATATTGTTCCAAGACCAAATTACCTTTAAGGACCAAGGGCAGAAGGATTTTGGAGGCTCACCTCTGCTTTGAGTGGCCATTGTGTGGATCCTGCCTTTAAGAGGGTCTTTGCAGGCCAAGCGACAAAACCTGGCAGATGGGAATGGTATTTCAGGACCTCCAAGGATTCTCAGGGAGAAGCTATGGAATCTACATCACAGAGGACTTTAGTCTGTTTCTACTTGACAGCAGAAAAGATAAATTGAAGCAATCTGCTAAGCCGATTTGCCGATCGTTGGTTACACAGAGGGCCAATGTGGTGTTTGCCCTGGAATCTGTAGGAAGAGCTAGTCGTTTGGATGTTAGACACTCTGGTTTCCCTGGAAGGCCTTGTGGATGGGTTTAACTCTGGATCCAGATGCTGTGTCACCAACCTTCCCATGGACATTGTGTTGTTACTTTTCTGATCTTAGTCTCAGTATCTTTGGTTCTAAAACCAGGCTCATGAGACCAGGTCAACGGTATCATCTCTCACCCTTACAGAGACCCAGCACCATGGCTGGCAAAACTCTCAGCTCAATAAATGGGGGTCATCTGTTATTATCATGATTGTTATTATGTGGGTGAAAGGGGGAAGAGTCAAAGCTACCAAGTTTTTAGCCCCAGACTCAAAAGGCCAACCTGGAGAAGTACAGAAGGAAATCATTCTGTTATTTATTCAAGAAATATTTATCAAAAATCTATTATGTGCTAATAACGGTGCTGAAGCTACAATTAGAAGTCACACAAACCTGGCTATTTCCTCTCAGAGCCTACGGTATGGGAGAAAGAGACATGATTATTCAAACAATAAGCAAATTGTATGCATCTGTAGGAAATCATAAGACCAGGCTGGGCATGGTGGCTCATATCTGTAATTCCAGCTACTTGTGGGGGCCAAGGCACGAAGGTTGCTTGAGCCTGGGAGTTTAAGGCTGCAGTGAGCTACGATCATACTACTGCACTCCAGCCTGGGCAACAGAGCAAGACTCTGTTTCTTAAAAAAAAAGATAGGACAAAAATAGCATAGGCCCATGGGAGCACAAAGAAGAGAACCTTCCCTGATCCAAATTATATCTTAAGTTAATAAGACGTTGTCTCAACAGAGAATGAGGCCCAGTGGGACCACATACAGATTTGCTTTCATTCACTTATGACTTGGAGACTTTTCCATGTCAGATTGTTTAGGATAGAACCACGTCCTTCATTTCTCCTTTTGCATCAACCCCAGTGCTTAGCACATAATATGTTGGTCCTCAGTTTGTATTTGTTAAATGAAATGAATGGATTACATGTCTTACATTGAGGTGAGATTTCTATAACATAGAACTCATCATTTTAAAGTGCACAATTCCATGGCATTTAGTAATTTCACAATATTGTGCAATCATCACCTCTATCTCATCCGAAGACACTTTCCACACCCTGAAAGGAAACCCCATCCTATGAGCAGTCATGCCCTAGCCCCTGGCAACCACTAATCTACTTTGTTATCTCTGTGGATTCACCTATCCTGAACACTTGAGATAGAAAATCATAAAATAGGTGACCTTTTGTGTCTGGATTCTTTCTCTTAGAAAGAATATTTTGGAGGTTTAGCCGTGTTTTAGCATGTGTCAGTACTTTATTCTTTTTTATGGTGAATGGATGACTCTTAATGATAGCATAGTAGTTTATCCTGTGGATGGAATGTAATTTAATTAACCGCCTCTCATTTATGGGCACTTAAATGTCATTTTTGCTCACATATTTAATGATTCATTGAATAATTTTTGTGCATATATGCAAAGAATTTTATGGGCTTGTAAGTCTAGTTTGTGTTAAACACAGGTGGCATTTATTTATGTAATTAATAAGCAACAAACTTAATTAGCATTTTATCACTACTATTTTTATTTAATTGACAAATAAAAATTACATATATTTATGGCATACAACATGATTCTTTTTATAAAGATGGAGTCTTGGAGTCTTGCTCTGTTGCCCAGGCTGAAGTGCAGTGGCACCATCATAGCTCACTGCAACCTCGAATTCCTGGGCTCAAGCAGTCCTCCCACCTCAGCCTCCCAGTAGCTGGAACTACAGGCATATGTCACCATGTGAAGCTCAACTTGATGTTTTGAAATATGTATACATTGTGGAATGGCTAAATCAAGCTAATTAACGTATGCATTACTTTACATATTATTGTTTATTTGTGGTGAGAACACTTAAAATCTACTCTTAGCAATTTTCAAGTGTATGTTACGTGGTTATTAACTATAGTCATCATGTTGTACAATAGATTTATTGAATTTATTCCTCCCGGAAAAATGATGTTTGTATCCTTCAGTCAACACCACCCCAAATCCCTACTCCCCCTAACCACCACCTCCAGCCCCTGGTAACCACCATTCTACTCTCTGCTTCTATGAGTTCACCTTTTTTAGATTCCGCATATAAATGAGGTCATGTAGTGTTTATCTTTCTGTGCCTGCCTTATTTCACTTAACATAATGTCTTTCAGGTTAATCTGTATTGTCACAAATGACAGGATTTTCTTCTTTTTAAAGGCTGAATAGTATTCATATTTTATATTTATATATACCTAGCTCACATTTTCTTTATCCATTCATTCATTGATAGAACTTAACATTGAATCTATGCCCTGGGTATCGGAATAATGCTGCAATAAATGTGAGATTGTATAAATCTCTTTGACATAATGGATTTCATTTCCCTTGGATATACACCAGTAGTAAGACTGCTGGATCATAAGGTAGTTCTATTTTTAAATTTTTTAGGAAACTCCATACCGTTTTCCATAATGGCTGTAATAAATTTACATTTTCACCAAGAGCGTACCAGGGTTTACTCTCTTCCACATCCTCATCAACACTTGTTATCTTTCACCTTTTTGAAAATAACCATCCTAATAACACACATCCTAAGTTGTGTGAGGTGAAATCTCATTGTGATTTTAATTTGCATTTCCTAGATGATTAGTGCTGTTGAGCATTTTTTTTAATACCTGCTGTCCATTTGTATGTCTCCCTTTGAGAAATGTCTATTTAGGTTTTTTGCCCACTTTTAAATTGGATTATTTGTTTTCTTGCTATTGAATTGTTTGAGCTCCTTATATATTTTGGATATTAACCCCTTATTGGATGTATGATTTTCAAATATTTTCTCCCATTCCACAGGTTATCTTTTCACTCTGTTATTTCCTTTGCTGTGCAAAAGCACTTTAGTTTGATATGTTGCGGGAAGTCAGGGACCCTGAACGGAGGGACCGGCTGAAGCCATGGCAGAAGAACCTAAATTGTGAAGATTTCATGGACATTTATTAGTTCCCCAAATTAATACTTTTATAATTTTTTACGCCTGTCTTTAATGCAATCTCTGATCATAAACTGTGAAGATTTCATGAACGCTTATCACTTTCGCAATCAATACCCTTGTGATTTCCTACACCTGTCTTTAATCTCTGAATCCCATCATTTTTGTAAGCTGAGGAGGTTGTATGTCCCCTCAGGACCCTGTGAAGATTGCGTAAACTGCACAAATTGTTTGTAGAGCATGTGTGTTTGAACAATATGAAATCTGGGCACCTTGAAAAAAGAACAGGATAACAGCGATGTTCAGGAAACAAGGGAGATAACCTTAAACTCTGGCTGCCTCTGAGCCTGGCAGAACAGAGCCATATCTCTCTCTTTCAAAAGCAAATAGGAGAAATATTGCTGAATTCTTTTTTCAGCAAGGAACATCCCTGAGAAAGAGGATGCATCCCTAAGGGGAGGCCTCTGAAATGGCCGCTTTGGGGACGGCTGTCTTTTACGGTCATAGATAAGGGATGAATTAAGCCCCGGTCTCCCGTAGCACTCTCAGGCTTATTAAGATGAGGAAATTCCCACCTAATAAATTTTGGTCAGACCCGTTGTCTGCCCTCAAACCCTGTCTCCTGATAAGATGTTATCAATGACAATGCATGCCCAAAACTTAATTAGCAATTTTAATTTCACCCTGGTCCTGTGGTCCTGTGATCTCACCCTGCCTCCATTTGCCTTGTGATATTTTATTACCTTGTGAAGCATGTGATCTCTGTGACCCACACCCTATTCGTACACTCCCTCCCCTTTTGAAAATCACTCATAAAAACTTGCTGGTTTTGTGGCTTGGGGGGCATCATGGAACCTGCTAACATGTGATGTCTTCCCTGGACACCCAGCTTTAAAGTTTCTCTCTTTTGTACTCTTTCCCTTTATTTCTCAGACTGGCTGACACTTAGGGAAAATAGAAAAGAACCTACGTGGAATATCGGGGGTGAATTTCCCCCAGTATTGATGCAATTAGATTTGCCTGTTTTTGCTTTTCTTGCCTGTGCTTTTAAGGTCATGTCCAAAAAATCATTGCCTAGACCCACTTCATGGAGGTTTTTACCTGTTTTCTTCTAGTATTTTTACATTTTCAGGTTCTTACATTTAAGGCTTTAACCCATTTTGAGTTGGGTTTTTTTTAAATGAAGTGAGATAAGGCTCTAATTTCATTCTTTTGCTTGTGAGTATCCAGCTTTTCCAACACAATTCATCGAAGAGACTGTCCATTCCTAATTGTGTGCTCTGTAATTTTTGTCAAAATTAATTGATGGTATATGTGTGGATTTATTTCTGTGTTTTCTATTCTGATCCATTGGCCTAAGTGTCTGTTTTTGTGCCAGTACCATGCTGTTTTGATTACTATACCTTTGTAGTATATTTTTAAATCAGGTAATGTAATTTTAGGACTGTTTTATCTAGTTCTGTGGAAAATGTCATTGAATTTTTTAAAATACTTTTTTCTGTAGAGACAGGGTCTCGCTATGTTCCCTGGGCTGGTCTCAAACTCCAGGCCTCAAGCAATCCTCCTGCCTTGTCTCCCAAAATACTGCAATTACAGGTGTGAACCACTGCTCCTGGCCATCGTTGGAATTTCTATAGGAATTGCACTGAGTCTGTAGATTGATTTGAGTTGTATGGACATTTTAGCAACATTCTTCTAATTCATGAACATAGAATATCCATTCATTTATTTGTGTCTTCTTCAATTTCTTTCAGCAATGTTCTATAGTTTTCAGCATACAGCTCTTTTGAGTTCATGATTAAATTTATTCCAAAGTATTTTTTTTTTTTGAATAGTTTATTTTTAGGGTATAGAAACACTATTGATTTTTGTATGTTAATTTTGTATCCTATATTAAAGGTGAAGTTAGCTTCTTATAGACAGGATGTAGTTGGGTCCTGTTTTTTAATCCATTCAGCCACTTTATATCTCTTGATTGAAGAATTGAATTCATTCACATTTAAGGTAGCAACTGATAGGTAAGGACTTATTACTGTAATTTTGTTCATTATTTTCTGGTTGTTTTGTAGATGCTTTGCCCTTTTCTTCCTCACTTGTTGTCTTCCTTTGTGATTTTCTGTACTACTGTGCTTTGATTCCTTACTTTTCTTTTTTTTTTTTTTAAGATGTGGTCTCACTCTGTCACCCAGGCTGGAGTGCAGTGGTGCAATCTCAGCTCACTGCAGACACTGCCTCCCAGGTTCAAGTGATTCTCCTGCCTCAACCTCACAAGTAGCTGGGATTACAGGCATGCTCAACCAGCCTGACTAATTTTTGTATTTTTAGTAGAGATGGGGTTTCACTATGTTGGCCAGGGTGGTCTTGAACTCCTGACCTCAAGTGATCTGCCCACCTTGGCCTCCCAAAGTGCTGGGATTACAGGCATGATCCACCGCGCCTGGCCTGATCCCTTACTTTTCATTTTTTCATGGGTCTGCTATAGGTTTTTGCTTTGTGGTTACCATGATTGACTTACATAAAACATCTTATAGCTATAACAGACTATTTTAAGCTGATATCAACTTAACTTTGATCACATTAAAATACACTTTTACCTTCCAACACACATTTTGTGTTTGCAGTGTCACAATTTACATCTTTTTATACTGTGTATTCCTTAATCAATTACTGTACCTATCATTATTTTTAATAGTTTTGTCTTTCACACTCCATACTAAAGATATAAGTGATTTACACACCACCATTACAGTATTAGAGTTTTCTGATTTTCACTATATGGTTATATTTACCAGTGAGTTTTAGATTTTTATATGTTTTCACGTTATTAATTGGTGTCTTTTTCTTTCAGCTAAGTAACTCCCTTTAGCATTTCTTGTAAGGCAGTTCTAGTAGTGATAAAGTCCCACAGCTTTTGATTGTCTGGGAAAGTCCTTATCTCTTCATCATTTCTGAAGGACAGACTTACTGGGTATGGATGGCATTCTTGGTTGGCAATATTTTTTTTCTATCAGTACTTTAAATATATCATCTCACTGTCTCCTGGTCTGAAAGGTTTCTGCTGAGAAATATACTGAAAGTCTTATGCAGTTTCCCTTGTATGTGATGAGTCGCTTTCCTCTTGCTGCTTTCAAAATTCTCTTTGTCTTTGACTTGTGCCTTTGATTATATTGTATTTTGGTGAAGATCTCTTTATGTTTAATCTATTTGAGGTTCTTTGGGCTTTGTGGATCTGGATGTTCATTTTCCTCTCCAGACTTGGGTATTCTTCTGTCATTATTTCTTCAAGTAAACTATCTTCCCCTTTCTCTTTCTCTGTTCTTTCTGGAACACCCATAGTACATGTATTGGTTTGACTGATGGTGTCTCATAATTCTTGTAGGTATTCTTCACTTTTTCAAGCCTTTTTCTTTTTGTTCCTCTGACTGGATAATTTTAAATGACTTATCTTTGAGCTCATTGATTCTTCTGCTTGATCCAGTCTGCTGTTGATGCTCTCTATAAAATTTTTAGTTCAGGCATTATGTTCATTAACTCCAGAGTTTCTGTTTGGTTCTTTTTATTTTCTCATCCTTTTGTTGAGATTCTTGTTTTGTTTGTGGATTGTTTTCCTGATTTTATTTAGTTGCTCATCTGTAGTCATCCTGAGTTTCTAGTTGTCCTGCTAATTTTATTTAGTGGTCTATCTTGTAGCTCACTGAACCTCTTTAAGATGATTATTTTGAACTGTGCATTTGGGCTTGATGCTTGAGGCCATAGGGGCTGGCCTGACACAGGGATAGACCTGAAGCCTCAGCCAGAGCCTGCCTGGAGGCTGTGGGGTGGAGGGGTTGGGGCAGCTGTTGGCCTGAAAGCTCTGTCCACAAGGCCTGGTGTGGATCCCGGGGTTGTAGGTGCTGGCTTGGCTCTGGCATGGACCTGGAGACTGGATCCCATGGGGGCCAGTTTAGTGCTGGGGTCTACAGGGTTGGGCCTAGACCCTGTGTCTGGCTGGAGCTTGTGGTCACAGGGCCCAGCCTGGAGCTGGTATCCATGGAGGCTCTCCTGGAGTGGGTGTCTTCTGGTGTCAACCTGGTACCAGGATGGGTCATGAGGCTGGGTCTGTGGGTGCTGACCTGGAGTCTGGTGCTGTGGGGGGCTGGCCTGGTGCTGGGAATGATCTATAGCCTGAGTCTTTGGGGCCAGCCTGACGTTGGGGTGTGCCTGGAGACTGAGTTTAGGCAACCACCCCAGAGCCAGGGGTCTTAGGGGCTGGCCTGGCATTGAACCAGGTTTAAAGGCTCAGTCTATGGGTGCTGGCCTGAAATCTAGGGCTTCAGTGGCTGGTTTGGCAGTGGGACAGGCCTGGAGACTAAGTCTGTGGGGCCAGTGTAGAACCTGGGGCCAGCCTGATGGTAGATTGGGACTGGAGCCTGAGACTGTGGGAGCCAACCTAGGGCTGGGGTAAGCCTGGAGACTGAGTCTGCAAGGCAAACCTGGAGCCTGGGGCTGCAGGGAACTGCCTGGCATGGGGTTGTATTGGAATCAATCAGTGTCAGGGTTCAAGGCAAAGTCTGGTGCTCACTTTACTCTCCTATCCCTGCATGGGTGGCATTTCTGTCTCCATGCTGTGCTGCCAAAGCTCGAAGGAAGGGTGATATGAGTGATGTAAAACTATCCTTCTTACCCTCTCCCATGTTTCTTCTTATTTCTGTACAACATCCAGGTGCTGTAGTCTCTCACCTGATTTCCTTAGCTCTTGTGAAGGTATTTTAATTTATGGATAGTTGTTAAAATTAATGTTTCTATAAGGATACAAGAGCTGCAAGGTCATTCTGACATCTTGTTGATGTCACCAGTTTAATTAACTTTTTATTAACCAAATTGACCCATTTTCAACTGGACATTTCATCAAAATTGCTGAACTGGGAGCCTCATATAGGCACAAACCAAACATCCTGGGAAGGGAAAAGTTACAATGAGAAAGGCGAATGAATCCAGTAGAGATTCTATTATGCCTTTCTTCCTAGCCACAGGGGAAAGCACTTACATCTTCCCAAACATAATTACATTCCTGGTGTTTAATGAATACAACTTTAATTCATGCTATGCAATTGAAATCTGCTAAAACCCAAGACATGGGGAAGTTTCCCTGTACTTGCTGATCTGGTATATAAAAATAAAGCTTTAAATGTCTGGAGATTATTGATTTGGTTGTTTACTTAGGAAAGTTCAGTGGGGCATCCCTGCAAGCAATTGCCTAATGTGTCTTAACATGTTAAGCAAACCTGAAAAGATGTCCACCAGTGAAGAATGCCAGCCGGTGGACCCAGGGGCATAGCAAGGCTCATGGAGTTCCGGCATCCAAACAAATCAATAGTTTTCAGTCTTGGGCAGGTACAGTGATCACTTGAGGAGATTATTAAAAATGCAGATGCCCATGCCAATTTGCTCAATCTGACTCTATAACAGAGGGCCTAAGAATCTTTTTTTTTTTTAAGTTTCCCAGGTAATTCTGATCCACATCAAAGCTCGAAGACCACTAGACAATCATTGAGAAGGTGTATATTGTTCAGCTCCTGCAACAGAAGAGATTTTCCTAAATGGCCTCTCCACTCACATGGAGGAATGCTAATAAGGACCTGCTCTACAAACTCATTCCTGCAGTACTCTAGACATGATGTTGAAGCTGCTGTTTATCCTTTCTGTGAAGCTCCATGTGAAAGAAAAAATTTTAAACCCACTGGTCTAGCAAATCTTGGTTCATCCTGAAGCATTAATATACTTTGAGGGAGGGGAAATAGGAACAGCGAGTATTTGTAATTATATTTTTCATTTCCTTTTGGTGGCCAGGATTCTTTCCTCAATTTGAGTTTTCATACCTATTCTTTTGCCTGATGGAATCGTATGAAATTCTTGGATTTCCACCAGATGTGTCCTTCTATTATCTGTACATTTTCTACATATATGTCATATGCCAGAATTTAACACTGATTTTCCTGTTTATCAGAATGCTTATATTCCTGGATGCCTTCTCAGAGCCTTTTTGTAGAATGATAGAATGAGGCACGGCGAGTGTGCGCGTGTGTGGTTGCTTATCCACCTATTTATATTTCTTTAAAAAAATATTTATTTATGGCTGGGCGCGGTGGCTCATGCCTGTAATCCCAGCACTTTGGGAGGCTGAAACGGGTGGATCATGAGGTCAGGAGATCGAGACCATCCTGGCTAACATGGTGAAACCCCGTCTCTACTAAAAATACAAAAAAAAAAAATTAGCCGGGTGTGGTGGTGGGCACCTGTAGTTCCAGCTACTCGGGAGGCTGAGGCAGAATGGTGTAAACCCAGGAGGCAGAGCTTGCAGTGAGCCGCGATCATGCCACTGCACTCCAGCCTGGGTGACAGAGTGAGACTACATCTCAAAAACAAAACAACAACAACAAAAACCCAAAAAAATGTATTTATTATGTATTTATTTTATTTTATTTTGAAGACAGGGTCTTGCTATGTTGCCCAGGCTGGTCTCCAGTTCCTGGACTCAAGCAATCCTCCTGTCTTGGAATCCCACAGTGCTGGGATTACAGGTGTGAGCCACCGTGCTTGGCCAATATTTCTTGAGTCCTGACTGTCTTGTGCAGTCTGTAGCACCGTGGTGTCTCTATTCCTCAATCCTAACAGCGTTCTCACTAAAGCAAGTGCTAAGAACGTTATTAAATGGACGGGTGGTGCCATTGATTGAAAACTACATGAAGAATGCAGTGATTAAAATGATAGGTTGTGAGAGCTTTACAATGAAGCAAGGCTAGATAGTATTTCCTCCAAGGGTCCTCCCATTTCCCCATCTTTGCCTTCACCTCTGAGATTTGATGAGGCTGGCTGGCACAAGGGGTCACAGTGTCGCTTCCTTCCTCAGCCAGTTTGCTGAGTCCCAGTCCTCTGAATTTGGCCAGGTGCCTGACAATTCTTGCATAAACAGTAGACCAGAACACATGGATGAAAGAGGATAAATCCCTCTCTGCCCCAGAGAAACAGCTCCTAGTTTACATGCTGGTGGCTGTGGCTTAGCCATGCCATCTTCGAAAGGCAAGGATAAGATGACTTTAAAAGAGGAAGAAATTTGTTTTACCACTCACACCTTTAATCTGCTCTGGCAGAATTGGCTTTCATAGTGGGCCAGTCTGAAACAGGGGCTCACATCTCAAGACTTTCAGCTAAGACCCTGGAGAGGTGATTATACAAGCCTGCAGCGGTGCAGACTGCTAATGGCTTTTGCACATTGCACAGATCACAGGATGCCCGCAGAACTCAGTTGCCCACAAAAGTCCTCCTCTGTCTGCTCTACTAAATTGAGTCCTCGGGAACACATTCACATAGAAAAAGCTGAAATAATAAGACAGCAATTATTTCTGTTTCCTGACCCAGAAACACTATTCGTGTTTAAAACATGACTATGTCCTTCTTTAGTTTCAGAAATGAATCAACAGTTCAATACCTGTTTGCTTCCTATTGGTGTGTCTCTGGCCCTAGCTGTTCTTTCTCTCATTTTGATGGGTAAATTATTTTCCTGGGAAACAAATGGGATCAGATGGGTTAAGTGGTCCACAGTGCCTACGGCAGCAAGCTGTGAACAGAAAGAACAGGAAGGCCACCACGCTAATGCGAAATAACAAATTCATGTGGGTCATTTGTAGATTTACATACCACATGTGCATTGATTTATCTCTGTGGGGGAAAAATATTCTCCCCTTTGACAACTAAGATATACAGGGGTCAAAGGACAAGCCCAGACATTTATGCTAGCAGGTAATGGATCAGGGTTCCTTCCACATGCCACGACCCTTTTATAAAGTTTTCATTTTAGATTCATGGGGTACATGTGCAGGTTTGTTACATGGGTAGATTGCGTGATGCTGAGGTTTGGGCTTCCATTGAACCTGTTACCCAAATAGTGAACATAGTACCTAATAGGTAGTTTTTCAACCCTTGCCTCTCTCCTTGCCTCTATCCTTTTGGAGCCCCCAGGATCTATTGTTCCCATCTTTATGTCCCTGAGTACCCAGTGTTTAGCTCCCAATTATAAATGAGAACATGCAGTATTTAGTTTTCAGTTTCTGTGTTAATTCACTTAAGATAATGGCCTCCAGCTGCATCCATGTTACTGCAAAGGACATGATTTTGTTCTTTTTTATGGCTGCATAGTATTCCATGGTGTATATGTACCACATCTTCATTATGCAGTCCACCACTGATGGGCACCTGGGTTGGTTCCGTGTCTTTGCTATTGAAAATAGACGAACATGTGAGTGCAGGTGTCTTTTTGGTAGAACAATTTAATTTTGTGGGGTGTTGGGTAGATACCCAGTAATGGGATTGCTGGGTTAAAAGGTAATTCCATTTTTAGTTCTTTGAGAAATCTCCAAACTGCTCTCCACAGAGGCTGAACTAATTTCCAATCCCACCAATCGTGTATGAACGTTCCCCTTTCTCCGCAACCCTGCCAACTTCAGTTAATTTTTGAGTTTTTAGTAATAGCCATCCTGACTGATGTGAGATGGCATCTCATTATGGTTTTGATTTTGCAAGCCAAGACTCTTACATCCTGCCATATTCTTCAGTACCCAGCTTGTGCCAGGTGATAAGTTGACTGGCCAAAGGGTAAGCTGAAGCTTGAAATGATGTGCCTGGGATGGGCACATTCTAGACCCAATGAAGACCATCCATCCCAGGCCAGCATCCTCTGAAACACAGAAGTCCTCATGTTCCCCAGTCCCTGGCACTTTTTTTTTTTTTTCAGCTCAACTAGTTTTGCCAGATACATGTAAAGAGTTAGCATTTTAAAATAATCTGGGTTTTTTTTTAATTCGATAGTGTATTTGTTTTTGCCTGTAAATGATTTGACTTCACAGCGCATAAAATAAATGGAAAATCTCAGCATCATTCCCATGTTAGATGCTGTTATCCAGAAATATCTATTTTGGTGCCCGCAATTTTTTTTTCCTTTCTCTCATTTGGGGAAGATGAAAGCTGCAAGGCTGTTTATCTCCCCTAAATTAGCCATGTGATAACTCTGAGATATTATTAACCACTCCTCACAGCACTAATGTTTATGTCTGAGAGGGGTCAAGTGGCGATCACCATTGAGGGAGAGTAGCCAAGATAAAAATGCAAGCAACGCAGCAGAAATGCAGCCCACATCAGCCCGGACAAATGGGAGAGGGGAACAGAGTAACCCAAATGCCCCCCAGCAGCCACCACTTTGCAGGGGCAAGAGGGCTCACCGGTGCCTTCTTGCCCGAGGGCATCAGCACGCAGCCCCTCCAGCTTGACCGAGTCAAGCCCTCATGGCTGATGGTACCCCAGGCAAGCTCCTGGAGTTGTTGGTCGCAGCCCCGACTGTGCCTGTTTCTATCTCGCTGATCAATTCCTACCCTGCGGTCCAGGGATCTGACTTCTCAGAGCTATGACTGCTACTGACACTCAGGACCTAAGGGATACTGTCACTCTGTCCCAAGTCTCCAAGATGGAACAGGCTTTGCTGACTCTTCCCGCCATACAGCAGATGCCCCTATTTCTCAGATGGGCATTGCCTGGTGCCAAACCAGAGTCTTCAGTTGCTGCAAACCCTTGCATTTCTTCACCACCTCCCAAAGCTTCCTTTATTATAACTGCAGCAGGGTCTAAAGCAAGCTTGTCCAAACTGCGGCCCAGGATGTCTTTGAATGTGGCCCAACACAAATTCGTAAACTTTCTTTAAACATGAGAGCCAGGCGCGGTGGCTCATGCCTGGAATCCCAGCACTTTGGGAGGCAGAGGAGGGCAGATCACTTGAGGTCAGGAGTTCGACACCCACCTGGCCAATATGGCGAAACCCTGTCTCTACCAAAAATGCAAAAATTAGCCAGGCATGGTGGCATGCACCTGTATTCCCAGGTACTCAGGAGGCTGAGGCAGGAGAATCACTTGAACCCAGGAGGCGGAGGTTGCAGTGAGCTGAGATCGCACCACTGCACTCCAGCCTGAGTAACAGAATGAGGCTCTGCCTCAAATAATAATAATTATCATTATTATGAGTTTTTTTTGCGTTTCTTGTTTTTTGTTTTTTAGCTCATCAGCCATCGTTAGTGTTAAGGTATTTTATGTGTGGCCCAAGACAATTCTTCTTCCAATGTGGCTCAGACAAGCCAAAAGATTGGACATCCGTTATCAAAAGTGTGAAGCTCTCCTACCTCTCTCTCGAGTGAGCCAAGTTAAGGCTAAATACAAGATATATCTGTTGAGAGAGAGGAGCACGCTGAGGTATCAGACAACCTGGGTTCTCATCTTGGCCTCCTGTCTTCCCTAAACATGGTTAAGCCCCTTAATCACTCAGTGTCTCCATTTTCTCATCTGTAAACCATGAATTATTATAGATCACATATACTTATTATATATACTGTGAATTATATATACCTTCAAAAAGCTGTTGTGGCATTTGATGAAGGGAAGCTATGACCTGGCTGAGCAAAAAAATAAAAATAAAAATTTATTATAACTATCACAATGATGAGAGAGTTCAAGTTTTCTGGGAAAATGGGCATCTTTCTGAAGTGTCTGGATTTGTAGAAATCCCCCCAGAAAGGAAACAAGAAAAGATTCTGCTCCAAGTAGAACACTTCTCTGAGGAGAAGCCAGACCTCCTAACAAAGACTGAAGAATCCAAGATGCTATGGAGGTTCTTGAGTCCCTGTTAGGCCTGAAGTAGCTCCCAGAATCATCTCTTCATCCTTCTGCAATGCTCAGGATGAAGACATTAACAAATACTTTCTGGGTTGAAATATAAAATACTTGAAATGTCAGACTGGGCTCATCAGAGAAGGAACAATTGAAACACCTGCTGTTTCTGTAATGGACAGCGGTTTGCAAAGGACAGCATCCACGTACTCTGATCATAAAACACTATGCAACAACAGAGAGCTGCATTCAATTTGCAGTGCTAAAGCTTCCGTTTAGGCAGTGAAAAGCTCTCCTTAGCAGTTAATAAAATCATAATGACCAGACATCAGAGTTTCTTAATTTCCGTCAGCAGTTGGGCACTTTCTCTCCGAGGAAGTCAATGATGTCATTTAAGTCCATCTTCTCATGTCCATTCCTGGTGAGGTGATAATTATTATTCTCTTGGGGCTGCCTAGCATCTGACCCCCTCTTAATATGTTTTAGAGAAATAACTCCCCTTTAATATAAAAGCCAAAAGTGTAAGCTACTCATTTTCTCAGATTCTCTTGCAGGTTGGCGTGCCTGCATCACCTGGCTCAGCTGATCATGAGCTCCTGCCTGGACTCCAAGTACGAAGTAAGAGATGTGAAGAATCAGGAACCACGTGGGGTCATTTTTGCAGCTGGCCTGGCAGCTGCATTTCCAGTCCCGATTCCCGAGTCACAAGCATCATGCAGTGGCAGCTGTGTCTCCGTGGAGCCATTTTACAGTGGACATCGTTCCTGCTTGCATACCCTCTGTGTATGGTTCTCAGATCCTTCCAGAGCTTCTGTGAGCTCCTTGCTATGTAGCTGGTGCTCCTATTCATCATGTACTTTTGTTTTTCCTTCCTTCCTTCCTTCCTTCTTTCCTTCCTTCCTCTCTCTCTCTCCCTTTCTTTCTTTCTTTCGTTCTTTTTTTTTGAGACAGAGTCTCACTCTGTCACCCAGGCTGGAGTGCAGTGGCACAATCTCGGCTCACTGCAACCCTCACCTTCCAGGTTTAAGCAATTCTCCTGCCTCAGCCTCCTAAGTAGCTGGGATTACAGGTGTGTGCCACCACGCTTGGGTATTTTTGTATTTTTAGTAGAGATGGGGCTTCTCCAGGTTGGCCAGACTGGTCTAAAGTGATCCACCTGCCTCAACCTCTCAAAGTGCTGGGATTACAGGGGTGAGCCACCGTGCCTGGCCAGCATGTACTTCTTTTTCTTCACCTGCCTCACTCATTCTCATTCTGAAACATTACCTCCTCTAAGAAGCCTTCCTTGATATATCCTTCCTTCCATCACACTATTTTGACTTCTTGACACCAGGAACTACTCTATGGTTTGAATGTTTTTGTCCCCTACAAAAATTCATGTTGAATGTTAATTGCCATTGCAACAGTATTGAGAGATGTGGTCTTTGGGAGGTGATCAAGTAATGAGGGCAGAGACTAGTTGCCCTTAAGCATGGTATTAGTTGCCCTTATGAAAGGGCTTGACAGTTCACCCCTTTTTGCCTTTCTGCTTTCCACCACATTAGGACACTCTTCCTTACATCTGGCAGGTGCAGTGTTCAGTGCACCATCTTGGAAGCAGAGAGCAGCCCTCACCAGACACCAGACTTGTTGGCATCTCGATCTTGGACTTTCCACCCTCCAGAACTGTAAGAAAATAAATTTCTCTTCTTTATAAATTATCCGGTCTCTGTATTCTGTTATAGCAGCACAAACAGACTAGGACAGGCGAGGTCTTATTTATTCTTTCATCTCAGGTGCCCAAGTGAACTGTAGATTTATTTATTTGTGTATTGATTCTTTAATCCCAAGTGAACTGTAGATACTCAATAAGTACATCTGTATTATTTTTCCTATGGCTTCTGTATAAATTACTACAAACTTGGAGTAGCTTAAAACAACACAGATTTATCCTCTCACAGGTCTGGAGTCCAGAAGTCTGAAATTGGTTTGACTGGACCAAAATCAAGATGGCGGCAGAGCTGGCTCTCTCTGGAGGCCCTAGGGGAGAATTTGTTCCTTGCCTCTTTCAGCTTCCAGGGGGCTGTTGGAATTCCTTAGCACATGGTTACATCACTCTAATATCACTCCAGTTTCTGCCTTCTTGGTCACATTGCCTTCTTCTCTTCTTTCTGTAGTTTCCATCTACCACCTTCTCATAAGGACACTTGTGATGACACTCAGGGCTCACCAGGATAATCCAGGATGGGCCCTCCATCTCAAGACCCTTAAGTTAATCACATCTGCAAAGTCTTTGTCATATAAGGTAACATGCATAGGTTCTAGAGATTAGGACATGAATATCTTGGGGGTCATTATTCAGCCTGCCTACATCATAGGTCATATACTACATAAATTTTTATGGTGCAAATCACTAGCCCTTCTTCCCTATGATGCTGCTTGGATTTGCTCCCCCAGGGCTGTCTTCTGTTTGACTTTGTCTTGGGAGAAATTATTTTGGTCCTTCACAAACTAAACTCCTTTGAACTGAATCCACCTAGAGCAGCCAGCCTCATGTGCAAATCTGCCAATGGCCAATAGTCCTTGTGAAGTTCACTCAACCCACTGTGATTGTCCTCTTCTCAGTCCTGCTGCTGGTTGTGTGGTCTTGAACAAAACTGTTAGATCAGTGGAATAGCTCTGCCCTAATGGCCCAGGGACCTGGAAGCCAGCCTATTCCTCATGTGGGACTTTGGGTGGGAATTCCCTCTCCCTGAGCCTGGGTGTCCTCATTCATACAAAGACAGACTAAAACTCTTCCCAACTCAGTCAAGCTCTTCCCTCAAATTTTCTCTTCTTCTCATAAAAGAACACACACTGTATAATTCCATTTACATAGCTCAATAACAGGAAAAACTAAATTGTATTGTTTAGCAATGTATTGTTTATTTTACCACCTAGGTAGCAAAATAATAAAAAGGCCAAGGAAATGATTGTCACAAAAGCAAAATGTGATATATACATACAATGGAATATTATTCAGCCTTAAAGGGTAAGTAGACTCTGACAGATGCTACAACACAGATGAACCTTGAGGACATGATGTGAAATAAAATAAGCCAGTCACAAAAACACACACACTATAGGATTCCACGTAGAGGAGTTACCTAGAATGGGCAAATTCATAGACAGAAAATAGAATGGTGATTGCCAGGTGTCTTAGTCCATTTTCTGTTGGTTATAACAGAATACCTGAAACTAGGTAATTTATAGAGCAATGAAATTTACTTCTGTATTCTTTTTTTTTTTTTTTGAGATGAAGTCTCACTCTTGTCATCCAGGCTGGAGTGCAATGGTGCGATCTCGGCTCACTGCAACCTCCACCTCCTAGGTTCAAGCGATTCTCCTGCCTCAGCCTCCTGAGTAGCTGGGATTACAGGCGTCTGCCACCACGCCCAGCTAATTTTTGTATTTTTAGTAGAGACAGGGTTTCACCATGTTGGCCAGGATGGTCTTGAACTCCTGACCTCAGGCAATCCGCCCACCTCAGCCTCCCAAAGTGCTGGGACTACAGGCGTCAGCCACCGTGCCCGGCCCAAAATTTATTTCTTACAGTTCTGGAAGCGAGGAGTCCAAGGTCAAGGGGATGCATCTGGTGAGGGTCTTCTTTCTCGTGGGGACTCTCTGCAGAGTCCGATGCTGCTCCAGGCATCATATGGTCAGGGGGCTGAGTATGTCTTTCTTCCCTGTCTTATAAAGCCACTAGGCCCACTCCTGTGATAACCCATTAATCCATGAGCCCATTGATCTTTTAATCCACAAATGGATTAATCTAGTCACGAGGGCAGAGCTCTCATAACCCAACCTCTTAAAGACCCCACATCTCAATACTGCCACAGTGGAGATTAAACATGAGTTTTGGAGCAGACAAATATTCAAATCATAGCACCAGGGTCTGATAGTGAGTATTGAGTGTTAACTTGGTTGGATCAAAGGATGCAAAGTATTGTTCCTGGGCATGTCCATGAGGGTGTTGCCAAGGGAGATTAACATTTGAGTCGGTGGACTGGGAGACACAGACCCATCCTCAATCTAGGTGGGTGCCATCTCATCAGCTGCCAGTGTGGCTAGAATAAAAGCAGGAAGAGGAACGTGGAAGTGTGTCCGGAATTGGTGGGTTCTTGGTCTCACTGACTTCAAGAATGAAGCCGTGGACCCTCGCGGTGAGTGTTACAGCTCTTAAGGTGGTGCGTCTGGAGTTTGTTCCTTCTGATGTTCGGATGTGTTCGGAGTTCCTTCCTTCTGGTGGGTTCGTGGTCTCACTGGCTCAGGAGTGAAGCTTCAGACCTTCGCGGTGAGCATTACAGCTCTTAATGTGGCGCGTCTGGAGTTGTTCGTTCCTCCCGGTGGGCTCGTGGGCTCGCTGGCTTCAGGAGTGAAGCTGCAGACCTTCGCAGTGAGTGTTACAGCTCATAAAAGCAGTGTGGACCCAAAGAGTGAGCAGTAGCAAAATTTATTGCAAAGAGCAAAAGAACAAAGCTTCCACAGGGTGGAAGGGGACCCGAGCGGGTTGCCACTGCTGGCTTGGACAACCTGCTTTTATTCTCTTATCTGGCCCCACCCACATCCTGCTGATTGGTAGAGCCGAGTGGTCTGTTTTGACAGGGCGCTGATTGGTGCGTTTACAATCCCTGAGCTAGACACTAAGGTTCTCCACGTCCCCACCAGGTTAGCTAGATACAGAGTGTGGACACAAAGGTTCTCCAAGGCCCCACCAGAGTAGCTAGATACAGAGTGTCGATTGGTGCATTCACAAACCCTGAGCTAGACACAGGGTGCTGATTGGTGTGTTTACAAACCTTGAGCTAGATACAGAGTGCCGATTGGTGTATTTACAATCCCTGAGCTAGACATAAAGGTTCTCCAAGGTCCCACCAGAGTAGCTAGATACAGAATGCCCACTGGTGCATTCACAAACCCTGAGCTAGACACAGGGTGCTGATTGGTGTATTTACAATCCCTGAGCTAGACATAAAGGTTCTCCACGTCCCCACCAGACTCAGGAGCCCAGCTGGCTTCACCCAGTGGATCCTGCACCGGGGCTGCAGGTGGAGCTGCTTGCCAGTCCCGGTGCTGTGCGCCGGCACTCCTCAGCCCTTGGGTTGTCGATGGGACTGGGCGCCGTGGAGCAGGGGGTGGCGCTCATCGGGGAGGCTCGGGCCGCACAGGAGCCCATGGAGTGGGTGGGAGGCTCAGGCATGGCGGGCTGCAGGTCCCGAGCCCTGCCTCACGGGAAGGCAGCTAAGGCCCGGTGAGAAATTGAGCGCAGCGCCGGTGGGCTGGCACTGCTGGGGGACCCAGTACACCCTCCGCAGCCGCTGGCCCGGGTGCTAAGCCCCTCATTGCCCTGGGCCGGCAGGGCCGGCCGGCTGCTCTCAATGTGGGCCCGCCAAGCCCACGCCCACCCTGAACTCCAGCTGGCCCGCAAGCGCGGCGCGCAGCCCCGGTTCCTGCTGGCGCCTCTCCCTCCACGCCTCCCTGCAAGCTGAGGGAGCCAAGCTCTGGCCTTGGCCAGCCCAGAACGGCGCTCCCACAATGCAGCGGTGGGCTGAAGGGCTCCTCAAGTGCAGCCAAAGTGGGAGCCCAGGCAGAGGAGGCCCCGAGAGCGAGCGGGGGCTGAGGACTGCCAGCACGCTGTCACCTCTCAGAAGGACTAGACTGGCTGAGTCTTTTGGCCTCCACCTTTCTCCCATGCTGGATGCTTCCTGCACTCGAACATTGGACTACAAGTTCTTCAGCTTTTGGACTCTTGGACTTATACCAGTGGTTTGCCTGTGGCTCTCGGACCTTCAGCCACAGACTGAAAGCGGCACTGTTGGCTTCCCTACTTTTTAGCTTTTGGGACTCGGACTGACTTCCTTGTTCCTCAGCTTGCAGATGGCCTACTGTGGGACTTCACCTTGTGATCGTGTAAGTCAATATTCCTTAATAAACTCCCATTTATATATACATCTATCCTATTAGTCCTGTCCCTCCAGAGAACCCTAATTCACAGGGGAGGGAAATGAAGATTTATTGTTTAATGGGTATATGGTTTCAATTGGCAAGATGAAAAAATTCTGGTGGTGGGTGGTGATGATAGTGGCACAATATGAATGTACTTAATGCCACAGGACTGTACACTTAAAAATGTACACTTAAAAATGGTTAAAATGGTAAATTTCATGCTACATAAATTTTAACACAATAAAAAAATTGGAAAGAAAAAAACTAGGCTACTGATTATGTCTGGTTTGACAAGAGCACAAAAAGACATATTTGGGGACTGGCAACTATTTATTGACCTCGGTGGTGGTCACACAGGTATTTGCCTCATTATTTGCTGATCTGTACATTATACTTATTGATTGATTTTTATTTAATTTTTCATCTTGGAAATTTTCAACCATTCCCAAAAGTAAAAACCATAATATAATAAACCCAGCTGCAACAATTATTCACATTTTGCTATTTTTGTTTCATTTATGCATGCCTTCCAGTTTTGGAAAGCATGGGACATTTTGAAGCCAATTGCAGGTTTTACATCATTTCACCTATAAATACTTCAGTAGATACATATACACTTTTATGCATTATCTATAAAGATGAAACACCAAAAATACTAAAGTAAGAGGGAAGGAATGGAGCTGGTCTTGAAGGCAGAAATCCTGTGTAGGGAAAGTAGTGTGTGTGTGTTTGTGTGTGCACGTATGTGTGTCATGGTCATGCAGATACAGTAGGATGTCTGCTTTGGTTGGAGGAATAGCTAAGCCTGTGTTCTTCCATTGCAGCTTGGGGGCCATGGTTGTAGCTCCCAATGGTTGATCTGGGCATTTAAATAAACGCAGTCAAGCCTACGACTCCAGAAGAGCTATAACCAGAGTCCAAGAAGTCTTGTAGGGCTGGATATAAGAGTCCCCCTCCCGTATTGAGGACCCACACTTCATGTCTGTCTTTTTGTTTCTGTCTGGCTAGCACCCGGCACAGTGAATTGCCCAGTGGAAAACCTCAACAATTGTTAAATGATTGGATAACGAGGGGAGAGGATTGCTCTAAAGAACGCCACAGTTTGCCGGAGGCTCAGAGTATTTTTTTGTTCTTGCTTTCATGACTTTAAGCAAACTGTCCTGCTCTTGGAAAAAGGGAAGGAGACTGTAAGCTCCTTCATGGAGTAGTGGTGACCCCACACTGCTAGAGGTGGGAAGGAGGAGTTTGGTTCTCGACAGAAGTAGGTGGGAACACTGAGGCCAACCCCAGTACCCCTAAGATGGGCTTTGATTTGTCCTGTCACTGGATGAACCAGGTCTGTAGCTAATACAAGTTGTTAATATCCAAGTCTTATAAAATATGGGTAAGAGTGGGAGTATGCCAACCAGTTCTCAGACTCCAGGTTTGGGGTCTAGGGCATTACCAGGCCCTCTCTGCGGGTGTCTGGGCTCCGGGGCACCATGCATAGAGGCCAATGGAAGAGGCCAACATAGAATTTCACAAGCTTCCTTTGGTCAAAACCTGCTATTTATCGACCTGAGTGGTGGTCACACAAGTATTTGATTGATAATTATTTGCTAATCTGTGCATATATACTCATTGATTGATCATTATATTTATTGATTGATCATTGTTGATTGGTCATTATACTTTTTGATCTTTTACGTCTAACTCAAGTTATCCCTTTTTAGAAGCTCCTGGTGCACAGTAAGCTCTCCATCCTCTCCTGCTGCTATCTCCTTGCCTTAGCCTTGGCTATTCCTTCTGTTGCAAATGCTTTTTCCTCAGATTTTCATGTGCTTGCGCTCTCACATTCAGGGCAGCACATAATATTGAGTCTTAATTTTAGGCCTCCCACCACAGTTCTTCTCTAGTGTATATGGTTAAACAGGGTTCACTGACCCATCTTGGAAGTCCTGGTGTCTCTCTCTACTAAGCCTGGCTTTGGCTCTCACTTCTGCTTTGCCCTGGGGCCACAGCTGTGTTACAGCCCATGTTCAAATATCTTCATGTTAAAGAACTTGATGACTATCTTCTGTAAACAAGATAGCAACCCCTAGCTCTCCTTATCTCTGGTACCCTACTTATTTTTCTTCATAACCTCTATTGTCAGCTTCCCCAGCCTGACCACAGAATATAAGTTCTGTGGAGGCAGGCATTTCATCTGTTTTCTTCACGGTGGTGTTTCCAGGGCCTAGAGCAGTGCTTGGCACATAGTGAAGGCTCAATTCGTATTTGTTGAATGAATGAATGAATGGTTGATATTTCTTGTCTGGTCCATGCATGTCACTAGACACTTGTGATCTTTTATGTCTTGTCTTTCCAGTTGGAATCCTCTAGGGTCTGGTCTGTTCCTGCAAGAACTGCCCCTTATTCATCCCATTTGTGAAGAAGGGATTCCTGCCCTAGGGTTATGAGGCTGGCCAATTTTACACGACACCCAACACTGGGTAGATAAGATTGACGGCAGTTAATTTATCACATATACTGACAGGGGACATTGCATGCCACACAGGACCACATGAGGACTGCACTGGAGAGCAAAGTGAAGAAGCAGGGAGTGTGGAAGGTGGCTTTGTAGTATCCAGAGGATGGGGTGGCCTGCATTCCCACAGGAAGATGTGATTGGCTACTTGAAATAATTCCATGAGCTGGCAGGGAACTGAAGCCTGCTACTCAAGGGTAAGCAGGAACTGTGCCTGGTCCTTTTGATAAGAACAGTTGTTTGGCTAGGGGACCTTTTTAGAAGCAAAAGAGGGAGGTGAACTTGCAATTACACCACCTGAGGCCCTCCTGGTTTCACCAGACATCAGGGCAGAACATGATATCGGGCTTTAATTTTAGGCCTTCCACTACAGTTCCGCGCTAGTGTACATGGTCGAACAGCGTTCACTGGCCCATCTTGGAGGTCCTGGTGTCTCGCTCTGATAAGCCCAGCTTTGTCTCTCACTCTTGCTTTGTCCTAGGGCTTCAGCTCTGTTACTATGTGACTTTCAGTTCCAACAACCAATTCCAGGCCATTTAATCCCAGCTCTCTGGAAACTGGCTCAGCTTATATTCCTAGACTTCCTTCCTACCTTCTCCTGTTCTTGACTCCTGGATATGGTTCTAGCCTCTTCTGTCTGATCTTACTGTGTGACTTCTGGTTGCCAGCATCCACCTCTCCTCCTCACCTGCCTATTGCAGCATGACAGGTCACAACGATCTTTCCAGGACTTTTCTCCTCCTCCAAGCAGCTTCAGAGAGTAGGGAACGGCTTGAAGCTTGAAAGCAAAGAAACACAGCTTCCAGAGTTTCCTTAGTGCTATCAATTTTTTTCTTTTTAAAATTTGCAACAGGGGTTTGCTCTGTATGTCACCCAGACTGGAGTGCGGTGGCACAAACAAGGATCACTGCAGTCTCCATCTCTTGGGCTCAAGCAATCCTCCTACCTCAGCCTCCTAAGTAGCTGGGACTACAGGTGTGAGCCACCATGCCCGGCTAGTTTTTGTATTTTTTTGTAGACAGGGTTTTGCCATCATGCCCAGGCTGGTCTTGAACTCCTGACCTCAAGTGATCCACCTGCCTTGGCCTCCCAAAGTGCTGGGATTACAAGTGTGAGCCACTGCACCCGGCCCAGTGGTATCACTTATGCCTGCCCATGAGCACCAGCTCAATTGCTCTGACATCCCTGTGAATCAAACTCAGAGGTCTTTAGTTCTGACCAATTAACGCATTGTCCTTGTGGGGGACTATGTGGCAGCTATGAAAATGCACCACCTAGGTCTCCTACCGTGGCCGCAGCTGGTGCACTTGGAGATCCATCACTCCATTTGCACTGATGCTCTGCTTCTCGGCTCACTGTGCAGTCTGGGGACACGAAGAGGGGCCTGTTTCTGCGAGATATGGGACTCCTGTCATGGATGACTTTGGCTCAAGGACTATCTGTAACTTTGCCCAACTGGTCTTAGCTCTGAACTGCAGCCTAAGAGCTTTCTTCTTTCCTTTCTTCCCTCCCTCTCTCCTTCATAGGGGTCAGACTTGCATTATAGCCTAAGCCTTTTCCAGCCTTCTCTGGCTTCCTCCCCACTTTCCCTCACAGGTGTTTCCCCCAGTAAACCCCCTGCATGTCTAATCCTGTTTTGGTGTCTGCTTTTGGGAGAACCTTCACTCACAAGGCTACTATGGTATGAAAGTCTTAAACGGTGTCACTGAATCCAATTTGTAGTCTTTAATCCCTCACCCCCTTCCCATGCTTTCCCCCCAAGTCCCCAAGTCCATTGTATCATTCTTATGCCTTTGCATCCTCGTAGCTTAGCTCCCACTTATGAGTGAGAACATACGATGTTTGGTTTTCCATTCCTGAGTTACTTCACTGAGAATAATGGTCTCTAATCCCATCCAGAGATTGCTGTGAATGCTATTAATTCATTCCTCTTTATGGCTGAGTAGTATTCCTTCATACATATAAATTGTAGTTTCCTTATTCACTCATTGATTGATGGGCATTTGGGCTGGTTTAACAGTTTTGCAATTGCGAATTGTGCTGCTATAAACATGCGTGTGCAAGTATTTTTTTTGTGTAATGATTTCTTTTCCTCTGGATATAATACCCAGTAGTGGGATTGCTGGGTCAAATGATAGTTCTACTTCCAGTTATTTAAGGAATCTCCACACTGTTTTCAATAGTGGTTGTACTAGTTTACATTCCCACCAGCAATGTAGGAATGTTCCTTTTTCATCACATCCATGCCAACATCTATTATTTTTTGATTATGGCCATTCTTGCGGGAGTCAGGTGGTATGGCATTGCGGTTTTGATTTGCATTTCCCTGATCATTAGTGACGCTGAGCATTTTTTTCATACGTTTCTTAGCCATTTGTATATCTTCTTTTGAGCTCAGATGATGGGTGCACCAAAATCTCACAAATCACTCCTAAAGAACTTACTCATGTAACCAAACACCACCTGTTCCCCAAAAACCTACGGAAATTTAAAATACATAAATATTAAATAATCAAAAATTTTAAAAAGAAGTCTTAAATGGTCTCGAAGTCTCCCGAAGTCTCAACGGCAGATGGGGAAGTCCTGGACCTCCCAGAGATTCTGATCAGGAGTCAACTTCACTTGATGACATCTTCTATCACAGCTGTTAAAAGCAGGGCTTTGGTTGGGTGTGGTGGCTCACACCTGTAATCCCAGCACTTTGGGAGGCTGAGGCGGGTAGATCACCTGAAGTCAGGAGTTTGAGACCAGCTTGGCCAACATGGTAAAACCCTGTCTCTACTAAAAATACAAAAAATTAGCCGGGCATGCTGGCAGGCACCTGTAATCCCAGCTACTCAGGAGGCTGAGGCAGGAGAATTGCTTGAACCCGGGAGGCAGAGGTTGCAGTGAGCCCAGATGGCGCCATTGCAACTCCATCCTGGGCAACAAGAGCGAAACTCCATCTCCAAAAAAAAAAAAAAAAAAAAAAGCAGGGCTTTAGGGTCAGATAAACATGGCCCCAAACTCCTGCTCCATCCCTTAAGTAGATGTGGGAGCTTCAGCGTGTCTTGCGGCCAGTTCATGCCTCAGTTTTCAAAGCTGTGAAGTGGGGTTGTAAGAGTCCATTGTGACAACGTGTGTCAAGCATTTAGGGACAGTAGATAGTGTGGCTGGGACACAGTGGGGGATCAATGAATGGCAGCTGTGGTTCTTCACACTTCATGCGCTTTGGAATGATGACATTCTCATTTTAGTAAGAACAGTTAAAATAAATGAAGAAGGAGAACAGATCTGAAGAATCCCTGGGCAGATACCAGTTAGGCCTCATCAGTGACCTCCACCTTGCTTGATTTGCAAACATGAGCAAAACTCAAATTGAGCTATTTCTCTTTGTTTGTTTGTTTTTTGTTTTCTTTTTTTTTTTTTTCTACAGGGTCTCTCTCTGTTACCCAGGCTGGAGGGCAGTGGTGCAATCATAGCTCAATACAGCCTAGAACTCCTGGGCTCAAGTGATCCTCCCACCTCAGCCTCCCAAGTAGTTGGGACTACAGGCATGCACCACTACATCTGGCTAATTTTTTTGATTTAAAGTAGAGACGAAGTCTAGCTGTTGCCCAGGCTGGCCTCAAATTCCTGGCCTCAAGCAATCTTCCCACCCCAGCCTCCCAAAGTGCTGGAATTACAGGCATGAACCACCACACTCAGCCCCTTAACTTGAGCTATTTCTTATCAATGCCTATATTAAAGAAAAGTAAAACTTAAGTTCAATGAATCAGAAGTAGCCAACAAACTCATAATGGTATAACTAGGAACTTTCCAAGAAGATAGACTAAATAAGACAACTAATATCATCGCAACCCATCAAATAATTTATTTATTTTGCTTCTGCATATATCTTACACATATTTGCCTTTCAAGACTGGTCGTGGCAACATGTGATCTCTTTCAATTTGGCGTTTCCCAATCCCCAAATTGCTTCTTACTCAAATAAATGCTTCAAAATCGTATTGTGCCTGTATTAGAGTTCTCTTAGAGGGACAGAATTAATAAGATATATATAAGAGTTTATTAAGTATTAACTTACATGATCACAAGGTCCCACAATGGGCCATCTGCAAGCTGAGGAGCAAGGAGAGCCAGTCCGAGTCCCAAAACTGAAGAACTTGGAGTGCGATGTTCGAGAGCAGGAAGCATCCAGCACAGGAGAAAGACGTAAGCTGGGAGGCTAGGCCCGTCTCCTTTTTCACGTTTTTCTGCCCGCTTTATATTCACTGGAAGCTGATTAGATTGTGCCAACCAGATTAAGGGTGGATTTGCCTTCCCCAGTCCACTGACTCAAGTGTTAATCTCCTTTGGCAACACCCTCACAGACACACCCAGGATCAATACTTTGTATCCCTCAATCCAATCAAGTTGACACTCAGCATTAACCATCACAGTGCCTAAGATTTTTCTTTCACAGAAGTCAGGCACAGACATTGAAGGCTAGTGGCCTGAGTCCTCAAGCCGGAGCTACCTCCATCTAGAATCAGAGCCACCCTGAAGTCCTAGAGCAAGCTTGTCCAACCTGAAGCTTGTGGTAAACACGCAGCCCAGGATGGCTTTGAATGCAGCCCAACACAAATTCATAAACTTCTTAAAACATTATGAGGTCGGGCGTGGTGTCTCACGCCTGTACTCCCAGCACTTTGGGAGGCCGAGGCCGGTGGATCACCTGAGGTCAGGAGTTCGAGACCAACCTGACCAACATGGTGAAACCCTGTTTCTAGTAAAAATACAAAATTAGCTGGGTGTGGTGGTGCATGCCTATAGTCCTAGCTACTTGGGAGGCTGAGGCAGAAGAATCGCTTGAACTCAGGAGGTGGAGGTTGCAGTGAGTTGAGATTGTACCATTGCACTCTAGCCTGGGCAACAAGAGCAAAACTCCATCTCAAAAAAAAAATTAAACAAACAAACAAAAACAAAACACACACACACACACACACAAAACATTATGAAACTTTTTTGGAATTTTTTTTTTTAGCTCATCAGCTGTCATTAGTGTTAGTGTATTTTATGTGTGGCTCCAGATCATTCTTCTTCCAATGCGGCCCAGGGAAGCCAAAAGATTGGATACCCCTGCCCTAGAGCATCTGGCCGGCAGGTCCCCTTTCAGTCCTTGCAAATATGTGGAGAGGTCAAAGGGCAAAAGGACCCCTGGTACTGCTGAGAGACCTCTCTGTCATCAGCAGCCACCCCCCATATCCACTTCAAGTTCTGCCAGGATTTTTCCATCAGATCTTGGACCTCTCACTTAACCTCTTTGGACTTTAGATTTTTTGTCTCTGAAATGGAGAGGACAAAGGTGAAGAATGCAATCTCCAAATTGGCCTTCAGCTCTGCTGATGGCCTCTAGACCAGCTGAAGTGGGTTCAACACTCCCAGTGGCAGCCTCAACCTGTTCTTGAATTTCAGCATTGATGTAAAGTGATAGCAGGGATTTTGGGCCATTTATTCTCTAAACTTTTTTTTTTTTTTTTTGAGACGGAGTCTCGCTCTGTCACCCAGGCTGGAGTACGGTGGTGCGATCTCGGCTCACTGCAAGCTCCGCCTCCGGGGTCCACACCATTCTCCTGCCTCAGCCTCCCGAGTGGCTGGGGCTACAGGCGCCCACCACCACACCCAGCTAATTTTTTGTATTTTTAGTAGAGACGGGGTTTCACCATGTTAGCCAGGATGGTCTCGATCTCCTGACCTTGTGATCCTATTCTCTAAACATTTTTAAGCTGTGATCATCTTAACACAGGGAGGGTTTTCAAAACAGGATAAATTTAAGCATGCTTGTCTTACACTTTCATAATTTTTCTTAAGAGACAGGGTCTGGCTCTGTCACCAAGGCTGCAGTGCAGTGGTGCGATCATAGCTCAGAGCAACCTCAAACTCCTGGGCTCAAGCGATCTTCCAGCCTCAGCCTCATGACTAGCTGGGACCACAGGCGTGTGCCACTGCCCTTGGCTAATTTTTAAATTTTTTGTAGGCACAGGGTCTCACTCTGTTGCCCAGGCTGATCTGAAACTCCTGGCCTCAAGTAATCCTCCCACCTCGGCCTCCCAAAGTGCTGGGATTACAGGCATGAGCGGCTGTATCCAGCCTCTAAACACATTTAATCTGTGATCATCTCAACACCAGGAGGATTTTCAAAACAGTGTAAACATAGGCAAGCTTAATTTACAGCTTCATAAGATTTTTTAAATCAAAATATTCCAGAGATGAAGACGCTGACAATTAAAAGCAACTAAATAGGCCGAGCGCGGTGGCTCACACCTATAATCACAGCACTTTAGGAGGCCGAGATAGGTGACCTGAGGTCAGGGGTTCAAGACCAGCCTGGCCAACATGGTGAAACCACGTCTCTACTAAAAATACAAAAATTAGCTGGGCTTGGTGGCACACACCTGTAATCCCAGCTACTCTGGAGGCTGAGGCACGAGAGTCACTTGAACCTGGAAGGCAGAGGTTGCAGCGAGCTGAGATCATGCCACTGCACTCCAGCCTGAGCAACAGAGCGAGACTCTGTCTAAAAAATAAAAATAAAAGCAACTAAACAAAAATCTGTGTGACAGAGAGGACTCAATCCCAAGCCTGATTGCCGAGATCGCCCATCCTGCCTGAAGGGAGGGAAGATATCTTGGTGGAGAGAAAGCAGAACCGTGGGATGTTGTGCCCAGGCAGGGATCCGCCATCCCGCCCTGGCTCTGAACTCCCCAAGGGAGGCCTAGATTCAGGACCCCAGAGAGCAGGGGACCCTGCTTAGACGCAACAATGAGGCCGGTGGTGCTAATTACACAGGTGATCATTGCCAAGCCCAGCTCAGTTTTCTCCTCTAGGGTCCTGCCTGCCCGCCCTCTCTGGCTTGTCTCTCTTCTTTCCTCTTGCCTGGAACTGGGCTCACCATCAGCCCCATCAAGTTCTAGGAAGATCCGTGCCTAGCCAGGAACAAGAGAGCAGGACAGATAAACCTCTGTGGCTGCTCAAAATCCAAGGAAGCCACACAGAATTCTTCTGCTGGAGGTGGTAGAATCCTACCTGGGGCAAGCTACCTCCAGAAGCCCTAGAGTGACTAGGACAAACCCCACAAGCCACCCCCTCCCTCACACCCTTGGCTTCACATCTGAGACTTCAGGGTTCCCCTCCCAGTTCCCATGGCTGCTTAAGTGTTGTCTTTGTCTGTTTCCTCCTTATGCTACCTTATCCCTGAGAAATATTGCTCACACCCTACGACATGGTCCCCTACTTTCCTCTCTGCATTGATAGAAGGGGCTTTTCAAGGGCAAGGACTGTGAATGGCCCTGCTCTGTGTTCCCAGCCATAAGCATAGCCCCTGGCAGAAGGAATGTTGCACATGCTTAGCAGAAGGAAAGAAGGAAAAAACCCCGGGCTACCTGTGGTCATGGGGCCCAGTGAGTGCAGGGAGGACAGAGTGCCAGAGCCAAGACCCCCACGATTTGGTGGCCTGAAGGTTGCTCTCTGACAACATGTGGCATGATTGCCACAGTCCCTGGAATGTGCAGGACGTGGTTGGGTGTAGAAGTGACCTTTTGTTCCCACAATCTCCATGACAATTTGTTTTTTTAATGGCACCTAAGCAGCACATAACCTTGATTTGTAACATATTGACTATAGCCCCGACTAGTAAGTCCCTCTCCTCTGGCCAGGCATGGAGGCTCACACCTGTAATCCCCGCACTTTGGGAGGCTGAAGCAGGAGGATCATATGAGGCCAGGAATTCGAGACCAGACTGGACAACATAGCAAGACCCTGTCTTGACCAAAAAAAATTGAAATGAGCTGGATATGGTGGTGCAAGCCTGTAGTCCCAAGAACTTGGGAGGCAGAGGTGGGAGGGATCACTTGAACAGAGAAATTCAAAGCTACAGTGAGCTATGATCACGCCACTGCACTCCAGCCTGGGTGACAGAGCAAGACCACATCTCAGTAAAACAAAGTTAAATTAAAAGTCCTCTCCCCTGACTCAGAGTTTCCTCTGGATAACCAGTGTTTCCTGGAGGATCTGCCGAGCTGGAAAATCAAGTCCAGGGGTGTCAGCAGGTAGAGGAAGAACATGGATTCCATCTCAGCTCTCCCAGGAACAGTACTGGGGGGCTTGCGTAGGCTGCAGTCTGTGGGCCTCAGGTTCCCCATTGTGGGTCCGACCCAGCTTGAATATCCTAGAGACTGTACAATTCCATCACACATTCTTTTTAAAAATTTTAATTTTCAACTTTTTTTAGGTTCAGGGGCACATACGTAGGTTTGTTACATGGGAATATTGCATAACACAAGGGTTTGGTGTGCAGACTATTTTGTCACCTGGGTAATCAGTATAATACTCATAGATAGTTTTCCAATCCTCGCCCTCAAACTGGGCCCAGTGTCTGTTGTTACCCTCTTTGTGTCCTTGTACACTCAATGTTTAGCTCCCACTTGCAAGTGAGAACATGTGGTATTTGGTTTTCTGTTCCTGTGTCAATCGGCTAAGGATAATGGCCTCCAGTTACATCCATGCTGCTGCAAAGGCCATGATCTCACTTTTTTATAGCTGCATAGTATTCCATGGTGTATATGTACCCTATTTTCTTTATCCAGTCTACCGTTGATGGGCATTTAGGTTGATTCCGTATCTTTGCTATTGTGAATAGTGCTGAAATGAACATATACGTCCATGTGTCTTTGCATGCACATACATGTCCAATTCAGCACTATGGTAGAATGTACATGGTTGAATGATTTATTTATTTATGTGCATGGTAAACGATGGATGGATTGATTGATTTTTGAGATAGAGTCTCGATCTGTCAACCAGGCTGGAGTGCAGTGGCACGATCTCAGATCACTGTGATCTCTGCCTCTCGGGTTCAAGTGATACTCATGCCTCAGACAACTGAGTAGCTGAGATTACAGGCACGTGCCACCATATCCAGCTAATTTTCATATTTTTAGTTAAGATGGAGTTTCACCATGTTGGCCAGGCTGCTCTTGAACTCCTGACCTCAGGTCATCCGCCCGTCTCAAACTCCTGACCTCAGGTGATCCTCCTGCTTCGGCCTCTCAAAGAGCTGAGCCTAAAGGCATGAGCCACTGCGCCTGGCCTATGGTAGAATGATTTCTATTCCTTTGAATATATACCCAATAATAGCATTGCTGGGTTGAATGTCTACCACACTGTTACACATGTCGGGGACTTGAGGCCAGAGATGAGTGTTATCCCTGGGCAGATCATGGGGGGCAGGGCTCGGCTGGGCATCCTGCTCTTCAGATAACATCCCAAACAAGCAGCCAGCGACCCACTCTTCCTTCGTGGTGACCAAGGGACATAGTTCAGAATTCCAGCAGCACATGCTGGTTCCCACATTCCCTTTTTTCCCCCTTTTCTCCAGCCCATTGCTCAGTCTCCACATGAAAACTTGACAGAAGCCAGACTAGAGACATAAACCCAGTATTTGTTTATGAAAGATGGATTATCAAAATGATGCCAGGCATGATGGCTCATGCCTGTGATCCTAGAGCTTTGCGAGGCCAATGTGGGAGGATAGCTTGGGTCCAGGCATTTGGGACCAGCCAGGACAACATCGTAAGACCGTGTCTATACAAAAAATTTTAAAACTTAGCTGGGTGTGGTAGTGCAAGCCTGTGGTCCCCACTACATGAGAGGCTGGGGCGTGAGGATCGCTTGAGCCTGGAAGTTCGAGGCTGCAGCGAGCTAAGATCACACCACTGCACTCCAGTTTGGGCAACAGTGAGACTCTATCTCTAAAGAAATGTTAAAAAGACCAGGCATGGTGGTTCACGCCTGTAATCCCAGCACTTTGGGAGGCCGAGGCGGGTGGATCACCTGAAGTCAGGAGTTCGAGAACAGCCTGGCCAACATGGCGAAACCCCATCAGTACTAAAAATACAAAAATTAGCCGGGCACGGCGGTATACGCCTGTAATCCCAGCTACTAAGGAGGCTGAGGCAGGAGAATCACTTGAAACCAGGAGGCGGAGGTTGCAGTGAGCTGAGATCACACCACTGCACTCCAGCCTGAGTGACAGAGTGAAACTCCATCTCAAAAAAAAAAAAAAAAAAAAAAGGAAAGAAAGAAAAAAAGAGCACCTACAAGCCCTCAAATTAAGATGATTCCTCAGTTTTACTGTATTCCAGCAGTTTTCTAAGTGTAGTCTGGGTCTAAGTTCTCATGTTCTCACTGATTTATGTGATCTAAAAATCAAAGAAACTGAACTCATGGAGATAAAAATCAAAGCAACTGAACTCATGGAGATAGAGAATAGAATGATGATTACCAGGGGCTGGGAAGAGGGTAGTAGGGAGGGGGTACGTGGTGATGATTAATGGGTACAAACATATAGTTAGATAGAATGAATAAGATCTACTATTCGATAGCACAGCAGGGTGACTGCGGTGAACAAGAACTTATGGTACATTTTAAACTAACTAAAAGAGTATAATTGGAACATTTGTTTTTTTATTTTATTTATTTATTTTGAGACGGAGTCTCGCTCTGTCATCCAGGCTGGAGTGCAGTGGCGCGATCTCGGCTCACTGCAAGCTCCGCCTCCTGGGTTCACGCCATTCTCCTACCTCAGCCTCCGATGTAGCTGGGACTACAGGCGCCCGCCACCACGCCCGGCTAATTTTTTTGTGTTTTTTAGTGGAGATGGGGTTTCGCCGTGTTATCCAGGATGGTTTTGATCTCCTGACCTTGTGATCCGCCCGCCTCAGCCTCCCAAAGAGCTGGGATTACAGGCGTGAGCCACCGTGCCCAGCCGGAACATTTGTGACACAAAAAAATGATAGACGCTTGAGGTGATGGATACCTCATTTACCCTGATGTGATTATTACATGTTCCAGGCCTGTATCAAAGTACCTCATGTATGCCATAGATATATACTATATACACATACAAATTTTTAAAAATTTTTAATTAAAAAAAACTTTAAGTGTGGTATGGGGATCTCTGGGCTCTTCAAGACTCTTTTGGGGGGTCTGCAGGGACAAAACTACTTTACAACAATCCTAACATGCTATTGGCCTTTTCATTCACATTCATTTCATTCACAAGCATACAGTGTTTCCCAGAGGCTACATGACGTGGGGTATTGCAACAGATTAAAGGCAGGTTTGAGAACCTAGCTGTCTTCAGCCAGATATTGAAGAGCTTTGCAAAAATATAAAACAATGCCGGCCGGGCGTGGTGGCTCACACCTGTAATCCCAGCACTTTGGGAGGCTGAGGTGGGCAGATCACGTGAGGGAGTTTGAGACCAGCCTGACCAACATGGAGAAACATCTCTACTAAAAAATACAAAATTAGCTGGGTGTGGTGGTGCATGCCTGTAATTCCAGCTACTCGGGAGGCTGAGGCAGGAGAATTGCTTGAACCTGCAAGGTGGAGATTGTGGTGAGCCGAGATCGCACCATTGCACTCTAGGCTGGGCAAGGAGAGCAAACCTCTGTCTCAAAACAAATAAACAACAACAACAACAACAAAAACAATGCCATTCTTCTCACTACGCTTTTTTGTTTGGGAAAGATCTGCTTTCTTAAAGCGTGTTATTTATGTTAAACACGCAATAGGTTCCTTATTGTTTAAAATGAATTAATATTTTAAGAATTTATCAGCCTTACGTTCTCACACAGTAAATATCCCTAGATATAGCACACATAAACAAAAGATTTTTGAGGTGCTCAATAATTTTTAAGAGTGCAGAGGGAACTTTCCCTGAGACCAAAAAGTTTGAAAACTGTTTTCTACTCAACAGGAGCTTAGGGCTTTAACGAATACCAGATCTGGGTTCAAATGCTCACTGTGTGACCGGGAGTGGTGGCTCACACCTGTAATCCCAGGACTTTGGGAGGATGAGGCGGGTGGATGATTTGAGATCAGGAGTTCGAGACCAGCCTGGCCAACATGGTGAAACCCTGCCTCTACTAAAAATACAAAAAATAGCCAGGCCTGGTGGCGCACACCTGTGGTCCTAGCTACTTGGGAGACTAAGGCAGGAGAATCACTTGAGTCCAGGAGGTGGAGGTTGCAGTGAGCCAAGATCACACCACTGCACTCCAGCCTGGGCGACAGTGTGAGACTCTGTCTCAAAAAAACAAAAACAAATGCTGACTGTGCAGCCTCCTAGCCATGCAGACTTGGGCAAGTTACTGAACTTCTCTGAACTTGAGTTTCTTCATTGGTGAAAGAGAGGTGTTTACCTCCATGCCTGGCCCTTGTGAGGTGCTGGGTAAATATTAATTTTGCCCCAGCTTTATAGGACAAAGACATCTTACCTGGACATTGGCAGCCGAAGGGTATCTGCTGAGGGAGGAGAGACGCTTTGCAATCCTTGCTGCTGAATTAGAATTTAGCTATTTTTGCACTTCTTTTCCTTTCTTCCTACCTTCCTTCCTTTTCTTTCTTCTTTCTTCGCTTTTCTCTCTTTCCTCTTTCTTCTTTCTTTCTTTCTTTCTTTCTTTCTTCCTCTTTCTTTCTTTTGACAGGGTCTCACTTTGTCACCCAGGCTGGAGTCCAGTGGCACAATCACAGCTCCCTGCAGCCTCGATCTCCCAGGCTCAAGTGATTCTCCTGCCTCAGTCCCCCAAGTTGCTGGGACTACAGGCACGTGCCACCATGTGCTAATTTTTGTATTTTTTTGTAGAGATGGAGTTTCACCATATTGCTCAGGAAATGAGAACCCTAGGTCTCAAATTCCTAGGCTCAAGCCATCCTCCCACCTTGGCCTCCCAAAGCGCTGGGAATATAGGCCTTGTAAGCCACTGTGCCTGGACCATTTTTTTTTTTTTTTGACATTGTCTGTCTCTGTCACCTAGGCTGGAGGGCAGTGGTGCAATCATCGCTCCCTGCAGCCTTGAACTTCTGGGCTCAAGCAGTCTTCCTGCCGTGGCTACCCAAAGTGCTGGGATCATGGGTGTGAGCCAATGCGCTTGGTCTGCTTTTGCATTTCTGACACACTCTCAGGCACCTATCATTGGTACTGGGGCCACATTTTGACAACCACAGATGTGGGCCTGAGTTCAAATCTTACAGATGATTAAAAAGTGTTTTACCTCCTTGGTATTTAATGAAATCCAGGTTCTGGGAGGTTCTTGGAAGAGAAGGGGCTCCTGGGAGTAGGAAGAGTTTCCAGAAAGAGATGAGAAGGGGGCCCCTGGCCAACTTCATGAACTGAACCTTTGGATTTCCATAAACAAACCCTTCACGCACGCTCTCCACCTTGAAAACCCTGTTCTCCTACCAGAAAGAGAGCTAGCAGAGCCATGTCCACAGGGTGTGACAAATATTTCTCAGCTGCCTGAAGTCCTGGTCTGTTTCACACCATCTGCTTCCTAACCTCTTGACATCCCTCTTCTCCTTTCTCCTCCTTTTTTTTTCTTTTGAGATGGAGTCTTGCTCTTTCGTCCAGGCTGGAGTACAGTGGCTGGATCTTGGCTCACTGCAACCTCCGCTCCCCGGGCTCAAGCAATTCTCCTGCCTCAGCCAACTGAGTAGCTGGGATTACAGGCATCCGCCACCACACCTACCTAATTTTTGTATTTTCAGTACAGATGGGTTTTCACCATGTTGGCCAGGCTGGTCTTGAACACCTGACCTCAAGTGATCTGCCAGCCTTGGCCTCCCAAAGTGCTGGGATTACAGCCGTGAGCCACCCGGCCTGGCCTACAAAAATATTTTTTAAAAAATCAGCCAGGCATAGTGGTGTATGCCTGTAGTCCCAGCTACTCAAGAGGCTGGGGCGGGAGGATCGCTTGAGCACAAGAGGTCAAAGCTGCAGGCAGCTATGATCACACCACTGCACTCCAGCCTGGGCAACACAGCAAGACCCTGTCTCTTTAAAAAAAAAAAAGCACTATAGAAAGGAGCCCCTGGCCGGGTGTAGTGGCTCACGCCTGTAATCCCAGCACTTTGGGAGGCCAAGGAGGCAGATTGTCTGAGGTCAGGAATTCGAGACCAGCCTGGGCAACATGGTAAAACCCTGTCTCTACTCAAAATACAAAAAAAAAAAAAAAAAAAAAAAAGCCAGTCGTGGCGGTGCGTGCCTATAGTCCCAGCTACTCAGGAGGCTGAGGCACGATAATCACTTGAACCCAGGAGGTGGAAGTTGCAGTGAGCCGAGATCGCGCCACTGCACTGCAGCCTGGGTGACAGAGCGAGACTCTGTCTCCAAAAAAGGAAAAAAATTCCTGCAGTTGACCTACAATTGTCCCAGAGTGAACGGCCATCCTGACTCCCAGCTCCCTCATTTCTGAAGAAGCTGCAGTAACAGGCAAGTATTTGAGAAGACATAGAGTGAATAAAAGCAACTTCTCTCCGGGTCAGAAGACCAGTTTCTAGCCTCACCAAGCACTAAGGAACTTGTGCTTGGGCCTAACTAGCAAGTTTTCATGTATCTTAGTACTTTCTGTTTGCCTTCAATGTAGTTATGAGATTACACACCAGACTAAAAACCCCAGGGTCCCCTTTGGATAGAAGAAAGTTCCAAAAATCTGTCAAGCATTATTTAGAGACTAATCCTGTTTTTCCAAGCTGGTTGGTGACTGGTCCCTGGGGTCTCTGGTCGGGGACCTCAACTGGACAGCCTGGCAGCTGCCTTCTCATCCTCCCGCTGCGTGGTAGGGTTTCACAGCCTTGTGCCCTGGGCCGGGAGCCCAGAGAGGCCTTGCTAAAGGGATGCTTGGAACATTCCCCTGAAAACGCCTGGCTTTATTTCCCATCCTGGCCGATGTTCTGCTGACCTGATCTTCTAACCACATAATTATGTTATTAGCATATGATGAACCACAGTATACAATGTGTCCTGCTGGAGAGAATTAGAATAAACTGCCGCTTCAGCAAAGTTCCAGATAAAACAGCACCACAAAAGGAAAGAGAGAGAAGGCAGGAGAGGACACGCCGTGGTTGCAGGTACATCCACTGTGCCTCCCTCTAGGCCCCCTCCTGGGGTCATGGATGAAGACAGACACCCAGCGAGAGTGGAGGAGTGACTTGGCTTGAAACTCACAGGGCCCAGGCATCCCCGGTGAGAATGAGAACCCAGCATCAAGCCTTGCCTAGGTCTTAGCAGGAATTGCAGCACTGGGAACAGAGGGGAGATGGTTTCTGCAGGCAGAGATAGGCTCAGAGGATAGAGAGCAAAATGCCTCACGATGAGGGCTCAAAGCCTGCATGGCTGGGCAGCCCCAGGAGGAGGGCCCGTGTCCTACACCCAGGTGGAACCCACACTTGGTCACACCACAGTAGCCCACGGCAATGCACATAAGAGCCTGCTATGGGCCAGGCGCAGTGGCTCACGCCTGTAATCCCAGCACTTTGGGAGGCCGAGACGGGCAGATCACGAGATCAGGAGATGGAGACCATCTTGGCCAACATGGTGAAACCCCATCTCTACTAAAAAAAAAATACAAAAGTTAGCTGGGCATGGTGCCGCGTGCCTATAATCCCAGCTACTCAGTAGGCTGGGGCAGGAGAATCGCTTGAACCAGGGAGACGGACGTTGCAGTGAGCTGAGATCGCGCCACTACACTCCAGGTTGGCAACAGAGCAAGACTCCGTCTCAAAAAAAGAGCCTCCTATGCCTAGGGTCAGGGCCCACAGTTGCCACAGCTTCAAGCCATTCTGATCTTGAATGACCCCACATTGCAGGCTCTTCTTGACTTGGAACCTTTGCTCATAGGGTTCCATCTGCCTAGAGTTCCCTTCCCCTTTCTTTTCTGCTGTCCTTTAGAGCTCATCTCTAGTGCGGTCCTTTTTTTATTTTCATTTTTTGGAGACAGAGTTTTGCTTTATCGCCCAGGCTGGAGTGCAGGGGTGTGATCCCAGCTCACTGCAGCCTCCAACTCCTGGGCTCACACGATCCTCCTGCCTCAGCCTCCTAAGTAGCTGGGACTACAGGCATGTGCCACCATCCTCAGCTCAGCTTTTAATTTTATATAGAGATGTTATATATAAACAGATGTTGCCCATGCTGGTCTCAAACTTCTGGCCTAAAGGGATCCTCCCACCTCAGCTCCTAAAGTGCTGGGACTACAGGCATGAGGCTCCATGCCTGGCCCACCATGCCTCCTTGAATATAGGAGCCAGAGGGTGAAAGTTGGGAGAGTGATCTTGTGCCATCCTGTATTGCCATAGGACTGCAGAAGCGATGGCTGCAGCTCCATCCCAGGCTGGTTTCGAACTCCTAGGCCCAAAGGATCCTCCTGCCTCAGCCTCCTAAAGTGCTGGGATTACAGGTGTGAGCTGCCACACCTGGCCCAGGGATGCCTTTTGCTGGCCTCTGTCATGTGCCTGCCCCGCTGTGTTGGAATGATTTGCCTGGATGAATTATCCCTGTTGTTTTCTTTTGTAATGGACTGAATGTCTATCTCCTACTAAAATTCATGTGTTGAAAACCTGATCTCAGTGTGATGGTATTTGGAGGTGGGGCCTTTGGAAGGTAATTAAGTCATAAGAGTTGTGAACCCGGAAAATCTGAGACAGGTCTCAGTTAATTTAGAAAGTTTACTTTGCCAAGGTTGAGAACGTGCGCCAGTGACACAGCCTTAGGAGGTCCTGACTGTAAGGTTCTTGTATCCATTCGAACCCCAAGAGTGCGCCAACAGACAACACGAGGCGGTGTGGAGCAACGTGCTGTTTTAATGAGCGCCTGGGTGCAGGCGGGCTGAGGCCTAAAATGGCGTCAGCCCCAGTTGAGGACAGGGCAAAGGTTTTATAGTCTCCTGTAAACAAGAAGTGTCCTAGTCTGACGTAACTGCTACGTTATTCCCACATGGCCTCTTTCTCGATCTTCAGGGGTACGTGACTTCCGGCCAGGGTACGTGTCTTCGGGCAGGCTCTCTTCCTGCTTCTGCTATCTTGCTGATGCACGATGCTGACCTAAGTAGCCTTGCGCCTTGGGACTGGGCCTGAGAAGGGAGGAGTTACTCAGCCCTTCAAGTTTTCAGGTCCCAGGGAAAATCTTACACTGACGACATGTGACCAAGGTGGTCAGAGCACAGTTTGGTTGTATACATTCTAGGAAGACATGAGAGATCAATCAACAAATGTAAGGTGAACATTGGTTCAGTCTGGAAAGGCCGGACAACTCAAAGTGAGGTGGGGGCTTCCAGGTCATAGGTAGATAAGAGACAAATGGTTGCATTCTTTTGAGTTTCTGATTCACCTTTCAAAGGAGGCGATCAGATATGCATTTATCTCAGTGAGCAGAGGGGTGACTTTGAATAGAATAGGAGGCAGGTTCGCCTGAAGCAGTTCCCAGCTTGACTTTTCCCTTTATCTTAGTGATTTAAGGACCCTAAGATTTATTTGCCTTTCACAAAGTGGAACCCCCATGAATAGGATTAGTGCAGTTATAATTTTTTTTTTTGAGACAAAGTCTCACTGTATTGCCCAGGCTGGAGTGTAGTGGCGCAATCTCAGCTCACGGCAACCTCCGCCTCCCAGGTTTAAGCCATTCTCCTGTCTCAGCCTCCCGAGTAGCTGGGACTACAGGCATCCACCACCACGCCCGGCTAATTTTTGCATTTTGAGTAGAGACAGGGTTTCACCATGTTGGCCAAGCTGGTCTCAAACTCCTGACTTCAGGTGATCCACCCACCTTGGCCTCCCAAAGTGCTGGGATTACAGGCATGAGCCACTGTGCCCGGCCAGATTAGTGCACTTATAAGAAGAGGCCAGAGAGCTAACTAGCTGTCTTTCTACCATGTGAGGACACAGAGAGAAGCTGGAAGTCTGCAACCCAGAAGAGGGGCCTCACCAGGACCCCGCCCATGCTGACATCCTGATCTTGGACTTCCAGCTTCCAGAGCTATGAGAAATAAATTGCTGCTGTTTTTGAGCCACTCAGCCTATAGCACTTTGCTACAGCAGCCCAAAGGGACTAAGACACTTGCTCCAAACTTCCTTCAGGCAGCAGCATGGCTTGATCCATCTCTGCACAAGATGTTCAAGACACTGTGGATTTGAACAGTCATGCTGTTGGGACCTCGGGGAGATGGGAGGCTGCCTGGACATTTTTGGGCAGTGATACATGGAGAACTTTGGTGCCTTGCTGAGGAGTTCAAGGATGCAGTGCTGGCCAGTGCTTGAATTTCTCCTGCTCCCTGGGATCTGGAGATGAGGGGGAGTCTGTTTCTGAAGATCAGGAGGCCCCAGCTCGAGGAGAAGGGGATGATGAGGCTGGCGGCCAGGTGGGTGGCAAATGGATGGGAGGCTACAGATAGGAGCCCTGGAGTAGGAAGGCAGAAATAAGACCACCTGAGCAGAGGGCAGAGCGTGGTGTTTTTTGTTTTTTGTTTTTTTAAGACGGTGTCTTGCTCTGTTACCCAGGCTGGAGTGCAATGGCATGATCTCGGCTCATTGCAACCTCCGCCTCCTGGGTTCAAGCGATTCTCCTGCCTCAGCCTCCCAAGTAGCTGGGATTACAGGCCTGCACCACCATGCCCAGCTAATTTTTGCATTTTTAGTAGAGAAGGGGTTTCACCATGTTGGCCAGGTTGGTCTCAAACTCTTGACCTCAAATGATCTGCCTGCCTCGGCCTCGCAAAATGCTGGGATTACAGGCGTGACTGAGCCACCACACCCATCCCAGAGCATGGTATTGATGAGAGGCAACCTTCCCTGCATTTGGCCTCCTTTCTGGACACCCAAGGGTGCTTGCTCCAGGCCAGGGGGTCTGCTGTATCCATCCCCCCTCCCCCTACCTCCACCCTGGCCATGCCTCAAGCCTCCCTCTCTTTTCCGCTCCTGGATCCAGAGCGGGGCTGGCGGAGCCAAGTGGCTGCTCCGACTGTTCCCCTACTTGGCTTTTGCCCCTGCTCTTCTTGGCTCCCTGATGAAGTTCCCAGAGCCTCTGCTCCAACATTCCCGCTTCCTGGAGGCACCGAACTCACTCCAGTCCTCCTTACTCTCAGCCGATGACCTCATCTGCTTCAGGGAGATTGGAACCACGCAGCGTGAACTCCTCTAAATTCCATCCCTTCTGCTTCTTAATATCCATCCCTTCATCCTCCTGTCTTCCTTTTCTCTCCTCTCCTGGCAAGAGAACCCCTCCCCTCTGCCTCCAGCCTCCTCCCATTTTCCCCTTCACTTTCCCGGTCGTTCCTTGGTGTCTACAGCAGGACTGTTCCATCCCAAGGAAAATATGACTCCTTAACCCAGATGGTCCTCAAGCTGCCGCCCTTCAGTTCTCCTTCCTGTTGCCAGCAAACTCGGAGAATGAAAGATTCATCCAAACACCTCTGCTCCTTCACCTTCCTCAACCCTCGTAATCACGATTTCAACCCAAAGCATGACCAAAAAGATGCCCTTGGAAAGATCATCGCGATATGTTGTGAATCAAAAAATGCAGATGGTAAAACATGATGTGTACTGCAATTCCATTTCTTGTTTTAAAAAGTGTTATATTTACATATTTTTTTCATTGAGAAATGTTATATAATAAAATAATAGAAGGTATATCCAAATGATGTGATTGTGGGTGTTTTTAATTCTTTTTATCTATTTTCAGATTTTTCTTAAGGAACATGAATTATGTGTGAAAAATATAGAGGCTTCAGAAAAAATGCAGCAAACTGCTTTTCAGATGTTCAGAAATAACCTTGAAATTCAATGACACATCACTCCTTATATATCAAAAGGATAGATAAAAAATTTAAAAGTAAAAAATGAAGCAATAAAAGAGTTAGAAGAATCTTGGCATAGGTGAGACTTTTCTCTTCTGTGGCTTTTGGGGTTTGAGAAAGAGTGGTTCGTCCAATACACTTGGTGGCAGCAAATACAGTGAACAAAGTCAAAATACACTGGACAAAGTAGGGGGAATTAGGCTGGGTACAGTGGCTTATGCCTGTAATCCCAGCACTTTGGGAGGTGGAGGCGGGAGGATCGCTGGAGCCTAGGAGTTTGAGACCAGCCAGGGCAACACGGTGAAACACTACCTCTCCAAGAAATTTTTAAAAATTAAACAGGCATGGTGGCACATGCCTGTGGTCCTTTAAAAATTAACCAGGCATGGTGCCACATGCCTGTGGTCCCAGGTACTCAGGAGGCTGACGTGGGAGAATCGCCTGAACCCTTGTAGTCGAGGCTGCAGTGAGTGTGAACACATCACCTCACTCCAGCCTGGATGAAAGAGTGAGACCCTGTCTCTAAATAAATAAATAAAACAAAGTAGGGGAAATTTGTTGTATGTGAAAATGGTTAGTTCCCTTAAACTAATTATTTAAATACTACTTTTGAATCAATAAGGAAAAATAGCAACTAATCAATAGAAAAATGAGTGGGCAAAGGACTTGAAATACTTCCCAGAAAACGATAGACTTAACTTAGAAACACATGAAGAGGAAGGCAAAACTTTACAAGAAAAGGCACCATTTCTATTATTTGTATTAGACTGTCAAAGAATAAAAATATTGATCATGTACAGTGCAGACAAGAATATGCAGAAACTGAGATTTTCACACATTGGGGTGGGAATGTAAATTGATCTATGCAGTGCTGTCTTTCCAAATTTAAAATTCACAAGCTCTTTGAACCGTCACACACTTCTGGGAATTTATTCTGGAGATATGCTTCTAAAGAATCAGCTGTTGGTTTCTGTGATTCTCTCTATTCTTTTCCTGTTTTTGATTTGGTTGAGGTCTGCTCTAATTTTTATCTTCTTCCTGCTGCTTGCTTTAGGTTTGCTTTTCTTTCTTTCTTTCTTTCTTTCTTTCTTTCTTTCTTTCTTTCTTTCTTTCTTCTTTCTTCCTTTCTTTTCTTTCTTTCTTTTCTTTCTCTTTCTTTCTTTTTCTTTCTTCTTTCTTTCCTTCCTTCCTTCTTCCCTTTTCTCTTTCTTTCTTTCTCTTTCTCTCTTTCTTTCTCCTTTCTCCTTCCTTCCTTCCCTTCCTCCCTCCTTTCTGTCTGTCTTTCTTTTTCTTTCTCTTTCTTCTTTCTCTTTCTTCCTTTCCTTTCCTGTTTTTCTTTCTTTCTTTCCTCTCTCTCTTTCTTTTTTCTTTTCTTTCTCTCTTTCTTCTTTCTTTCTTTCTTCTTTCTTTCTTTCCTTCTTTCTCCTTTTTCTTTCCTTTCTTTCTTTCTTTTGGCAGGGTCTTGCTTTGCCCCCCACAGGCTGGAGTGCAGTGGCACAATCATAGATCACTGCAGCCTCAGACTCCCAGGATCAAGTGATCCTCCTGCCTCAGCCTCCCTAGTAGCTGGGACTACGGGCACATGCCACCACACCCAGCTAATTTTTTTTTTTTTAATTTTTGGGGGTTTCGCTTTGTTGCCCAGGCTACCTGGAACTCCTGGCCTCAAGCAATTCTTTCCCCTTGTCCTCCAAAATAGGTTTTCTTTTCTCTCATGAGTTTCCTAAGGTAGAAATTTAAGCAACTTTGTGATTTTTCATCTTTGTCGAGTATGAGTATTCAATGCTATACATCTCCCTCTAAGGACTACTTATTCTGCATCCCACAAATTCTGATTTATTCTATTTCATTTCAAAAGACTTTGAAATTTTCCTTAAGACATCTCTTTTTTGACCCATGGGCTATTTAAAAGTATAGTGTTTAAATTCCTAACCATTGGGCGTTTCTGACTAACTCTTATCAATTTCTAGTGCTATTTGGATATGATGCAAGAATGCCCATTGTATTATTTCTATTCCTTTACATTTTTTGAGGTTTGTTTTTAGCCCAGAACATGATCTATTGGGATGAATGCTGCTTGTGTACTTGAGATAAATTTGTATTCTACTATTGTTGAATAAAGTGTTCTATAAATGTCAATTAGACTTAGTTGATTATATTTTGTCTAAAATTGATCGGTAGTGATTTGTCCAACATTAATATGATGACTCCTGCTTTTTTTCATTGATGTTTTCATGGTATATTTTTCTTCATCCCTTTTTAAAAAAACGTATACATGGGGCGGGCGTGGCAGCTCACACCTATAATCCCAGCACTTTGAGATGCCAAGATGGGTGGATCAGCTGAGGTCAGGAGATCGAGACAAGCCTGGCCAACATGGTGAAACCCCTTCTCTACTAAAAATACAAAAATTAGCTGGGCATGGTAGCACACCCCTGTAATCCCAGCTACTCGGGAGGCTGAGATGGGAGAATTGCCTGAACATGGGAGGCGGAGGCTGCAGTGAGCCGAGATTGCGCCACTGCACTCCAGCCTGGGCGACAGAGCAAGGCTCCATCTAAAAAAAAAAAAAAGTATCCATGTCTTTCCAGTATATTTAAAGTGAGTATATTGTATACAAAATAAAATATAGTTGAGGCTTGATTTTTTAAAAAATCCAATCCGACAATGTCTGTCTTTCAACTGGTGTGTTTAGATCATTCACATTTACAGTAATGGCCTGGCACAGTGGCTCATGCCTATAATCCCAGCACTTTGGGAAGCTGAGGCAGGTGTATCACTTGAGGCCAGGAGTTCGAGACCAGCCTGGTCAACATGGTGAAACCCCATCTCTACTAAAAATACAAAAATTAGCCAGGTGTGATGGCGCACGCCTGTAATCCCGGCTACTCAGGAGGCTGAGCTGTAATCCCAGCTACTCGGGAGGATTGCTTGAACCTGGGAAGCAGTTTTCAGTGAGCTGAGATCACACCACTACACTCCAGCCTGAGTGACAGAGCCAGACTCTGTCTCAAAAAATAAAATAAAATTTAAAAAAGTAATTAGTAATATATTTGGACTAAAACCACGTTTCCAAGCTCTTTTCTTTTTGTTGTATTTGTTCTTTGTTTCTTGTTTACTGGTTGGTTTTTATTTTTATTTTTTTGCCTCGTCTGGTTTTAATGAGAATTTTTGTGATTCTGTTTTATCTTCTCTATTAGTTTACTATTTGTGCTTTTTAACCTTTCTAGTGTTTTCCTTATGGTTTATAATATACATTTTTAAATAATCTAAGTCCATTTCTGATTATAATAACGTTTCATCATAATATCGTATCTCTTCATGCATGGTGAAAGGAACTTATAACAAAATACCCGACTCCCACTTCCTTCTTCCCATGTCTTGTTTTACTGTGTCATGTATTTCTCATTTGCATATGATATAAGCACCAATATATAACTACTATTGTTACTTTCTGCAGTCAGTGATTTTTTTATAGCAACTAAAATTTTTCTTAGTTATATTTTACTTTTATCTCAATACTAATGCTCTTCATTTCTTTGTGTATATCTAAGTTTCTTACCTTAATAATATTCCTTCTGCCTGAGGAAAAAACCTTTTTCTTTGTTACTTGGGCGTGGAAAGTTGAAGTTTTCCTTTTGATTTAGTTCTCGGAAGTCAGTGTGAATCAGCTTTAGGTTCCCTGCCTCTAGACCCTATTCTTCTGCCTCAGAAGGATGGAGATAATCCAGAGGTGTTGGCTGGGGAAGGGGAGTGGCAGCCACTGACGGAGCTCCACAGAGACCCTTCTTCAACTATTTTCTTTCACCACTTTAAAAGGCATCACTCCACTGTCTTCCTCCTTTCTTGCATAGTTTCTTTTTTTTTTTTTTTTTTTTTGAGACAGAATCTTGCTCTGTCACCCAGGCTGGAGTGCAGTGGCATGATCTCAGCTCACTGCAACCTCCGCCTTTCAGGTTCAAGCGATTCTCCTGCCTCAGCCTCCCGAGTAGCTGGGATTACAGGCACCTGCCACTGTGCCAAGATTAATATTTTGTATTTTTAGTAGAGACGGGGTTTCACCATGTTGACCAGGCTGGTCTCAAACTCCTGACCTCTGGTGATCCATCCACCTTGGACTCCCAAAGTGCTGGGATTACAGGCGTGAGCCACTGTGCCCGGCCTCTTTCACCACGTTAAAGGCATTACTCCACTGTCTTCTTGGTTGCGTAGTTTCTGACAAGAAATCTGCCATTATTTTTGTCCTTGTTCCTCTGTAGGTAAGGTGCTTCTTTCCCTCTGTAGCTGATTTCAAGATTTTCTTTTTGCCTTTGGTGTTCTGCCTCTTGAGCTCTCGCATCTGTATTTTGATGTTATTGACTTGCTATTATTCTTACTGGAAGCTTGTTAGCATGGTGGTAAGGTATGGAGGATAGGGAGCGTTTTGTAGTTTTCTGATTAACTCTCCATTTCTGGAAGTGTACAATGGGCCTGTGTCTTGGGATGTAGCCTTCACAAGTGTTTCTGTCCCTCACCTAAGAGTAGAGTTTTGTTGTTGCTATTGTTGTTGTTTTTAGACAGAGTCTCGCTCTGTCGCCCAGGCTGGAGTGCAGTGGCGCCATCTCAGCTCACTGCAACCTCTGCTTTCCAGGTTCAAGCGATTCTCCTGCCTCAGCCTCCCCAGTAGCTGGGATTACAAGCACCTGCCGCTGCGCCTGGCTAATTTTTTTGTATTTTTAATAGAGACGGGGTTTCTCCATGTTGGTCAGGCTGGTCTTGAACTCCCGACCTCAGGTGATCCACCTGCCTCGGCCTCCCAAAGTGCCGGGATTACAGGTGTGAGCCACCACGCCTGGTTAAGAGTAGAGTTTTTAATCCCTCCACCCTTATTCCTTTTCCATGCAGCAGTGCATAAATTCCAATACTTTATTTTTCAATCTACCCTAAGACTCTCCTCTCTGCAGAGTAAGATTTTGTATTGAGTTTCTTTTCCTCCTTTATGTGAGAAAGAGATGCTTGGGCTGCAGGGAGTGGCCTCTGGCAATATACTCCTGCCTGAAGATTAAGCTCTTTCTTCTGTAAGGAAGAAGGATCTCTTTGGAGCTTTGTCAGTGGCTGCCACTCCCCTTTCCCAGCCAATGCGTCTGGATTATCTCCATCCTTCTGAGGCGGGAGAATAGGGTCTAGAGGCAGGGAATCTAAGGCTGATTCACACTGACTTCCTAGAATTAAATCAAAAGGGAAACTTCAACTTTCCATTACCAAGTAACAAAAGAACAGGCGCTCCTCCCTTTGCAATCCCCCACTCTCTCTATCAGGGATGAGAAATAAAAAATACCTCTGATTGGTCCTCTTCCACAACCAATCAGACTGGTCGTGGGCCTAGTCTTCATTTGCATAGAAGTGTAACTTTGTAACTTCACTTTAGCCTCTGATTTGTTGCCTTCCACAACCAGTCAAACTGATCAAAGACTGCTCCTTCATTTTCATAGGGTGTAAACCAAGTAACCAATGGGAAACCTCTAGAGGGTATTTAAATCCCAGATAATTCTGTAACCAGGGCTCTTGAATTGCTTTCTTGAACCCACTCCCACTCTATGGAGCATACTTTCATTTCAATAAATCTGTGCTTTTGTTGCTTTCTTCTTTCATTGCTTTGTTTGTGCATTTTGTCCAGTTCTTTGTTCAAAATGCCAAGAACTGGGACAATTTGTAGTCAAAACCCTCCACCTGTAACACTTCCTATGAGAGCTTGGTGGAGTTCCTGGAGGAAAACCTGAAAAGGGAGGAGGAAGTCTCCTCCCCCCATGACTACAGCTCCCAGGAGCCTCACACTGTCATACTAGGCCAATAGGAAACAAAATTTCTCGTTTCGTGTTTCTCTCAGTGTGTATGATATCCAGGGGCTTCTTTGCTTCTCCCCCAGGCAAGCAAATAAGCAGGTCAGGAGTTTCCCTGCAAGGACCTGTTTCTCTTCAAGATGGCTGTGTGTCCTGTGACCTGTTCTCTCATTTCAGTTCTCTAACGGGTTCACAAAAAGTCTTTAATGTGATGCCTGTCCAGCTTTAATCTTGTCACAATAGGAGCTGATTGTGTAACAATAGGAGCTGATCATTAGATTCTCTATATATCCCAGAGATGTACTTTCAAATATAAAAGGAAAAAAATCAGTCATGCATCACTTAATAATGTGTATTCATTTTGAGAAATGTGTCATTAGGCAATTTTGTCATTGTTTGAACATCACAGAATGTACTTACACAAACCTAGATGATCTAGCCTACCATGTAATCTACATACCTAGGTTACATGGTACAGCCTATTGCTCCTAAGCTACAAACCTGTATAGCATGTGACTGTACTGAATACTGTAGATAATTGTAACACAGTGGTAAATATTTGTATATCTAAACCTATCTAAACATAGAAAAGGTAACACGTTGCACTAGGATGTTACCACAGCTATGACAGCTGTAGGCAATAGGAATTTTTCAGCTTCATTTCATAGTCTTATGGGACCACGGTCGTATATGTGGGCTGTCATTGACCAAAATGTCTTTTTGAGGCACATGACTGTGTATATATGCATGTGTATGTATTCCCCTAACACACGCACGCACGCACACACACACAGACATACACACACACTATATATATGCATATATTATATATATATGTATATGGAAATGTATTGCCTCATTATTTGTACTAGAAAGAACGACTTAAAAAAACTGCATTAAAAAAACTTAAATGTCCCTTAGCATGGAGGCAGAAATCAACTATAATGCAGTCATACAATGGAATATTATGCAGCGTATCTTAATGGCAATGAGATGTACAGTACAGTAGTTAAAAGGAATGATATGGAATGTTATGCAGAAGTTAAATAGAATGTGTTGATGCTAGAAATTATTAAAAGAAAATACCACTTCGTACAGTTTAAAGGCTTTTTCTTTTTTTCCGTGTAGTAAACTTTAGAGCTGTTACCAAATACTCTGGTTTTCCCGCCTTCTGGAACATGGTAGGAACACACCTCCCTTTGAAATTTGGGTGGTATGCTCTAGCCAATGAAATATTAGTGAGGGAATTACACTGGATTTCAGCCAGTATTCACCTCCTTGGCACAGTAGCCTCATGCAGGGTCCAACCTGCCCAACCATACACAGCAGTCCTGCTGAGATGGAGTTGATCTGTGGGTTTATGAATCCCAAGGATCATGTGGACATGGGTTTAGGGCTGCCATTTTGGGCCCCTGACTGCTGGAGAGAGAATGAAAGAGACACTGAGGAGGGAGACTGAGAAGGACAGAGACACAGAAAGGCAGAGAGATAAGGCGATGGGCGGGGACAGAGTATGAGACATATCCCAGTGGGCACTTCTTTCTGATTTCCAGTTTAAATCCTTTGAGTGACCTGGCTTTACTTCATTTCCATGAGCTTTGTGAGAAACCATGACATCTTGAAATCAATTTCCATTTAGGTAAGCTAGCTTGAGTGAGTTTCTGCTCTTGCAATGAAGTTACCTCCAAAACGTGCACCTTTTAAAGATTTCTCCCCAATTTGGCTCACCCTGTCTTTCCAGCCATTTCTCCTCACATCACCCAGGACAGAGCCTTCCCCAGGCTTCCTTGTTTCCCAGACACCTCCAACACTGGCTGCCTGAGTACCTCTGAACACCACTCCTTCTGTGCAAAAGCCCCTGCTCTGCATGTTATTCTGTTACTGACTTAAGACAGCACATTCTCCATGGCCCAGTTTTATGCCCTCCCTTACCAATCCCTCTCCATCCTCTGGACAGAATCCCTTTCTCAGCCCTGGATTTATTCTTCTCTTGAACCATTTGTCAGATTCTGCCTTGCATTATAGTTGTTTTGATTGTTTTATTCTGCAGCTACATTTTAAGCTCCTTGATGGTAATGAGTGTTATCTTAATCGTCCCCCAAGGACTTAAATGTTGCCTGGATGTTTACATTATGTGGGACTGTACTTATTAGTTCTACTACCTCCGGAAATAAGAAGAAAGAGGAGGAAGGTATAACCGGTCCTCAAAGCAAAGCCCATTCCTTTTCCTTCAATGCTGAGCAACCAAATAATAAAAATGGCAAGGACTGATATCATTTAATCCCGACCAGGTATTGTTCTAAGGGCTCTGATATTTATTAATGCAAGTCATCATAATAAATTCCTATAAGGAATATACAGTTAGTCTCAATTTTTCAATGAAGAGACTTGCCCATCCAAGGGCACATAACAAAAGGGCAGAACCTAAATTTTTACCCAGATAACCTGTCCTCAAGGTCCATGCCTTCAATCACTTGGCCATGAGAAGGGCCTGAGAGGAAAGGAAAAGTGGGACCTAGCATGCAGCATGCTCACTTGCTGATCAATGGAGAGGACCTGAGTTAAGCCCATGCTCTTGACTGCAGTGTGTATGAAAGGGATGAAGGAAGAATTCCACCTATAGACCAGTGTATTAGTTCATTCTCATGCTGCTAATAAAGACATACCCGAGACTGGGTAATTTATTTAAAAAAGAGAGAGAGAGAGAGATTTAATGGACTCACAGTTCCACATGGCTGGGGAGGCTTCACAATCATGGCAGAAGGTGAAGGAAGAGCAAGGACACATCTTACATGGCAGCAGGCAAGAGAGAGCTTGTGTAGGGGAACTCCCCTTTATAAAACCATCAGATCTCATGAGACTTACTCACTATCACAAGAACAGCACGGGAGCGACCCACCCACATGATTCAATTACCTCCCAGTGGGTCCCTCCCACAATATGTGAGAATTAAGGGGGCTATAATTCAAGATAAGATTTGGGTGGAGACACAGCCAAACCATATCAACCAGGGATCTCTGCTGGCATAGAGAGACTCATAATGGGTCTATGGAAAAGCTTCATGCATACACATTCAGGAATGGGTGTGTGATCTGTCTATTTTAAGGGGGAGGAGATCCACAGCTTTTGCTGGAGTCTCAAAGGCATCTGTGACCTCTCAAAAGACTAAGAACCACAGTTTGAAGGGGAGATGGATGAATGAAGAAAGGAGAATGAAAGGAAGGAATGCCAGCAAGGTAACAGAAAGTGAGAAGAGGATAGAAACAGACAGAGGAAGGGAGGAATGTGAGAAACATAAGAACTGTTCCACATTACATGTTCACACAGCCGTCCTCAGGGGAAGTAGAGAAGCCTGATTCTTGTTTCCAAAACATGCTAAGTACTAAGTTCCCAACAGGCTGCTAGTGCTCAGGGACAGGGGTGTGTGTGCAGGTGCATGCTTGTGAGATAATGAGTCCTAAAGGGGACAAATGACAGCACGACCTCAATCCTGCCCTGCCTGACCACTTTCCCCAGTCACAGCAGAATGGCAGAGGAGAGTCTTTAGGATGGCACTGGATTAATTCTGAAGCACTCTCAGTGGTAAGGATTGACCTTGCTGGGTGCTAGCAATGGTCAGTGGTTCATGTGCTTGAGGATAAGTCAGTACCCAATACGGGTAACACACTGCCACGCCAATCCTCCCCCACATTTGTACATATCACTCTGTGGTTAACCAATTTGCATGAAAAATTACTATCAGGTCTGCTCACACCCATGTGAATTTTCTGTTGCTCTGTCTAAGTTGTCTCCTGGGGACGTTACCTTGAATCTTCCTAATGATGCTGCCATCTTGCTACAAGTGTTAGTAGAGAACAGCGGTTGAAAGTGTGAGTCAGAAGTTCAGAGTCAAGACAGCATATTTAAGAAAGCACGTGTTCTGATTTAAGACAGCCCATTCTCCTTGACCATTTTATGTCCTCCCTCACCAACCCCCCTTCCTCTGGACAGAATCCTTTTCTCAGCCCTGGATTTATTCTTCTCTTGAACCATTTGTCAGATTCTGCCTTGCATTATAGTTGTTTCAATTATTTTATTTCCGCAGCTACATTTTAGGCTCCTTGATGGTAATAAGTGGTAGAAATAAGTGCCCATCAGGGTATATCTCATACTCTGTCACTTGTCCTCTGATCTTAAGCAGGTTACTTAACCTCAGTTTTCTCATTTGCAAATTGGAATTGGAGTATTTCCATATGTATAGGGTTGCCCTATATATTAAGTAAACTTGGGTGTCTAAAGCACTTGGGACAGTGCCTGGCACAGAGTATGCACTTGATGCATTTTTAGCTGTTGTCAGTGTCTGCTATGGTTTGAATGTAGTCCCCAAACTTTATGTGCTGGAGACTTAATCCCCAATGCAACAGTACTGGGAGATGAGATCTTTAAGAGGTGATTAGGATTAATGCTGTTATTTTGGGAATGGGTTTGTTATCATGGGAGTGAGGATAAATTCAGCTCCTCTCTCTCTCTCTGTCTGTATCTCTCTCTTTGTCTCTCTTTCTCTCTCTCTCACACTCCTCCACCTCTGCCATGTTAAGACACAGCAAGAAGGCCCTCACCGGATGCTGATGCCTTGATCTTGGACTTCCCAACCTCCAGAGCTGTGATGAAATAACTTTCTGTTCTTTATAAATTACCCAGTGTAGTATTCTGCATAGCAGCATGAAATGGACTAAGAGAGTGTGCAAAGCATCTCTGGGCTTGTCCCTGGGAGGGTACCCCAAAGTCAACTGCAAAGCCATACTTTTTAACCCTCTGAGGGGTTACATGGCATTTCCCAGCCTAATCACTCATTCATTCACCAAATTTGGCCCAAGTCTTTAGATGAAGATGAGCTTTAATTAGAAAAGAGACCACAGAATCTAGACAATTCTGAAAAAGGGAAGTTAACTATTTGACCAATGACAGGACTATACAAGAAAGGGTATGGTCTCCAGAGAGGACTGTTTTGTGCTTTTCATTTTGTAAAGTTTTTTTTAATCCCCACAATTTTTTGTATCCCTATAAAAGCAAAATAAGCATGTTTTGAAAAACTTGAGAATTACTGAAGTTTTAAATCAACCTCTTTTATAATCTCTGCATAAAAAGTCCATTCCTGTTATGATTTTGTTGTATTTCTTCTCATCTTTTTACATTAAATATGGTCAATATCATATAACCTGCATATATTGGTGCCTGGGATTTTTATTGAACACCATGACATTAGCTTTTTACTGTGTTACTAAACTGCCTTTGCCAAGTCATGATAAAGATAGTGGAGTCAAGCAGGCTTAGTGATTCTTCCTCTCCCAAGCTGACAAAATGAACCAAAGAGGTTAGAAATAATTTCAGAGTGAAAACCCACCTCAAACTCCCCAGGAAATAAGAGGGGGCACAACTTCCTGGCTTACACTTTGGAAAGTGGTAGCTGGGGAGGATTCTGGTGAGCATATCTCAGTGTGGCTTCTAACCAGGCAGCTACCACCAGAAGGGGAAAGGGAGGAAAAGGTGAGTTGTGAGTCAATAAAGCCTGGGAAGTTCTTATAGCATCCCCCAAATAGATGTGCAGTGACCGAGGGGGCTGAAAAGCCTGTCGTAGGTAAATCATGGAGCCACCATAGGCATGGAGATGGCATCCCTGACTATGGTTGTGGTCAATGAGGGAAGCCATTGAAGCCATCAGAACTATCTCAATGGTCTCTCTAGCTAGAATTGTAATAACTAGCAACCAATCACCCACCACTTCATCACATGCTCCCCAAACCCTCACCCCATACGATAAGTGGAATCCTCAGAACTAAAGACCAAAGAGAAAATAATGAAATAAAGTCCTACGAGAGAAAATGAGTACAGAGAGAAAGATAGATAGCAAACCTGGAAGAAAGTCAAACAGAAAAATATATGGAGTATCGGGGGTGGGGTATGGGCCAGGGGTTTATGAAATAAGGAAGTCTCTCAGTGGGAGTAAAATTCGAGTTAGTTCTGAAGAGTGTGATTCAGTCATGCAGAGATATCCGATGGAGGTTCTCCGATCAGACTGTGCATTCAAATCACCCAGGGAGCTTAAAACAAACATACAAGGCCGGGTGCACTGGCTCACGCCTGTAATCCCAGCATTTAGGGAGGCCAAGGCGGGCGGATCACAAGGTCAGGAGATCGAGACCATCCTGGCTAACACGGTGAAACCCCGTCTGCACTAAAAATACAAAAAATTAGCCGGGCATGGTGGTGGGCACCTGTAGTCCCAGCTACTCGGGAGGCTGAGGCAGGAGAATGGCATGAACCCGGGAGGCGGAGCTTGCAGAACGAGACAACTTCTCAAAAAAAAAAAAAAACACATACAAAAAACCTCCACCACCAGTTACACTTTTGGCTCCACTTCAGGGTGTGGGTTGAGGCCCAGGCACCTGTATTTTTTTTCAAAACTCACCTGGTAATTCAAAAGCACAAAGAGCGTCAAGATGCACATCTTTGGGTGCTAAAGATTTCATATGTCACCACTAAATTTGGTTTCTAATAAAGGAATGACTAAAAATTACAGAATCACCTTGGAGATATTGCAGGTTCAACTGCAGACCACTGTAGTAGAGCAGATATTTCAATAAAGCAAGTTGTGTTAGTCAGGGTTCTCTAGAGGGACAGAACTAACAGGATAGATGTATATATGAAGGGGAGTTTATTAAGGAGTATTGACTCACACGATCACAAGGTGAAGTCCCACAATAGGCTGTCTGCAAGCTGAGGAGCAGGGAAGCCAGTCCAAGTCCCAAAACCTCAAAAGTAGGGAAGCTGACAGTGCAGCCTTCAATCTGTGGCAGAAGGCCTGAGAGCCCCTGGAAAACCACTGATGTAAGTCCAACAGTCCAAAAGCTGAAGAACTTGGAGTCTGATGTTCAAGGGCAGGAAGCATCCAGCACGGGAGAAAGATGAAGGCTGGAAGACTCAGCAAGTCTGCTCTTTCCACCTTTTTCTGCCTGCTTTATTCTAGCTGCACTGGCAGCTGATTAGATAGTGCCTACCACATTAAAGGTGAGTCTGCCTCTCCCAGTCCACTGACTCAAATATTAATCTCCTTTGGCAACACCCTCACAGACACACCCAGGAACAATACTTTGCATCTTTCAATCCACTCAAGTTGACATTCAATATTAACCATCACACAAGTCATGCAATTTTTTTTGTTTACCTGTGCATATAAAAGTTATGTTTATACTATACTGTAGTCTATTAAGTGTGCAATAGTATTATGTCTAAAAGAACAATGTACATTCCTTAATGTAAAATTATTGATGAAAAATGTTAACAGTCATCTGGGCCTTCAGCAAGTCATAAATCTTTTTGCTGGTGAAGAGTCTTGCCTCAATGTTGATGGCTGCTTATTGATCAGGGTGGTGGTTGCTGAACTTTGCAGTGGCTGTGGCAATTTCTTAAATTAAGACAACAATAAAGTTTACCATATTCATTGACTCTTTCTTTCATGAAATTTCTCTGTAGCATGCAATGCTGTCTGATGGCATTTTACCCAAGTAGAACTTCCTTCAAAATTGGAGTCAATTCTCTTAAATCCCACCAATGTTTTATCAACTAAGTTTATGGAGTATTCTAAGAACTTTGCAGTCATTTCAACAATGTTCACAGCATCTTCACCAGGAGTAGATTCCACCTCAAGAAACCACTTTATTTGCTCATCCATAAGAAGCAGCTCCTCATCTGTTCAAGGTTGATCATGAGATCATAACAGTTTCAGTCACATCTTCAGGCTAATTCTAGTTCTCTTGCTATTTCCACCATATCTGCAGTTCCTTCCTCCACTGAAGTCTTCAAACCCTCAGAGTTAACCAAGAAGGTTGGAATCCACTCATTCCAAACTCCTGTTATATTGATGTTTTGATCTCCTCCCATAAATTATGAATGTTTTTAATGGCATCTAGAATGGTGAATTATTTCCATGAAGTTTTCAATTCACTTTGCCTAGATCCATCAGAGGAATCAATATCTATGGCAACTATTGCCTTACAAAATATATTTCTTAAATAATAAGGCTTGAAAGTCAAAATTACTCCTTGATCCATGAACTGCAGGATGGCGGTTGTGTTAGCAGACACGAAAACAGCATTAGTCTTCTCGTACCTCTCCATCAGAGCTCTTGGGTGACCAGCTGCATTGTCAGTGAGCAGTCATATTTTGGAAAGAATCCTTTTTTTCTGAGCAGTAGGTATCAACAATGGGCTTAAAATATTCAGTAAACCATGCTGTAAACAGACGTGCTGTCATTCTGGCTTTGTTTTTCCATTTTTAGAGCACAGGCAGAGTAGATTCAGCATAATTCTTAAGGGCTGTAGGGTTTTCAGAATGGTAAATGAGCAGTGGCTCCAACCTACGGTCATCAGCTCCATTAGCCCCTAACAAGAGAGTCAATTTGTATTTTGAAGCTTTAAAGCTTCAAGTCTCTTGTTGAGTATAGCCCACCTTCATCAATGAACTTAGCTAGATCTTCTGGATAACTTGCTAAAGCTTCTCCATCAGCACTTGCTGCTTCACCTTGCATTTTTATGTTATAGAGCTGGCTTCTTTCCTTAAACCTCATGACCCCACCTCTGCTAGTGTCAACTTTTCTTCAGCTGCTTCTTCACCTCTCTCAGCCTTCATAGAATTGAAGAGAGTTAGGACCTTCTTGTGGATTAGGTTTTGGCTTAAGGGAATGTTGTGACTGGTTTTATTGCTATCCAAGCCACCAAAACTTTTCCCTCATCAGCAGTAAGTCTGTTTCAGGTTCTTACAATCCATGTGTTCACTGGAGTAGCACTTTAATTTCCATCAAGAACTGTTCCTGTGCACTGCTTGACTAGTTGGTACAAGAGGCCTAGCTTCCAGCTTGTTTTGACTTTTGACATGCCTTCCTCACTAAACTTAATCATTTCTAGCTTTTGATTTAAAGAGAGAGATGTGTTACTCTTCCTTTCACTTGAACACTTAGAGGCCATTGTAGGATTATTAGTTGGCCTGATTTAAATATTGTTGTGTCTCAGGGAATAAGGAAGCCCAAGGAAAGAGAGAGAGAGATGGGAGAATGGTCGGTTGGTGGAGCAGTTGAAACACACATATTTATCAATTAGGTTCATGATCTTATATGAGTATGGCTCATGGAACCCCAAAATTAGTATAATAGTAACATCAAAGATAACTGATCACAGATCACCATAACAAATATAATAATGAAAAAGTCTGAAATATCACAAAAATAATCAAAATGCGACACAGAGACACAAAGTGAGCACATGCTGCTGGAAATATGGCACCAGTAGACTTGCTCGATTCAGGGTAGCCATAAGCCTTCAGTTTGGAAAAAAAAAAAAAAAGAAAAAGAAAAAAAATGCAATGTTTACAAGGTGCAACAAGAAAACACATTTTGTAAACATTTTTAAGATGCATGATCAAATTGTCTAATTATTTCCAAGAAAAGGATGCAAAAACTTCATTTTCAAGGGGCTACTTTGAAAGGAGGAATTTTCTTTCAAGAGCACATATTGGCTCCTGTGTTTCAAACCTTTTGTTTACATTGGGCTCTGAAGCCCCTCACTCGCCATATACACTTTTGCTCTTTGGGGACACATTATTTCTTCTCTCGTTTTTTTTTTGTTTGCTTTTTTGTTTTTTTTTTTTTCCTTTCTTCTTCCTCTCTTTGTCTTTCTTTTTTTCTTTTTAACTCTCTTTAATTTTCTTAATAGAATCTTCCTATATTTTTTTGCTGGCCAGCAGAATCCAGTGACTAAACTTCCCACAAGTTCTGCTGTGGAACAGTAGAACACTCCCCCAACCCAATCTACTTTATTCATTCTTGATGGATTCATAGAAAATATAGAAGCTAAAGCCCCAGTCTTCTGTTAGAGCATGGGCATAAATACCAAGTATTTATTCATAGATTGTATTAGTCTGTTCTCATGCTGCTAATAAAGACATACCTGAAACTGGGTAATTTATAAAGGAAAGAGGTTTAGTTTACTCACAGTTCAGCATGACTGGGGAAGCCTCAGGAAACTTACAGTCATGGTGGAAGGGGAAGGCAAACACATCCTTCTTGACATGATGGCAGCAAGGAGAAGTGCAGAGTAAGGAGTGGGGAAAGCCCCTTATAAAACCATCACATCTTGTGAGAACTCACTCACTATCACGAGAACAGCATGCAGGTAACCGCCCCCATGGTTCAATTACCTCCTACTGGGTCCCTCCCATGACACATGGAGATTAGGGGAACTACAGTTCAAGATGAGATTTGGGTAGGGACACAGACAAATCATATCATAGATTTACAGATAAGCTGAAGATGAAATTGGTGCATCTTGCAGGTATAGCTCTCCGAGGTGGTGTGTGCACAGCACCCTGGCAGAATGCTCATTTCATTGGTGGGGATTTGTAAACATGCATAGCCAAAGCCTACTTCTCTTTCTTCTTCTCCAACTCCCTATATTCCCCTTCCACTTAGATGGCAAGAGTCTTTTGGGGCAAAAAATATTCATGACTATAGAAACAGTCACTTAAAGCACTCAGAGAAATGGATTGCAGTGTCTCCTGGAAAGTTCATCTCTTCATTTATTTGTTTTTATTCTCTTAGATTCTATGTTTGATATCCACCTAATGTTTAAATTTAGCAGTTTAGGTATATTGATTTCTCTTTTTAAAATGTAAAGCCTTCTCCCCAGAGTTGCTATAAATATCAGCCTGGAGATGAGGGGAACCTGGCTGGGACATCCATCACCCCATGGACCACTAAGAATGAGGCAACTGATTGCATTGCCCAAGAGGGTGATTCCCAATTCTCCTCCATCCTTTAAAGGCATCACACCCAAAACCACATCTTGGTGAGAAGGATGGCCTTTCTATATACAGAAGAGAATTCTCCAGGCACAGGAGTAAGAAGGCTACTTTCAGCCAGGCTTGGTGGCTCACGCCTGTAATCCCAGCACTTTGGGAAGCTGAGGCGGGCAGATCACGAGGTCAGGAGATTGAGACCATCCTGGCTAACACGGTGAAACCCCGTCTCTACTAAAAAAAAAACACAAAAAAATTAGCCAGGCGTGGTGGCGGACACTTGTAGTCCCAGCTACTCAGGAGGCTGAGGCAGGAGAATGGCGTGAACCCGGGAGGCAGAGCTTGCAGTGAGCTGACATCGCGCCACTACACTCCAGCCTGGGTGACACAGCGAGACTCTGTCTCAAAACAAAACAAAAAAAAAAAAAAAGGAAGGCTATTTTCCCCAATTCCAGATCCATTTACAAGAGGACTGGTGTTAGCCAATATGACAACACTGAACGAGGCACAAACAAGGACTCTGAAATAACATGCTGCTCCTGGTAAGAAAATATACCAAAGGGTTTAGAGAAAAGGCAAAAGAAGGTGCAAAATACCAGCGGCAAAACCTTTGCAGCCATACTCCAAGAGAAGTGGATGGTTCTCTTTCACTTTTCTATTGGTTACATGGAAAATTTAGCCTATTATTGTTATATTACAGCTATGTAATGTTAAACATCTGTTTGCTAAGAACTATTTGTATAATTTAAAACAGTATTTGTTTAAATTCCAGACAGTGGAGTAAAGCTTTGCCAGAGATCTCTCTTCACCACCCACTCACCCTGTATCCCGGGCCTTTGGCTACAAAACTATGCTGGGGCCCCAGCAATACATGGGCTGCCTGGGGAACAGATTTTCCAAAGATTGCCAAAGACCAGACATTTTGGCCTCATGGGCTCAGAATTTCTGAATGTATAAATATTTGTTTTTATACAGACTAATGCTCATTTTTTATCCAGATGTTTTGACCTCCAAAACAAAATCAGAGACAGCAATAAGGAATTTCTTACCCCTCCCAATCCTACATGCCTGTACTGATCTTAAACTCTTTTTTATTAAGCCAGACTTAATGGTTGTTAAGCAAGAACAACAACTCCGTTTTACATTATTGTTAGCTCATTATCAGTTAGCTGCAGACAATTCAGAGTCAGAATTTTGCATAAATACATAAATAGCAATCATAAGTAACAACTATTGAACATTTTTCTGAGTTGGGACACAATGCTAAGTGCAGTGAATGCAATAATTCGATTAGTCATTATAGGAGCCTTATGCAGTAAGTACCATCATTTACTCTGTTTTGTAGTTAAGAAATAAAACTAGAAAGAAGCTAAGCATTTTACCCCAAACCTGAAGAATTATAAGGATAAAGTCACAATTTTTTTTTTTTTGACAGAGTCTCGTGTCTCACTCTGTTGCCCAGGCTGGAGTGCTGTGGTGTGATCTCAACTCACTGCAACCTCCACCTCTTGGATTCAAGCAAATGTCATGCCTCAGCTTCCCAAGTAGCTGTGATTACAGGTGCATGCCACCACACCTGCTAATTTTTTTGTATTTTTAGTAGAGATGGGATTTCGCTATGTTGGCCAGGCTGGTCTCAAACTCTTGACCTCAAGTGATCTGCCTGCCTTGGCCTCCCAAAGTGCTGAGATTACAGGTGGCAGCCACCACACCCAGCTGGAGTTGCAAATTCTTAAGATGAGGAACAGTGGAGGTAGAAGTTTGGGTGGGGGAAAGTCACGACTTCTATTACTTCTATTTTTGACATGTTAAATATGAGGTGTCAATTAGGCACTGCTGTCTGGAATGTTTTCATCCTATTCAAAACTCCTGTTGAAACTTAATTTTAATGCAACAGTGTTGAGAGGTGGAGCCTAATGGGAAGTGTTTAAGTTATGAGAGCTCTGCCCTTATGAATGAATTAATACTGCTACAAGAAGGGCTAGTGGTAGTGAGCTTCCTGCCTTCTGCTCTTCTACCATGTGAGAAACAGTGTTCTTCCTTCCAGAGGACGTGGTGTACATAGTACCATCCTGGTAGCAAAGACTGGGCTTTTACAAGACAGCAAACTTATCGGTGCCTTGATCTTGGATTCCCAGCCTCCAGTACCATGAAAATTCAATTTCTATTCATTATAAACTACCCAGTCTTAGGTATTCTGTTATAGCAGCACAAAATAAACTAAGACAGGCACCTAAGTGGAAATATCCAGAAAGCCTTTGGATATAGGTGCCTGGAGTTCAGAAGCAACATAGAGAATAGGGATAAAATTGGAAGTCATCAGATATGGACAGCATTTAAGCCATGGTATTGAAGGTGTCACCTAGGGAGTGTACAGGAGAGCTAAGAGGATGGAGTCTGGGCATGTCAGCACTAGAAGGCCCGGAAGAGAAGCTAGCAAAGGAGACCAGGAGCAACTCATGGAGTGGCCAGTGGAGAAGGATAGCCAGGAGAACTGGAAACCAAAAGCTCAGGGTGTCCAAGCACCAAGCAAAGAAACGTTTCAAGGAAGAGAGTGGTCAACTTGTCAAATATTGCCAAGAGGTGTGGTATGAGCATTGGCAATTATATTTGGCAATGGGAGTTCATTGTTGACCATGACAAGAGCCATTTCTCACAAGTGTGGGCAGAATACAGTGTCTGGGAAACTTAGATGTTGAGGAAGGTGATTTGTCCCTCCTCCACATCTGCCACCCTCACTTCACGGATCTTGGACTTCTTCAATTCCAGTGACTTCTACCTCCAGTCCTTTTCAGCCACCAATACCAAGGGATCTTTCTTTTTGCCCTGAACCCTTGCACTCCTGAAATCTTAAGCTCTAAAGCTCTACATTATAACCTCATCTCCTTTTAGTGCTCCCTTCCTTATGCTACCACATGCTTTATTATGCTATATGAAGACTTCCATTCCCTTGATGCCTCCATTTCTTCCTCTAGTACACTAGCTTTCTTTAGTTTCTTCCCTTTAGTTTTCTTCCTTAAAATCCTTGCCCCCCAGGCCATCATACCGCACCTACCATAAACCCACCTTCTATGATTTGAATGTATCCCCCAGAGTTCATGTATTGGAAACTTAATTTTCAATTCAACAGTGTTGAGAAGTGAGATCTTTAAGAGATAATTGCATCATGAGGGCTGTGCCCTCCTGGATGGATTAATGCTGTTATTTTGGGAGTGGGTTAGTTATCTTGAGAGTGGATTCCAAACAAAAAGTGAGTTCAGCTCCCTTCTTCTCTCTTGTGTGTGCTCACTTACCCTTCTTCCTTCTGTCATGGGATGACACAGCAAGAAGGCCCTTGCCAGATGTTGATCCCTTGACCTTGGACTTCCCAGCCTCTAGAACTGTAAGAAATAAATCGCTATTCTTTATAAAATATCCAGTCCCAGGTATTCTGTTATAGCAGCACAAAACGAACCCACTCCTGGATGAATTCCACATTCTACTTCTCAGGTGACTGAGCCCTGCTAGAGAAACTTTGACCACCCACCGCCAGACAGGCGCCACTACATATTTAAAATTCCCCATCCTGACTGGTGTCCCCACCTCTCCAACTATCGTTTGGTCATTCTCCTACTGATGAGCAGTCAGATGTCATCTCAACCCTTCACAATAGTTCCCTTTATTTCATAACTTTAACAACATCTTCCTTAACTCACTTCTTTCCTTCCTCACCAACAGAAACATTTTTGCCAAGTTGGAAAATATTTTTAGAAAATAGATTTCAGAGGTTTCTGGCCCAATTCAATGGCTCTGGGGGTACACAATCAATTTGAAGGAGAAATGATTAATTCTGGATGCCAGGGATGGCCTGATTCATATTCTATCCCTGAGCCAGACAGAGGCAGCCCTGCCAGTGGGAAAGGGATGACAGAGGTAAAAGATGAGCATTGGCAGGGATGCAGACACTCTCCCCAGACGGCCCGCTGGCTGCCTGTGCACCGCAGCATCACAATGGGGCCTCGTTCTTACACAGCAGCTGGTGGTCCCCTAAGAGACACCTGGGGGCAGGCACGGCCATTCCATTCCACAGCCAAACATGACTCTTAATATTTAAAGAATACACATGGCCCTTGGGTATTTTAACCCAAGCCTCTTTCCCTTGTTCCTTACACATATGCAGAATACGACAGATTCTGACAACATGCTTACAATGTAAAGCATTCCAACAATTCTAAACAATCAAAATAATTGGTTATTTCTTGAAGTTTTTGATGTGCCAGATATTAGCGAGGTGCTGTGTAGAAATCATAGTTATGCCAGGGATGGTGCTAGGCACTGGCTAGACAGAGATGATAAAGCATACACAGTTTTTGCCCTCGTGGACTAATAGGAAACACAAGCTTTAAACAAAACTACGAATAAACAAATAATTGTAATGGTTGGGTATGGTGGCTCACACTTATAATCCCAGCACTTTAGGAGGCTGACACAGAAGGATTGCTTAAGCCCAGGAGTTCAAGGCTGCAGTGAGCTCTGATTGTGCCACTGCACTCCAGCCTGGGCAACACAGAAAGACCCCATCTCTAAAAATTTGTTTTAAATATATATATATAATTGTAAACAATGAAAATGCTGCAAAAAAATAGGATGCTGTTATGGGTTGAATTGTGTCCCCCAAAAGGTATATTGGAATCCTAAGCCCCTGGCACCTCAGAATGTGACTTTGTTTGGAAATAGGGTCATTGCAGTATAATTAGTTAAGATGAAGTCATACTGGAATAGAGTGGGCTCTTAATCCAATATGACTGTGCTGTTTTAAGAAGAGAGATACAGAGAGGAGGATGCAATATGACGATGGAGATGCTGAGAGGGAAGATGACCATATGAGAATGGAATCAGAGATTGGAGTTATGTTTCTACCAGCCTGAGAACACCTGGGACCACCAAAGGCTAGGCAGAAGTAGGCGAGGATCTTCCACCAGAGGCTTTGGAGGAAGAATGGTCCTGCTAACACCTTGATTTGGGAATTCTAGCTTCCAGAACCATGAGAGAATAAATTGCTGTTGTTTTAAGGCACCGAGTTTGTGTACCTTGTTTGGGACAGCCTTGGGAAACTAATAGAGGTGCTATGCAACACAATAACAGGTGCAGCCTAATTTAGCATGTGTATCAATTAGGCTTCATTGAGGGTAAGCAGTAGAAAAGTGCTAATTTATGTAAGCATAAGGAATTTATTCAAAGGAGATGCGGTAGAGAATCAAAGTAAATGCTGAACAACTAAGCCATGGGAAGGATAAAAACCATGGAAGTTCTGGGATCTGGGAGCAGGAATCACTGGGCAGACTTTGAGGGTACCACCATCGAAAGAAATGTGTTCCTGTATGGAACCGAAGGTCATTATCCTAACCGAAGTAACTCAGGAACAGAAAGCCAAACACCGCATATTCTCACTCATAAGTAGGAGCTAAGCCATGGGTATGCAAAGGCATACAGAATGGTATAATGGACATTGGAGACTCACAAATGGGCAGGGTGGTAGGGGGATGAGAGATTGAAAAAAATCACCTATTTGGTATGACGTACACTATTTGGGTGACAGGTATACTGAAACCGAGACTTCATCACTATGCAATTCATCCACGTAATCAAAAATCACCTGCGCCTTAACTATTAACCAAACTATTAACCAAAAATACATAAAAAATTGAAATTATATATAATACATAAAATTAAATAAAAAATTAAAATTATGTATAATATATATTATATATTATGTTCCTGTCTGGGCACAGCAGCTCATGCCTGTAATCCCAACACTTTGGGAGTCCAAGGTGGAAGGATCTCTTCAGGCCAGGAGTTGGAAACCAGCCTAGGCAACATAGCAAGACCCCATTTCTACAAAGAATTTAAAAAATTAGCTGGGTGTGGTGGCATGTGCCAGTTGTCCCAGCTACTCAGGAGGCTGAGGCAGGAAAATTGTTTGAGCCCAGGTGTGGTTATGCCACCATACTCCAGCCTGGGCAACAGAGAGACTACAACTCAAAAAAAAAAAAAGAAAGAAAGAGAGAGAGAGAAAAAGAAAGAAAGAAAGGAAAGAGAAAAAGAGAGGGAGGGAGGGAGGGAAAGAAAAGAAAGAAGAAAGAAAGGAAAGAAAGAAAGTAAAGAAATGAAAGAAAGAAAGAAAGAAAGAAAGAAAGAAAGAAAGAAAGAAAGAAAGAAAGAAAGAAAAAAAAAGAAAAGAAAAGGGTTCTCACAATTTTACTCCCTTGGAAAAAACTCAAATTTCTGGAACAGAGTCTGATGGGCTTACCTTGGTCACGTGCCAATTCCTTGGAAGGGTTCTGGGAATGGATTGGGGAAATTAGATACCTTGACAGCCTGTCTTATCAAGAGATAAGAGGAGGTACCAACAGAAGAGGAGGATGAGATGCTGGAGAGGAAAAGTGACTCTCTTGAGGAGTGACCTTTCAGCTAACACTTGAAAGATAATCAAGAAATATGCAGGTGGACGTTAGAGGCCAAGAAGATGCTAGGAATGAGTACATGGCCATCAGAAACAACTTGGTGTGTTCAAGGAACCAGCAAACATACATGGATGTGACATCGACTGAGAGGAAAAGCTGGAAGAAGAGCATATTCAGCTGAAATGATTAAGAGTTTAGTTGAGCGGTGGCTCATGCCTGTAATCCCAGCACTTTGGGAGGACAA